>NC_000022.11:49025639-49341714 GCF_000001405.40 Homo sapiens
GGGAGCCTGGTGGGGCTGAGGCGGGAACGCCCCCGGCTCCCATCCTTCTGGGATAAAGCTCCACCCTGGAAAACAGTGGAGCTCATCTTGGGGGGGGGGACCCATGGGATAAGGACACCTACCTGAGTGGGGCCACTGGAGGCAGGGCCATGGTGCGGGGGAGCTGGGAGGGGATACTTGGGTGGGGACACCTCTAGGGGATACCTGCCTGGGGTGGGTGGGACACCTGGGCAGGGACACCTGAGTGGGGATACCTGGGGCGGAACACCTTCGGGGGGGTACCTGGGGCAGGTGGGAATACCTGGGGAGGACACCTGAGGGGGGTGCCTGGGACGGGACACATGCAGGGACACCTGAGTGGAGCCCCTGGATGGGGTCAGCTGGGTGGGGTCCCTGGGGGGTCACCTGGGCGGGGCCCGCGACAGGGAAGTCTCTGGCAGGGGCTATGTTCCCCCACCCTGGCATTAGCGGCAGGTGCCCGCCCTCTTCCTCCTGACTGGAAAGGGTTCCCTTAATGCTACTTTCACTGTTATTTACATATGTTGTGAAGGATGAGGACTTGATCTGTGTTGCTAAGCGAGGATGGTGTTGCTCTGGCACAGAAGGAAGTCTTCAATAAAAGTGTGACCATAAAGGAAGCGAAGGTTCTTTCTCTAATGTATTCGGAATGCCTGCGCCTGGCACGCAGGCCCGCGGCACTCCTCAGCATCTCGCTGCCTGTCTAGCATCAGTACATGTGTGATATTGATTTTTTTTCCCCAGCAAGTGTAAGAAATACACATTTTATTTACCTTTTAAATTCCCAGCACCCATTGGCTGCTGGTTTACAGGCTGCAAAGTGCTCAGCAGTAGAAGGCTCAGGCAAGTCCAGGGGAGAAGCAACCCCAGATAGCGAGACTGCAGCTTCCCCGCTGCCCCTGCTTGAGCTGCGAACTGAAGACCAGCCAGGCAGCTGCTGCCCGCTCCCATCTGACTGAGGAGCCAACTGCAGCTCGGTTGGGGGTTCTCTGAGGGCAGCAAGGACTGGGGCAGCTCTTCTCCTGGGTGGTGATTTCTGGTGGTGGTTCTTGGGAAGCACACTGGATGCCCTGTATCTGTTTTCACAGCTAAGAAGACTCTCATGTCACTGAAGTTTCCTGGGAAGCCACCCCATGGGGCACATCCTCCTGACTGCAGGTTTGCCTCTTGCAGGAGCAGCTCAGCCTGCCTGAAGGGGAGGACTCTGTGAGGTCCACAGGGCACCTCATGCACCCACCTCATCTCCAGGGCAAATGTCTGCTGAGTGCCCCAGCAGTGGCGTGCTTCCACCCCCTAGAGGTCGACCTGGCTTGCCAGTGGCTTGCGGGGCTGGAGACAAGGGCAGATGGTTCTGGGCACCAGCCCAGACGTCTCCTGCACACAGACATGAGTTGCAGACATTTGGGTCTGAGCCCCCAGGCTCTATGGGCCCTGCCTGTGAATGTCAATCAAATGTCCTGCCTCAAAGCTCTCCCCATTTTGAGAGACATCAAACAATGTGAAATGTAACACGCAAACACTTCAAAACCAAATCAGAGTAAGACAGCACTGCTCTCATTCTCTGCACTGCTCTTTAGGCGACAGACACTCTGCCATCTGCCTCCCTCTCTCCTCCTCCCTTCCCCACTTCCCCAGGGCCTGGAAAGCCACCCTGTGCTGCTTGCTTCCACTCCTCGGCAGCCCTCACAGCCTGGTCTCTGCATCCACCTTGCCAGTAAAACTCTCCAGCCACTGGCCATCCTGGGCGACAGAGAGCCAAGCTCCGGGCCCCGTCTCCCATCCCCTGCATCCCCTGACCTCACTGGCTGCTGGACACCATCTCGTCGTCTCACTGCACTCTTGCCCCCTTGCTTCCTCAGGACTGCTCCTCCCTCCTCACTGCCCCTTCACTGTCCTGCCGGGTGTCTCCTCTTCCTCTGCCCTGGCACTCCAGTGGCCAATGTCCTGGAACAGTGGCCGCACATCTGCGCCTCCCCCATCCATCCAGGGCTCCCCTCGCCTCCTCTGCACTGTGTGTTTGGTGGAAGACACAGACCACAAAGGCAAGATGGCTCCGAGGGTGACGAGAGCATGCGTATTGACCACGGTCCTGCTGCAGCCACCAGTGCACACCCTCCTCTAACATGCAGAGCAATCCCACGTAAGAGGGTTATCACCGATCCCGTGTTCTAGATGAAGAACCAGAGACGCAGAGATGTCATCCTGACAGCCACTGATAGTGACTGAGCACCTGCTGCCGCTGGCCCTGTTCACGTGGTTTCCACTTCTAC
This sequence comes from Homo sapiens, assembly GCF_000001405.40. Taxonomy (NCBI): domain Eukaryota; kingdom Metazoa; phylum Chordata; class Mammalia; order Primates; family Hominidae; genus Homo; species Homo sapiens. Next base: position 49,027,928 of record NC_000022.11, read on the forward strand.
TATTTAAACCTCCTGGTCACCCTATAAGACAGGTCCTCTACTGTTTTACAGAAGCAGAAATGAATCAATAACTTTCCTATTGCCCCAGCTGCTAGAACCCTTGATGGGTCATGGAGCCCAGAGTCAAACCCAGTGCTGTGCCACGGTCTCCTTCCCCTCAATTCATGGAGGTACAGAAGGAAGGAGGGAGGAAGGGGAGGGAAGGGATGGAGGCCTTTGTGCTCTGCACACCAGCTGAGCAGGAGAAGGAGCAGGAGGGGTGTGTCTACACTCGCCCTACCTCACGTGTCCTCACCCTGCTGCCCACCCTCACCCTACCTCACATATCCCCACCCTGCCGCCCACCTCTCATGTCCTCACCCTGCCTGGAGGAGTCCAGAGGGGCAGAGTTGGCAGAGCCAGAGTGGACAAGGCCGTGCTGTCAGGGAAGCAAATTTCTGGAAAGCGGCAGCAGCTCCCCCGGTCAGTGCTGGGTCTGCTCCTGGCTGGATGGACTCTGTGTCCCAGCACTGTCTGGGTTGGGACCCATCGAGGCAGGGCTTGTGGTGGTCAAAACACTTTTTATGTGCTCAGTGGGAGGCACCATCCTCTGCCCTGGAAGGTGCAGATCTGGAACTTCACAGAGGACAGAGCAGGGGTGAGAAGGGAAGCCTCAAGCCTGTGCGGTGTGGGGTCTCCTCGCAAAACCCTGTGTGACCCGGGCTGTCTGGGGGGCAGGCACCTGGCTCACTGCTTCCTCTTTATAAGACCTTCCATTTTCATGCCTGAGTCCCCCCTGCTAGAATGTAAGCTCCCTGAGGGCACAGGCTTTATGTTTTCAGACATGTTACTCAGTACACACTTGGTCCATAAAGATTGAAGCTCAGCCAGCTGGCAGCTGTGGAGGAACTTGTTTTCTTTCTTTTCTTTTTCTTTCTCTTTCTTCTTCTCCTCCTGCAGCATTAGCTGAGATCCAGGTCATCGGTTTCACGACTGCTCAGAGCTGCACTATCCTATGCAGTGGCCACACATGACATGTGGCTGTTTAAAATCATTGAAATGAAGTGAAATAAAAACTCTGCACCAGCTACACATCAGGTGTTCAGTAACCACACGTGGCTCATGGCTCCTGAGCTGGACGAGGCAGAGACTGTCCAGAGACGCCTGCAGACATCCTCACCGCGGGCTCTTGTGGAGGAAGGAGCAACTTTGAAATGCAAGAATTATGACTAAAGTGTATTTTAAATAGGGATTGCCAGATGACTTCCAAAGAAAGCTGTTGCAATTCTAAATTTCACCAAGTCAGGAGCGCCTGTCACCCTGCAGTTGCCTTCCGACAGTTCTTTGTGTTACCAGCCAAACAGATGAAAGATAGTAAGGCCATCTGTAATATAATTGTTAATAAAAGAAACATGAGTTTGAATATATATTAACATTTCCTCTTCTTTAAATTACCTATTCAAACCCTTTGTTAATTGTATATTTTGGTGTTAGGATGTTTCGTGTTCAATGGTAGAAATGCCTTGTCCATTATGAAGACTAACTTTTCGTGGTTAAAAGAGGAAAATATATATAAATTATATATAAATATATAAAATAAAAAGATACATTACAGGTGTATGTTATGTTTTAGAATTTTTAGAATGTTTATAGAATTTTTGACACCCACTCTTTTTTAAAGCTTTGTGTAGTCAAATGTATCTATATTCTCAAATATGGCTTCTTGATTTTCTGTTATAAGAAAACTCCTTGCTCAAAAGCTAGACAAATGTTATTCTAAATTTTCTTTCTTTTCTTTCTTTCTTTCTTTCTTTTTTTTTTTGAGACAGAGTCCTGTGAGTCTTGCTTTATCACCCAGGCTGGGGAGCAGTGGTGTGATCATACTCGATTTAGCCTGGAACTCCTAGGTTCAAGGGATCTTCCTGCCTCAGCCTTCTGTGTAGCTGGGAACATAGACATGCACTACTGCACCCAGCTAATTCTTTTTTGTTTCTTCGTGGAGACAGGATTTCACCAAGTTGCCAAGGCTGAGCTCCATCTACATTTTCTTCTAAGACTTTTTAATGTTTTACTTTCATAGATAGTTGATCAGCGTTGAACTCATTATAATTAGGCATGAGGAAGAAACATTTTTTTAATTCCAAGTGGTCAGTTAGGTTAATACCAATAAAATAAATTATCCTTTCTCCATAAGATTAAGAAACCACAATTAGCTGAGTTTCCATAACAAAATGGACCTAGATTTTCTCTTAGACGGGGTCTTGCTTTGTCTCTCAGGCTGGAGCAGTGTGGTGCAGTGATGGCTCACTGTAGCCTCAACCTCCCAGGCTCAAGAGATCCTCTCACCTCAGCCTCCTGAGTAGCTGGGACTACAGGTACACACCACCACACCCGGATAATTTAACTTTTTGTGGAGACAGGGTTTCTCCATGTTGCCCAGGCTGGTCTGAAACTCCTGGGCTCAAGTGATCCTCCTGCCTTGGCCTCCCAAAGTGCTAGAGGTGTGAGCCACCACACCCAGCTAGATATTTCTATGACTTGTTCTAGGCATCTAGTCATTGATCCCTGGGCCAAAGCTGCTCTGTATTGAGCTTTTTATCTAATAAGGTGAGTGCCCCCTCACTGTTAGCTCTTTAAAAAAATATTTTCAGATAAAGAGCTGGCTGTTCCTTTAGGTGAATTTTAACATTATCTGTACCATATCAAAGAAAACTCCGCTCCGATTCTATTTGGGATTGCTTTCTTTTCATAGTTAGATTAAGTAATAAAATACTGAAGAGAAATCATATTTTTATAGTGTCAAGTTTTCCTAGTAATCCCAAATTTCTTTCTATTCATTCAGGTCTTTCTCTTAGGCTATCAGCACCATTTCATATTTTTCTTCTTATGAGATCTGTGCCTTTTTCATTTAGTTCCCTGCAGTGTGTATGGCTTATGCTGCCATTTTTGAATGGGAGATTATTATCCAGTTCCATGTCTAACTGTTTGCTGCTAGTGTAGAAAAAAAAATGGTTTCTTTTTGGTCGTTTTATATCCAGTCATCCTAAGAGTCACACTTTGCTAGTGTAATATGCTTACTCTGTGCCGTTACTAAAAGCATGAGAAGATGAAAATTCAGAAGCCAGCTGAGAAGAGACCTCTCAAGTGTGTTTGTAACTGTGATCTTCACAGATGCCAACCCTTCCCGGAAATGCTGGCCCAGGCTCTCTGAAATTCACATCCTAGACATCAAGGCATTCAATGCCTTTGGTGTGTGCACATACATGTATGTGTGTGCACATGGGTGTGTATGAATGTCACACACACCCCAGGGAATACAGTCATCACAGGCGGTAGACAGGCAATCAAGGTCCGAGCACCCCACAACTTCACAGGTGTTGAAAGTGAGGCTGGTCTGGCTCTTGCTGAAGGAAGGGCCCGGGAGCAAGTTCAGAAACCCCAAAGTCAAATGTCCACCATAGGCAAGGCATGCACAGAAACAAACAGGACACGTTCTAACAGCAAAATGCAAAATTAATGAGGGGTGTAAATAGGCAATTTAAAGAAGAGGAACTGTTGATAGAAGTTCAAACTCATTTTTATGAATAATTATGTGTCTGATTGACTTGCTGTCTTTCACATATTTGATTGGCAATGCTTAAAATAATTGTCAGGGGAAATACAAGGCAACAAGAGCTCCTGACATTGATGGTGACAATTAGATTTGCAGCCTTTCTTTGGAAATAAATGGAAAATGTCTATTAATATTAAACAGACACATTCCCTTGGACTCAGAAGCCCCAGAGGGGTGGCCATCTGGGGGATGAGTGGGGTCAGGGTGCCCCTCACCCAATTCTAAAGCCATGTTTCTCCTTCCCCCTCCAGCTGTCAGCATGGATGCCCAGCCCTTCCCACCGTCATGCCCTCCACTTTTCCTTCCTCCCTGTCTTCCCTCTACCTTTCTCCCCATCAACTCTTCCCCATTCACCAAGGTGTATCCAAATACCCCCTCCTCCATGAAGCCTTCCCTGCTCCAGCCCTCGAGGCCCCAGTCACCCCCTGCCCTGGTGTCCATGCAGCCATCCGAGGGGGTAGGTCTGCCTGCTGCCTTGATGCCTGATGCCTCGGGGGCCTCTTCCCTCAATGAAGGCTTAGGGCCCTGGACAGGGACTCTGCCTCTTCTCCATGGACCCCTTGGCAGTGCCCATCAGAGGGGTGGGCACATGGGCCTCCATGCCACACATAGGCAGTGGATTCAGCTTGATCCCTAGGCAGATGCTTCCCTGGGCTTGCATATGGGAGCCGGGGTGGGTGTGGAGCAGAGCAGTAGCCTCCATGGGAGAAGATGCCTGGGGCCTGCAGGCGGGTGGGAGCAGTTCTGAAGGAGGAGGGAAAGCAGGGCCACCTTGGAGACTTCACTGGGGTCTCTGCCCTGGACCTGAGCCAGGGAGGGTGCGTAGGAGCCCCCTGGAGAGCCGGGCATGGAGGGAAGTGAGTCCAGGCCGGAGGGTGCTGGGACCACCAGCAGCGTGTTAGCAGGGGCAGGGAGGCCGGGGACGCCCCGTAGCAAGTGAGCAGGCAGATGGAGCAGGCTGCCGGGCTCCTGGTACGCACAGCTGGGCCACCCCTGCCAGCAGAGCAGGAGAATCCTGCGTCCCCCCACAGCACTGCAGAGCAGGGAGTTTAGAAAATGCCCGGAATCTCAGTAAACTCTCCCTGCCTCCTCATCCCATGATCCTCAGCCAGCAGTTTGGAGCCGTGAGTTTGCATTTTTCAGAAGGCTCAATCCCTGCTGTGGGCATGAATTATACGGATGCTCCGGATGCCGAGGACAGCCTTTGTCTTCTTGGTGCACTGCAAAGGTGAGCGTCCCTGTGACCTTTTGCTAACAAAAGACTCTTCTCCCAAGTCCTCTCCCGGACATCAGACACCCCGGGCCGGCAGAGGACACAGACTTGCCATTGCCGGGCGGACCCACTGAGCGGTGTGACCTGCCCCAGGGGCCTCAGAGGAAGACGGCTGGTGTGTCCCTGAGACAGGAGAGACGCATTGCCACAGGCTCCCCAGAAACAAGGTCCCCAAATGCCACTGTCGGCTGCTGAGGTACAGGGAAGTGCTTGGTGGAGACCACGCTCGCCAGGCTGCCCTGCAGCCAAAAGGCAGAGGCTGAGCAGGAACGCAGCCTCCGCTGAGGGCCACGTGGTGAAATCAAGTATCTGGGCCTGGGAAAGACATTTCTGGGGAGTCTGTGTGCTGCGGTCTGGCAGCACCGAGTCCGCTGTGTGCGGGGGGCTGGTAGGACTGGCCTCCTGAAAGGAGGGGAGAGATCAGCGTGCTTGGAGGGAGACCAACTCCCAAAAGGAACAAGGTTGGAGGGGGCAAGGCAGCTTCAGAGCCTGGCTCCAGCCCTGGAGACAGAAAGACCAGTTTAAATTCCCACCCGGCCCGCACCCTCTGGGGGGCCGTGGGACTTTGGGGAGCCTCTTTGGTCCTTAGTTTTATCTTCTGTGGAACAGACGCAATAATCCGTATTTAGTTGGGGGTAATTAGTCGACGTATGTGGATAGGTGGACACGCAGTACACTTGGTGATGGTGGCCGTCTTCACCCCTCTCTCCCTGGTTTCCCTAAGAGAGGCATCTCTTTCCGCCCTTCTCCCCTGAAACTTGGGGTGTGAAGTGTAAGATGCTGGATCTCACAGACAGGAGCCCACCACCGACCCAGAGACATCGTGGCCAGTTTTGAAATCTTCAGTCTCAGAGGACACTCATGGGCTCTGCGATGCTGGGTGGGTCGTGTGCCCACCCTGAGCTCCTTCCTTTGCTCCTAAAGACAGGAGTGATGCTTCCTGCCTCCGCGTTACACAGGCATCGTGAGGCTGCACATGACAGCAGCTGCCCAGCTCCAGGTCAGTGGTGGCATGGAAGAGCTCCAGCTCCAAGCTGCACACACCCTACTTGAGACGCCGTTGTTCTGAGTCCACCGTGCCAGGTGGAGTCCTTCCGTCCCCAACCCTTGCCCTAGGGCCCTCAGTGCTGGTGGCTCCATGAGGTACTTCTTTCTGTAGTGGGTGTGAGATTCATGAGTGAGATGCCCCCAGCCCTGCTCCAGGGCAGCCTTGCCAGTTTCTGGAATGTTCTCCATTTCCAGTCTGCAGCTTCCTTCTGCCCAGGAGTGGCTTCCCTGTCTGGCTGTCATTCAGCTCAATTCTGTACTTAACTTCAAAATGTGCATAAAATCCTAAAATGGGACGTTTCTCAGTTGACGTCCTCCACCTCCAGCTCCTCTCACATGGAAGCAGGTGGGGGCCTCACGGTGTTCTAGAGTTTGCAGGGGGCAGAGAGCAGCATCCTCACCGCAGATATCCTGTTACAGGACTATGGGATTAAGAGCTTGAAGTTTCATTTAAATCACAATGAAAACAACTATGGCCTGGTGCGGTGGCTCATGCCTGTAATCCTAGCACTTTGGGAGGCAAAGGAAGGCAGATCGTGAGGTCAAGAGATCGAGACCATCCTGGCCAACATGGTGAAACCCCATCTCTACTAAAAATACAAAACTCAGCTGTGCATGTGACATGCACCTGTAGTCCCAGCTACTCAGGAGGCTGAGGCAGGAGAACCACTTGAACCTGGGAGGCAGAGGTTGTAGTGAGCCAAGATTGGGCCACTGCACTCCAGCCTGGGCAATAGAGCGAGTCTCAAAAAAAAAAAAAAAAAAAAAAAAAAAAAAAAAAAAAAACAATTACAAGCCCCAATTCAGCGTGCTCCCAGGAGACTGTCTGACTTGGGGCTCTGGAGTTTCTGAGGCCCACAGGGTGAGCAGGGAACCCGGCCAATCTCTCCCTCCTGGGTCCCTCTCAGGCAGGCCATGGTGACCTGGCCCCAGGCAGACGCTGGCAGCTCAGAGGCGTGTGGGACCTGCAGACCTCAGGGGTTGCTGGACAGTCCTGAGATAGGCCTTGCTTTTGGCCAAGGCACCTGAAGAGTGAAAACACTCTGTGCATAGAGGAACAGGATGGGGAGAGCATGGCAGGCCCTTCTCCAGTTCAGGGCCATCCCCTCCAGATCCAGAGCAAGCTCGGGAGGGGAGGAGTCGATGTCCCAGGATTTGTGACTCGGACATCGGGGTTGGGGGATGTGGGTGATGTTCACCTGCCGTGGAAGAACCCGGAGGATTAGGGTGGCAGGCGGCAGGGCCCTGAGTCAGGCTTGAAGACGTCGGGTTTAGAGGCAGCGGGCAACTTGGATGGAAATGGTACAGACAGACGCTGGGGTGCCGAGATCAGCACCCCACTCGGCCCCCCACACCTCCATGACTAATCAAAAGGTTCACTTCTCCCAATCTTCCAGAAGAAGTCCCGGCCCCTGGGAGGCTCCTGGTATGGACCCAGCTATGGGACTCACCTTCTGGCGGGCACAAGGGCTGTGTCCCAGCAGGCAGGACCCTAGTTCAACTCCTTCCTAGTCACAGGGGGCCTGGGGTGGCCAGATCAGGGTCTTCTCCTCCCCACGCCTGCCCTCCTCAGCAGCCCGCTGCCCCATGGCCTTTCCCTGCTCCTGAGTGGATGCCACGCCCTCTCCTAGGTGGTTCTACCTGGACAGTGACTTCTAACGTCAGATATTGCGAAGGCCGCCTGCAGGGAGGATGGAGCCAACAGTCCTGGCGGTCTGTCCGCCCAGCTCCCTCGAAGGCCTCCTCCTGGCTTCCTGGGTGAGGCTTGCTGGGGAGCAACGTGACATAGAGGCCACTCTTTGGGGACTGCTGCTTGGGGGCCTGGCTCCTGGGTACGGGTGGGAGGCAGTGACCTCACAGAGAGGACGCTTTCTTGCGGGATCCTGGGAGAGTCTCACTGTGGGCACAGGGCCACTGTCATCGCTCGGTCTGCAGCTCAGAGACCTTTAGGGGTAGCCCTTGTCTCCAGGCTAAAATGCCACCTCCGTGTGTGACATTCCTGCCTGTCCTTCCTGGATTTTAGTCTATGCAAATTCTGTCCCCTCCCCTCGGCTGCCCCACATAAGTGTGACCTTCACACGCATCCCCACGGGCCAGCATGGAGCCCCCTCAGGCCGCCAGCCTTCCTGGGCTAAGGGTCTCTGCACTCTGGGGGGCTCCGTCCCAGTCCTCACACAGGGCCAGGCTCAGGCTCGGACCCATCTCCTCCTTGAAGCCTTCCTGAAGCTGCAGCCAGGCCCGGCGTGTGCAGGCTGAGTGGCAAAGGCCAGACCTTTGATGTACGGGGTGTCCCATCAAGGTTGCCACGTCACAAACAAGGGAACTGAGACCCGTGGAGTTTCCTGATGGCCTGAATTCCAGCCCTCCCCTGCAGTCCTGCCTGCCTCACAGGCCTGCTGGCCATGGTACCCCTGCTGGACAGTAACCAGGCGGAGGCGCCTGCTGCCGGCGAGGCCCCAGGGTTGGAGAGCTTTGTCTGGCAGGCTCCGGGACCAGGGCACAGACCCCATCGATATGGTCCGGAGTCTCTCTGATTTCCCCGCCCGCCCAGGGCCTCTCTCCTATGGCTCCCACTATCAGGGAGGCCAAGGGGACGCGTTTCCTGTGCTCTCCTGCCAGACAGAGAATTGCCTGGATTACGAATATCAGTTCGGGGGTGACAGGTGACAGACGTCACCAACCTTCAGCTCCAGACTGAAATAACATGGTATTGACCTTGCTCAGAAAGGCTACCAAAATAGAATGTTCAATACTCTCTATTTTAACTGACAGTTAAAAATTCAATACACCTTCCTCCTGCCAGACACCTGTATGCAATCAAGCTAAATAAATGCCCTCGGGTTCTTGCAAGAGGCGTAGCTGTTTGTGTATAAAGCTATCGGCCCTGGCTGGAAGGGACTGATTTTCCACAGTCTAGAGAATGGCCCTTTTGAAAAGTAAACAATGCCTCCACAATCCCAGGCTATTTTGACAAAAGCAAGAAGCGAAGCAGAAGTGGGAGATAAAGGCACGCTCCGTCTCTCCTCGGACCCAACACGGACTCCACAGACATTGTTCCGTCACGGAAATCAATACCAAAAAATAAAGGTCAGATACGTGTGTGTGTGTGTGTGTGTGTGTATGAGCTATAGACACAGAACGTGAGTATCCAGAGGAGATCAGCTGTGGGAGGTACAACCGTTATACCAAGAAAAGACCCAAAGAAAACTGGAATAGTATAAAAAATAAATATGTAACAGGAAAATAAGAAATAATATTAAAGACAAGAAATAAAAAGTATCAACACAACAAAAACTTGAGTCATCACAAAAGAAATGATGCAAAAAAAGGTTTGCAAGACTGGAGCAAGGAAGGATGGGGTGGGAGAGAGGATGCTGGGAGTGGGAGGGGCCAGAGGGTGGGAGAGAGGATGCTGGGAGTGAGGATGCTGGGAGTGGGAGGGGCCAGAGGGTGGGAGAGAGGATGCTGGGAGTGGGAGGGGCCAGAGGGTGGGAGAGAGGATGCTGGGAGTGAGGATGCTGGGAGTGGGAGGGGCCAGAGGGTGGGAGAGAGGATGCTGGGAGTGGGAGGGGCCAGAGGGTGGGAGAGAGGATGCTGGGAGTGAGGATGCTGGGAGTGGGAGGGGTCAGAGGGTGGGAGAGAGGATGCTGGGAGTGGGAGGGGCCAGAGGGTGGGAGAGAGGATGCTGGGAGCGGGAGGGGCCAGGGGGTGGGACGGGGCGGGGAGAGGGAGAAGAGGGGTTCTGGGTGGGAAGGATTGGGGAGCGGGAGGAGGGGAATCCTGCAGCGGGAGAGGCCGCAGCTGTGCGCAAGGTGAGCACTTCCCAGGCAGCTCTCTGAAGGCCAAAGGGCAAGCCCCGAAGTACCCTGGATGTCTCCGGAATGGCCAGGAGAGCCCAGAGCCAACACGTGTGGTGTGACAGGACCTCCTCCAACCACAATCACATCTGAACTTTCCTCTATCAGGACTGAAGAAGGCAAACACTTTGCAGAGACTCCTGGCCCCAGGTCTCCTCCCGCCTCCACTTCCAGCTGCAGGGAAGCTGCCAGGATGCTGGTAGTTCTCTGAGACTCATTCAGGAAGAATCTGTTCTCTGGGCTTCTCGAAGTGAACCGGCCACCTCTGAGCCACCCAAGGGTGGGTCAGAGCTCAGCAGGCCCAGGAGCTGAGGATGCCGCTAATGCCTCGGGTCCTCGCCTGCCGCCAGGCAGCTCCCAAATGCTGACCCTGAAGGCCGCTGTCCCGTTTCCTCTGTCTTTCTACAGGAAAACGGGGGTGGACATGAAATGTTAGGGCCGGTGGGCACTGGCCTTTCAGCATCTCCCAAAGATGAGAAGGGCCCTCTGTCTCTGCCCCACCAGGCCCCACAGTGATGAGGCTGATTATGACCGCTTCTGTGACATGTAAGGCACCAAAATTAGCATGTGAGGTCGGACACGAGAGAAAGCAAGGGCACTGGACTGTCTGGAGGATGTTTTAAGGTGTTTTCTTATAATGTACCGGAGTTGCTTTTTTTTTTCTTATTTAATTTCCCTTTCTTTCTTCTTTTTATTTTTTATTATTATACTTTAAGTTCTGAGGTACACGTGCAGAACGTGCAGGTTTGTTACATAGGTATACATGTGCCACGTTGGTTTGCTGCACCCATCAACCCGTCATTTACATTAGATATTTGTCCTAATGCTCTCCCCCAGCCCCCCGCCTCCGGACAGGCCCCGGTGTGTGACGTTCCGCTCCCTGTGTCCATGTGTTCTCATTGCTCCACTCCCACTTAGGAGTGAGACCATGCCGTTTGGTTTTCTCTCCTTGCGTCACTTTGCGGAGAATCTTTATTTGGGAATTGCATTTCTTTAATCTGATCATGTTTTGCTTTACGTGTGTGTCACTGCAATTTCTCCACATGTTGCTCTTGCTTTCCCTGGACACTGGCTGGAAGGCGGAGCCGGAGGGACTGGCTAGAGCCCTGGTTTTAGTTCTGGCCCCGCACCTGAGCCACTCGATGACTTTGGAAAAGTGACTCAGCGCTCGCCTCTCAGGTTTCTGACTGAAAAATAAAATGGGCCGTTGCTGGACTCACAGGCGATCGGCAGGATGAAAACGCGCCGTGATCGCCGCATGGTGGCTGCGATGTTAACAAGAATTTGACACCTGGTGAGGATGTGGAGGACCCCAAACCTGAGACTGTTTGGAAGGAGATGAGAGAGCTGAGGTGTGTGGTCCCACCCCTGAGCCCTGCAGCCACCTGGACTCCTCAGCCCAGCGCCATGTCGCAGAGGCCCCTCTGTAGTCATCAGGCCAGCAATGGAGGTGTCACCTGCACGCTTTGCCCCTGGGGGAGCTCAGCCTCACTCTGTGATCTCGCTGATCCAGCCAGCAGACCTGGGGCTTTGATTGGAGGCCCCTGTGGAATTTAAGACCTATTCATCCCACCTACAGAGGTGCTGGTTGCTCTCTGTATTTCTCTACTGATGGTGGCCATGGGGGCTCCCCGCTGCTCTCCAGACCCTGGTCCCATTTGGGACTCTCCATTGTCCCTCCCACGGGTCTCCACTTTCTCACACCCAGCTCCTCCTCCTCTCCTGCTTCCTTTATCATCTTCACTTGCGGTCCTGGCATCCTCAGGATACCAACCCTCAGCTCTACAGACCAGACAAAAGGGCAGTTGTGGCCTAGGAGAGCTTCTTAATCTGAATTCCATAAAGATTCATTTTTATTCAGTGGTGCATGTGCACACACACACACACGCACACACACAATGAATCTTTGAAAAGTCTCCAGGCTAGAAGATAGCTGCTCTTGGTGTGTTGAGGGCAAGAGCTGTACAGGGCGGTACAAGGTTTCTCTCCCAAACCCACCATTGTCACAGCCACTCCAGTGCAAAACCATGTAGACTATTCCGGCAGGCACTGCATTCCAGGAGCCAGTCTTCCCCTTAGTGAGAGGCCGAAGTCCATAGCTGGAAGCAACCTCTGCTCCTGGTGCTGGCACAGTTAGAGTGGCGTGGGCCACATTTGCTTTGGGGAGGGAAACAGCTTCTGGAGCCTGCGTCTCTGGTACCCAGGTGACAGCAGACCCGGCCATGTCGCTGCAGCCAGGCCATGCTTGGCAGCTTTAGGGAAGCAAATTAGCAGAAGACTGCAGGGTCCAGGGACTTAGCAAGCTGCCTCCAGGGCAGAGGAATCAAAAGACAGATTTGTTTGTTTATTTATTACTTTTCTGGCCCTGGCTTCAATTCCCATACACAGAACTTGGCTGTGGGATTCTTTACAAAATCATTCTATTCTTGGATTTTAAGCCATTATTGAAATTCTATTGTAATTTTTTTCATCTGTTTATCATTGACTCATCAATCCGTTCAACAGGAATCCTGGCCAAGTGCTGGTCACGGTGAGGGACTTGGAGTTTAAAGTCACCCGGTGCAGAGGGAGAGAGAGACAGTGTGCTGGGAGTGGGTACAGAGCCAGCATCCCCAGCGCCACCGGAAAGCCTCACACACGCCTTGGCAGGTGGAGACAGCGGAGCCCTGGGCAGTGGAATATTCTACAGAGGCACGGGGAGCTGAAGGGGAGCTGTGGACCCAGGAGAGCTGGGGAGCAAGGCCCAGGGAAAGACAGTAGAGATAGACCAGCAAGTTGGAGGAAGTACTTTTTATACATTCATTCATTTGTTCACACGTTCATTCATTTCTCCACTTATTCACAAATATTCTTTGGGAAACAACTGAGAGCCATGTGACCTTCCAAGCTCAGGGACAGACCAAATGCCTGCCTGAGTGGCTCCTGTTCTGGTAGTGGACTGAGGTATTGAACAAATGGAGCCAATAAACGCAAGTCGGGGTGACCGATGGTCATTAAAAAAATAGAGCCAAGTCCAGAAAGAGGATGCATGAGGTGCTGTGGGAGAAAGGGTCCTGGGGGAGGTCCTTTGAGTGGGGCATTGGATTGAGGTCCAATCAACAGTGAAAGTTGTGGGTGTCAGGGGAGGGCTGGGGGCAGATGGAGAAGCCCTCGCAGGTGCTCTGCTGCCTAAGGCTGCTCACTGGGCACCTGAAGGAGCGGAGGCTGAAGGCCGGTGGAAGTCGTCCTGCCCTCTGTGCTCCTAGGTCCCTTCCCCAGGGTGCTCCCTGGATCAAGTCCGACTAGGAGATCCTCCACCATTCCTATGCCATGGCAGACGTGAAACACGGTCATGCTTGTGTTGCATGCTGGGAGGAATGGTGGACAGGTGGAAACTTCCAGTACCCAGAGCCGAGCCCTGGCCCAGTTCTGCTGCCCAGAGGGCTGCAAGGAGGCACTTGGTGTCCTGAGCAGGACTCTGAGAGACAACATGACACTGGAGGAACACTCAGGGGAGGACACACGCAGAAGACAGAAAGAGCCGCCATCTGAGCACTGCCCCCGACTCCAGGCAGATCAGCCCTGGCGAGGATGGGCGGGAGGAGCGGCCAGCCCACCTGTGCAGGGAAACACGCAGGCAAGGCGTGGAAAGGAGCTGATGCTCAGCGTCTTCAAAACCAGACGCAAATCTCACCCCAGAGCCAGTGGGCTCCTCGGAAGTTTTGGTCAGGGAGAAGGAATACGCTCTGAGCTAGGAATCAGGAGACATCTCTGGAGCCAGCAGTGGGGTTTCTGTCCACAGTCAGTGGAAGCAGGGCGACTCCCTAGGGCTTTTCAGCAGAGAGAAGCCCAGAACGCCCAGCCTGACTTGATTTTCTCCCCATGCCTAGGTCACAGGCTTAGGATGTTAAAGACTCAAGATGACATTATTCCTACCTCAAAATAACAACAGCTTCTACCTTGCACACCCACTGGCTACCAACCTTCCATTAACATGCAAGTAAGAGCAATTCCCGAGAGAGAAGCACAGCGTCAGGTTGTTTTTCTCACCTACTAAGATGGTCAAGGGCGAAGCAGTCCAGGGTGGCCCATTGGCTCTAGGGTGCCATCAGGGACATGGCCTCCTCAAATCTTTCTGCTCAGTCATTCCTAGGCTGCCTCAAAGACACAAGACAACAGCTGCACCTCCAGCATTGCATCTGCATTCTCCACAGAGGACAGAAAAGGGCAAAGGTAAGGGCTGGCCAAACGTGTTCCCACGAAAGGGCCTTTCTCAGGGTTCACAGAGGCACTTTCATTGGCACCCCCTGGCAAGGACTGGGTCATGTGACCACGCAGCGATAAGAGAACTGGGACGAGGCACCGTTTTTCACCCCATTTCTTTTATTTTGCTTGTTTTTGTGGTGAAATCTGGGCATATAGTTTCCACAGCAACCTCTATGAAGTAAATACTGTATCTTCCCTGTGAAGACACTGAGGCTCAGGGAGGCTACAGACCTTCCCCAAATTACCTGACACTCTGGCAGCTTCGAATCCAAGCAGGTGATTCCTCAGGTGTCCTCCTGAGTCCTTTGCCATTCAGCCTTTCCGAGGTGCTTCCAGCTCCCCAGCCATCCCGGCAGGGCCACAGATCCCATGTGGTTGTGGTTAGGACTGATGGTGTCTGAATTAGAACTTATCTATGTGCTCAAAGCAAACGCGTAATTTTGCATTAACCTGACACGTGGTGCTTGATTATGTTAGTGTTTGTGGTAATTGTTTTTGAATTTTTTTTAAGATAAAGGGGGCAGAGAGTGCATGGCAGCAGAACGCCATTGACAGGAAGTGCTTATTATGTAATTATGGACTTTTTAATATGCATATTTTTCTCTGTGGTTGGTAGCAACTAGATACATAATTACTGAATTTTAAAGAAGAATATTAACTACAAAGCCTTCTGGCTGCTGAAAAGTAGGAAAGATTCTTGCCTGGTTTGTGGCTAAATTCTCTTAACGATTCAAGGCCTGCAGAGGTGAGGGTGGCCTCTGAGAGAGTGATGAGAACCGGTGCCATGGGTGTGAAGTTGGTGCCACTGAGGGTGCTTTTAAGGAGCAAACGCACCTTCTGATTCTCCAGCTAGCATGGGAATGGTTTCAGTCTGCCTGGGCTGCTGTAACAAAATACCCTGGAAATTCATATCACATAAACCATGGAAATTCATTTCTCACGGTCCTGGAGGCCAGGAAGTCAAGGTGCCAGCAAAGTCAGCGTTGGCTGAGGCCAGTGCCCCATAGAAGCGGGTGCTGTGCGTGTCCTCCTGCAGAGAAAGGGGCAAGGGAGCTCTCTGGGCCTCTTCCTTAAGGGCACTAATCCTTTTCATGAGGGCTCTGTCCCCTGGCCTCATCACCCCCCAGAGGCCCCACCTCCTAATACCATCACCTTGGGGGCGAGGATTCGACAGACACGTTTTGAGGGGACAGAAACCTTCAGACCACAGCAGGAATGATGGAAAGCGGAATGATGTCCAGAGAGGGGCTGGGCTTGGAGGTGTCCTGGTGGTAACTTCCAGGAGGGAAAGAACAGTCATTGGGTGGAGATAAAAGCGAGGGTAAGAAAGATGTCAGGCGGAAGGGCGGCTGCCGGAGGGCTGGATTCCAGAGGCCAGCGTGGCTGAGGCAACAGGGAGACCAAAGCAGAGCAAGGCGGAATCTGGCAGAATCACACAGACTCACACAAGAGCACAGGGCCCAGAAGCAAAGCTAGTGGCATCCCAGAAGAGGCTCCCTCTGCTCCCCTCTGTGGGAGATGCCAGGGGCCTCACGCCAGGCCTGGGAGCTGCTTCCCACTCCAGGTCCCCGCACACGTGGCTTCCACACTCAAAGCCTGACGTCCGTTCCTGTGCTTTCAGGTGAGCAGGGGCCTGACCAGGCAGTGGGGTGAGGGGCCCAAACCCAAGCATCTGCCGGCGGCCACCAGATCTGCCCGGCCACCTCTCAGGAGCCCTCCCCCAGGTTCCTGTGGGCACCCAGGCGCTGGGGCTTGCCCTGCCCCTCCGTGTGAACAAGGGTTCCAGGATGCAGAGGAGCTGGGGCTGGGCAATCTGAAGGGTCGGCTGGGCGGCTGCCCCCTCCCCTTCCTGTCTTCCTTTAGGAGTGGTGGGGCAACCCTGGGCAGGTCTGATGTGGGGCAGGCAGACCCGAAAACGGGGGCTTAGCCCAGGTCTGTTACTGGTTTTGCCCAGGAAAGAATTCAAAGGTGAGCAGGTGCTGTTAGCAGCTTTTATTGCAGCGGCAGCAGAGGGGCTGCCCCAGGACAGCAGAGTGCACAGAAGAGCAGCTCAGAGGCAGCTCCGCATCATAATTACACCCACTTTTAACTACATGCTAATTAGGGGTTGGTTTATGCAGAAATTTCTAGAAAAGGAGCAGAAACCTCAGGGTCATTGGGATTTTACCGTGGGAAGTGGCAGTAACTTCTGGGTCTTGCCGTGGCAATGGTAAACTAACAAGGCTCACCGGCTGGCACGTCTCACAGGCGGCTGCTGCCACCGGCCCTGTTTCAGCTGCTCCTCCACGTGGTCTGGTGTCTGTGCCCTGCCTCGAAGTCAAGCCCACCTCCTCCCTCAGGTCCTTGGCACTGCCTGTTGGCTTTGCCCTGGCAGGTGCACTGGGGGACGCAGGGGCAGCAAGGCTGCTGCTGGCGCAGGCATCCCCGTCCCTAAGATGCATATGGAAGGCGAGTGGGCCTGGGTCTGACCTTTCTCACGTGGTTGCCCCGTGTCTGCAGCCAGCGTGTGCTCCTCAGGCAGAGCAAACCCTGTGTATCTCGAGTGGTGACCAGGCGGTGCAGCTTCACACTGCTACTCTCCGCATTCCATCTGTTCTCCTCCCCCATTCGTCACCACCCAGGTGACACTTGCTGAGGAAATGTCCAATGTGACCTGAGGCCCATGTGGGGGCTCCACCCACCTTCCACCTTTGTCCTGCTCCTGGTCACTACCCTCCATGGGATGCCCGCCATGGCTGTGTTTCTTTCTGGACCCACAGGGATCCTGCAGCTTTAAAAGGAAATCCCTCCCCTCTCAAACCTCTGAGCCCTCTGACCAGGCAGGGGAACTTGATTACAGCAGAACCTTCTCTGTACCCTCAGGTCACCCTGCTCCTCTCCTGTCCATGGTGCTAGAGTCACTGGAGACCTGGCGGCTCTTCAGGTGGCAAATTAGGCCAAGCGGCCACTGCGGTGCTGAGCGGTCCATCCTCCGGGCGGTGCTGACCAGTCCATCCTCTGGGCGGTGCCCGTCCATCTGCTGAGATCAACTCCCACTGCAGGGCTGTGCTGGTGTCTGGGCCGGGCACTGGCCCCTCACCCCAGCCCTGAGGGTTCACGAGGACTCAGCCTTCCTGGACTGGGTCGCACCTTCTCTTCCTGACCTCAGCTGCCTGCCTCCAGCTCCATGGGCTTTTGAAGACAAGGGACAAGAGATTGCTGACTTCTGGAAGACCAGCTGTTGTTGGCGAGGGAATCAGGCAGACCCTCTTCCTTTTTCTTGTCGAGGATCCAGCCTGAGGGAACCTCCTTCAGCCTCTCTGGCAGGTTGTCCTGCCTCCTGGGTCCCACTGTCAAGAAGAGACGGGTTTGCTTTTGACTCTGACTTCACGCAGCTCATATGGTGCCTTCCACAGCAAGGATTCCTCAGCTCCTCTGGGTCCTTCTCCCCGTCCCCGTGGTCACGGCCACCCTGCCGTCCAGGCAGTTTCCTTAGCAGCTTCCTGGGCCCCCGGCTGTATGAATTCCCTCCAGTGGGCTCTGAAGCCCTTGATCTTTCTTTTCTCAGCATTTATCATGGAGGGTGGAAGTGAACCATCTGCCAACAGTCCTCTGCTCAGGCACAGCACGGGGCCAGGCTGGGCGTGTGATGGTCACGGGCCTGTGTAGTGTCCCTGAATAGGTAGCAAATAAAAGAGTGTTCATTCAAGGTGTGCTGAATGAACGAATACATGAAAAAACGCTTGGGGGTGGGGAGTGAATGGATTTCAAATTCTCAGGCTGCACTTTCCAAATCCGACACAGTCACATTCAGCCGCTTGTCAAGACTGTTTGACAGCCACCCCTTTCCCGCATTCCCGGCCCCCTGAGCAGCCACGGCTGCTGTCACATCTGCCTCTTGATGTTGCTGGGCCTGGAGAGTTACCCATGCACACTGAACATCAAGGTCAGTATTTTTAGACGCAATTCTTTAATTTTTGAAAATGCTCCAAAGAGATTTTAGTGATGGGAACATATTTGACAAATATAAATAAATGTAAGAGCTATAGAAATAAACTTCCCTAAAACCTCTCCGTTCTATTAACCATCTCCTGGAGGCCTGTGCACGTGTTCTGTGGAGAGGATGGGGTACCCCACAGCCCCTGAGGCTTGGGGAGGGAAGCCCTGGGGAGACCAGTGACAGAGTCGATGCAGGAAGTGCCATGTCCCTCCTGGGGCCTAGAGCCTGTACTACGTCATCAGGCTAAGACCTGAGACCGTGCCCTGCCCTGGACTCAGGGTTCCGAGGAGCTGGCAGAGCCCCCAGGGGTGGGGCAGAGCCAGGAGAGCAAGAATCTCCCTGACAGGTGGGAAGCATGTGCCTGTTCACCCCTATGTCCGGCACAATGCTTGGCCCTGCAGGTCAACAGGAAGGTGAGTGCAAGGGCGCTGCCCTCTGTGAGCTCACAAGCCAGAGGTCAAGACCCTCAGACAGTGACATTTTGAGGGGTAACGCTGGGAGGCATTTGCAGAGCCCAGAATTGGGGTTCCCCGTTGGGACCCTGACCCTGGAAGGGGCCTTTGACCTGAGGGCAGAGCTATGAGCAGGTGTGTGGGGCTAGGACAGGAGCCTGCTCCCACAGGGAGACAGCACGCACACATGGCCTGGGCCGGGAGCCTGTGAACCGTCTGGGAGCTGGAAGCGTGGATTCAGAACGCCCAGCCATGGAGATTAGGTGGGGAACAGGGGAGCTACTTAGTGGAGCACGGACCAGGGACACCCAGGAGCCTCAAGTGCTCTGTGCTCCGGGCTTCCTCCAGAGGGCGGTGGGGAGCCACTGATGCATACCCCCTGTAACAGAGCTTGCAGAGGGAGGCTCCTCCTCCTCCCTCCCACCCTGTGGCCTCAGCACCCTCAGAGCATCACCATCTGCCTAGTGGCCGAGGTAAGAAGCCAGGACTGTTCCCAGTGCCTTCCTCTGGGACCCTCCTCTGACACTGTGCCTGCTGGACCTTCCTTTCTTGGCCGACGGCACCCTGGCTGGCATCCCTGCGTCTGTCCTCTCTACGTGGCACTGGCTCACACTCTCGCTCCCTTCACCAAAGCCCCCACCTGCGGCCCTGTCTCTGGCCTTTCCCAAGGCCACAGAGGGATCTGAATCAGTGGGGTCAGACCCAGCCTGGCTTCTCAGCTCCTGGATGGCTTCCCATGCTCTCAGGCTGAGCTCTCAGCTTGGGGGGCTCACTCTCGCCCCAGCCTGACTTTCTCTGTGTGGGCCTTTCTTGTGCTGACTGGCACCCAAATCTCTCTCCAGCTCCTTTATGTTCCCATCGCTGTAGTCCAACACCACCTCCTCCAGGGAGCCCTCCCAGATCCCTCAACCCAAGGTGGACTTTCCCAATAGCCCCTCAGGCCACTCTGCACCCTTCCTGCACAGCTACCATGAGGAACCTAAAACAACAACTTATTCAACGGGCAACAAGTGCTCAGTAAATATTTAAGGAGACAGTGAATGAATGAATATATTTCTACCCCCTCAGCTCTCTGAGTCACACAGTGGACAGTCCATAGGACATGAATAATGTATACATTTTTAATGGAATTAAAGTACACTCCAAGCATTTTTATCCTGAACACTCATGCATACACTTAAATTAAATATTGAAATAACCACATGCACAAAATCTTCTGTGGTCATGGTTCTCATCCTGCATGAATCACTTCTGTCCAGAAGCGGGCATCCCTGTGTAACAGCCTTTGGAGGGCGTGGGAACGGACAGAGTTCATGCTCTACAAACATCTGAAAGTGGCGTTGACTTCCCTGCCTGCCTGAATGAGTGTGCAATGTAGATAAATCCTCTTTTGACTAACAGGTCTATGCTGGCCCATTAGGATCCACAGGAATGAACAGGAATCCCTTCGGGAATTTTTCAAGGCTTACAGGGTATATTTCCCATTGCTTCCGTAAAAATGTAAAGCTGTTCTTTCTGCAGTCTTTTGCCCGAAGCTATCGGTCTTTTGGGGTTTAGCAACCACCCTGAAAACCTGGACACTCATTTGAATTGTTGCATCTTCACCTTGTGAATATTCTGCGCCTCTCCCTGCAGGTTCAGGAGAAGAGGTCCAAAGGCACCACCTCTACTTGATCGCAGTGAAACTTCCCACCACAGCCCCTCCAGGGAGCCACAGCGTTCATTGCTCACTCACAAATAGTACACAGCACACACGAGAAAAGTTAATTTACTGGTTTACCTACTTCTTTTTCTTCTCCCGCTTTGCCCTGTTTGATTCCATTTAAAAATGTTTCTACTTCATCCATCAGTGAGCTCCCTGTGTCGGCTAGAAAGTCTCTTTAGAAGCGTGTTTAGCATCTTTCAATACCGATATCTATTTCAGAGACTCTTTGCTCCTCCAATATCTGCCTTATCTCCTTTACTATTTTTCATTATTTGTCCCAGCTATCTGCCTCATCACTGTCTGCATTTTTAATATCCTCTTTGTCTCCTCCACTTCTGTATATTCTTGTTTGCTCAGTAAGCCTTATTCAATATTTCATTGTATGTGTTAACTGTTAACTCAGCCCTAATTAATCTCACTTTTCAACTTGGTTCAGTTTAAGGTTCTAGACATGTCAATATGAAGGGTGTATCTGGGGGGAGCGAGAAGTTCAGCAGCAAGGGTATTTACAGTGCCACATGCAGTCTCATTTTCTCGCAGAAATCCAAATTGCTTTGCCTTTTCCTTCAGAGAGCATTTTCCTTTGTTTCCGACTTGCCCATTGGGCGCAGCACACCTGTGTGGACACACTGTCGGCACACACGCTGGCCGGTCCTCCACCGAGGGTCAGGAGCACTGAGGAGGCATCTCCCTGGCCACGGGCAGTGCCACAGGAGCTGCACTCAGGCTCCCAACCTTCACAGGTGCGTAAGGTGCACTGGGGCATGC
Source organism: Homo sapiens (assembly GCF_000001405.40). Classification (NCBI taxonomy): domain Eukaryota; kingdom Metazoa; phylum Chordata; class Mammalia; order Primates; family Hominidae; genus Homo; species Homo sapiens. The sequence continues at coordinate 49,048,846 of NC_000022.11, forward strand.
TCAGAGCCCCCTGTCATCTGTCCACGCGGGTGAGGACATGCTGGGTGGTCTGGTGGCTCAGTATGAGGCAGACCACTTGACTGGGATGGTGTCTTCAGGAAATCCTGGAAACAAGACAGAGGTTTGAAAACCTCACTGCAAAGACACAATAAGCTACGTATACATAGTGGTATACATATGCACGCACATACATGCACGTCCACAATCCATGTTCCTATGCACCTGTTCCTGCCCATGCAGGTTCATGCACACATATTCCCTGCAAATGTTTGTCAGGCACCTGCCAGGTGCCTCATGCTGTTCCAGGTGCTGGGATTGAGCCATGAACACCTGATACAGACAATGTCCCTATTCTTACAGATCTCGTATTCTAGGTGTCCCTGTTCTTACAGATCTCATATTCTAGAGACTAGAGATGGAGAGATGGTGACAAATGAGCAAACACATGTATACTACATTAGGAGAATGTGTGAGTCCATTCTCACACTGCTAATAAAGACATACCCGAGACTGGGTAATTTATGGAGGAAAGACGTTTGATTGACTCACAGTTCAGCATGGCTGGAGGGGTCTCAGGAAACTTCCAATCATGGCAGAAGGGGAAGCAAACACATCCTTCTTCATGTGGCGGCAGCGAGGAGAAGTGCCGAGAAAAAGGGGGAAAAGCCCCTTATAAAACCATCAGATCTCACGAGAACTCACTAACACGAGAACCGCAGCATCTGGGTAACCACCCCCATGATTCAATTATCTCCCACGGGGTACCTCGAACAATACGTGGGGATTTATGGGAACTACAATTCAAGATGAGATTTGGGTGGGGACGCCAGCAAACCATATCAGAGGGCTAAGTGCTGAGAAGGAGGGAGGGAGGAGAGCAGATGTGGGCATACAGATGTGAGAGGCATACCTTAACCAAGTGTCAAGAGAAGGCCTGCCGCATCAGAGCTTTCAGTCAGAGCCCTCCAGTAGGAGAGTGAATTCTGTGCACAGCTAGGAAACATCTCAGCGGCAGAGACAGGGAGCACGGGGTCCTGTCCAGATGTCCACACTGCACGGATGCGCACACACGGTGAACAAGGGTCTGTGCATGCTCACACAGCGAACCAGCACATCTACCCAGATGCGCACATCTGTGCATGTACACTGGGCACAGGACTCTGCATCCAGATACAAGCGTGTGCACAGAGACGCACAGGAGGCAGATGCACGTGCAGAGGATGAGAACCTGAGCCCACGGACCAGGCCAGCCCAGCCTCCGTGTTGGGCAGCAGCCCCCACGTCCTCAGGCGCTGCTGGGCAGTAACAGAGGCACCAGGTAAATCTTTATCTGGTGGAAAGGCAGCATCTCATTTGACCTTTGAAAAAACGAAACATTCCAAGCCCAGGGAAAAGTGAATAATCTATAAAACAGTGACTCCCTACCACTCAGATTTAGTCATTTTTGAAATATTTGCTTTAAATATTTTCCTAAGAAATAAAACCTTGCAAATGTAGTTGAAGGACTCACCTCATATCCCTGAAGGCTGCCATGGTCTCCACCTGGTGCCCCAGACCCTCTGAGATTTTCCAAAAGTTCACGTGTAGCCGGCCTCCCTCCCTTTCCTTTTCCCAAATTCTAACACATGTGTGTGTTCGTAAGCCAGGCGGAGTTAGATTTTCTGTGTTTTACTAAACAGACAAATCATGTTGCAGGTTTCATTGTACACCTTGCTTTAACAAATGTGTCTTTGATATTGATCCAAATTGTTACACAGAGATGCAGCCCATTCATTTTAACTTCTTTGTAACTTTCCATCGGAGGGATAAGCTACATCCATTCTGGGTTTCTGTTTTCTTTATGACAACCAATTCTTCTTTCGGCACTTGGCTTGATACACGTGAGTGAGATGTTGTCAACTCTTCTCCAAAATGTCCTTGCACATTTACAATCTCATCTCCTGCAGGCTCCTGCGGTTTCCCTGCTCCGTCAACAACGGGTATTGTGGAACTTTGTACTTTTAGAAATCCCATGGATACAATGCGGCATCTCATTACAGTTTTAATTTTCTTGATTAACAGTGTGGGGGAACATATTTTCTGTGCTTGTTAACTAGCTCTTCAAGCTCCCTGGTTTATAATGATCTGTCCTTGTCCTTCACTCAGGCTCCTGTAGAGGAGACGAAATCATTTTTCTTAATGATTCATAGCAATGCTGTGTATGTTTTGAATATGAGTTTTTGTTTTTCATATGTGTCACAAATATCTTCTGGATCTGTGGCTTTCATTTTCCTCAGAACATGCTCTGTGATACAGGAGATTTATTTTTCATGTGGTCGTTTTAAAATTGATTTTTGGCCCAGCACGGTGGCTCACGCCTGTAATCCCAGCACTTTGGGAGACCGAGGCAGGCGGATCACCTGAGGTCAGGGGTTCAAGACCAGCCTGGTCAACACGGTGAAACTGCGTCTCTACTAAAAATATAAAAATTAGCCAGTCGTGGTGGCGGGCGCCTATAATCCCAGCTACTCGGGAGACTGAGGCAGGAGAATCGCTTGAACCCGGGAGGCGGAGGTTGCAATGAGCCGAGATCAAGCCATTGCACTCTAACCTGGACGACAGAGTGGGATTCCATCTCAATCAATCAATCAATCAATTTTTACTTTTCGGATTGTGTATAAGAAACTCTTTCTGTTCTTAGGTCGTAAAGACCGTCTCCATCGCTTCTTCCGTTCGTGCGGTGGCCTCTCCTCTCACCATGGTGGCCTGGAGGCACCCAGATTTCTCTGGCCACGCGGCGCTCCAAGTCAGGAGTCAGCGCACAAGCCACGCGCGGACACCAGAACAGCCTGGAGGAAAAGCAGCCTCGTTCTGTTACCTTCTGCTGGTTACCCAGAGCCCGGTCCCTGCAGCCTGTGGGGAGAGACACAGACCCCCACTCTGCATCCGGGCGGAGTCACCCAGCGTTTACCCGCGTGTATTTCAAACTGCCGCAAGGACTACGTTTACTTTTCTCGCCCTGCTTCCGTGTTCTGCCATTTTTGAGGTCTCCACCACGGTCCCCTGGCCCCGGCCTAGACCCGGGCCTTTCCCCAGGGGTCCTGCTCCTCCGTGGCCCTGGACCGCTTGGCCCCTGTGCTCCTCTTTCCCTGGCTCCAGGATGCAGCCAGCTTCTCTTCAAGAAACTCAACCCCGGCTTGTGTTACCCCGAGGGTGTTTCCAGGCGTGCGAGGGGTGTGAGGGGTGGGACTGCACAGCGCGTCCCAGCCTCGGTCCCGGGCCCGGCCCCGGCAGACTCTGGAGAAGCCCAGGAGCGCGTGTCCCCGCCGGCCCCGCTCAGCCTGACCTGCTTTTCCCCACAGAGGTGCCGGGGTTCGGTGCAGTCTGGCCGTGTCCTCCTCTTCTCGCGGTTTCAGATTCTTCTTGCGTGACATTTTATCACACAAGACCGTGTTCGGGGATGGGGTGTTCTGAGCACGCCCTTACCGAGCCAGGCTCACCCAGTTCCCCATCTAGAGCTCCCTGCTGGCATCTCTCACCTGGGACCCCAGCCTGCAAGACTCCGACACCCACGCCCTTAGGGTGATGTGGCCGCGCCCAGCCTGCGCTCAGCACCACGGGAGGGAGGGCGGCAGGCGGAAGCCCCGGCCATCTTGGGAAGGGCCTTTTGGGACCGTGTGTTCCGCTGAGAACCACAGACCCATGCTTCAGACGCTACAGATTTCTCTCTCAAATGCCTGGATTCAAAATATAAAAGTGTGTTTGAGCAAACAGCAAAATATTTGGGAAATTCTCCCAGCGAGGCTTCTAATGACCCCGTAGGAAAAGCCAGGCTGCTCCCTGCTGCGCCTCCAGCGAACTTCCCACCGGGCAGGACTCTGGGAAGAAGAGCAAAGGGTTCTATTTTGCGTAGAATTTAAATAAAATTGCTTCACAGACGGGAAACGTCAAGCAAGCAGCACTCTGAGCCCATGCGTGCTTTTAATGCCTGAATGACATCGCAATTCAGTCTGAGTTCCCGCCTGGGCTCAGGGCCTTCTGAACTGCCGGGGGCTGTGAAATGGTTTATAATCAGAAGAGAAGCAGTGAGAGTTTAGATCCAAGATCCAAGGAAGTGTTTTCAGACTCAGTGTTAGCACATTTGTGTCTATACCAGTCCAGGCAGGAGGCTGAGGCAGAAGAATCGCTTGAACCCAGAAGGCAGAGGTTGCAGTGAGCCGAGATCGTGCCACTGCACTCCAGCCTGGGCAACAGAGCGAGACTCCATCTCAAAAAAAAAAAAAAAAAAAAAAAAACCACCATCAGATCTCGTGAGAAAGTACTGTCAGAATAGCCTGGGGGAAAACCACCCCCATGATTTAGTTACCTCCCACTGGCTCCCTCCCATGACACATGGGGATTATGGGAGCTACAATTCAAGATGAGATTTGGGTGAGGACACGGCCAAACCATATCAGGCTTCCACCCTCATAAACAGATTAATGTCATTATCGAGAGAGTGGGTTTGTTACCTCAAGAGTGGGGTTTCTAAAGTGAGCCTGGCCTCTCCTGCTCGGACTCAGGCCCTGGCTCCTGCCCTCCATCCTTCTCCCATGGGATGACCTTTGCCAGATGCCAGCACCATTGTCCTGGACTTTGTAGTCTCCAGAACTGCGAATGAAATAAATCTCATTTCTTTATAAATTACCCAGCCGGTGGCATTTCATTACAGCAGCAGAAAACAGAATAAGACAGTGGTCCTCTCTGTTATTTCTTGGTGTCTGTTTTTATGAATTTAAGGACATAATTATAGATTTTCTATTCATTAGCTTCTTTAGGTTTATTCTGTTATTCTCTGATGTTTTAAGTCAAGCTTTATTTTAAAGTTTTTCTTACTTCCTACATATGTTAAAGGTGACACATTTTCATGTAAATGAGGGATTTCTGCTAACCGTAGCTTACGGGAACAGAGCCACACCTCTTCATTTTCATACTGCCTGTGTTCGCTTTCTGACCAATCCAGCAGAGAAGAGGAGATGCAACAGAGACTATCCCACAAAGCCAAATATATTTTTATTTTTGTTTGTAAAAAATATTAGTAATAATATTTTTAAATGGGAAATGATCATCATCTGCACTTGTGAAATGCCATGTGGTATTTGGATGTATGTGCAAAACATGGAGTGATTAATTAAAGCCAATTAATATATCCATTGATTCTCTTAGTTATTTTGAAATATACAACACATTATTGTTAACCAGAGTCACCTGCTTTGCAGTAGGTCTCAAGCATGCTACTACCTGCCCCTCCACAAGACAGTTTTGCTAGTCACCTGCTTTGCAATAGGCCTCAAGCACACTACTACCTGCCCCTCCACAGAGACAGTTTGCTGACCCTTCCTAGGTGAAGCATTCTCTGCATTCACTCCAGAAGTCTCAATATGCAGCATTTATGTGGTCATTGTGTTTCAAATATTTTCAAATTTTGATTGTAATCTTCCTTGATTTACGATTCCTTCAGAAATAGGTTTTTATGGTTCCATATTTATGGGGCTGTTTTTCTCATTATTTCTAATTTCGATATGTGGAGTTCAGAGAATGTAGTCCATAAATACTTATTTTTTTAGTAATTGTTGGAATTTTTCTAAATGTCTCATGAATGCTTGATTCTTAGGTTCACAGATTTGAAGCAGCTATTATAGAAAACTTATTAATTATCTTGACAAGAATCCTTCGCTACTAATTTTGGGTCTGTGTAGCCACTTTAGGATTGATAGTTGTGTCGAACACTCTCATCATGATTTTGTATTCGTGTTTTTCTCCTTGAGTTTTTATCCATTGCATCCATTTGAAATTATGTTAATATACTAAGTTTCACAATTATGCTATGACCCTGATAAATAATTTCGTTTCTCGTGATGCAGTGGCTCTCTTTATTCTTGATAATGTGGTTTGATTTAATATCTATTTGTCTGGTATAATCGGGCGATTCCAGCCTTGCTTGGGTTAGTGTTTTTCTCATACTTTCTGTATCTTGCTTTCATTCTTTCCATGTTATGTTCTTTTTGATATGTCTCTTGTCAACAATGCATGTTTTACATATGTGTAGACACCTGGGGAGGTAGATTTCCTATATTTTCTCTAATAAATTTCTTTACTTGCATTTCTTTTAGTTAACAATGTATTAAATTCAGTTATGCAACCTTACTTAGGGCTTTGTACTACCCGTACTTCTAAGACGTCGCTCTCTTGAGCTTTTTACTGGTTTAGGTAGTATACATCATTTCTATTCTTTAAGCAATTACACCTAAATTTCATAATATCTACACTAAACCTATCAACATCTAAATGTACCTAGTAACTTTAACTCCCTCTACAACTATACAAAACCTACACAACATGTTAACTCCAACAATCTCCTTCCCATTTTACAAGGTTTCTCTGTTGAGGTTTCATAGAGGGCCAATGAAAAACTCCATTCTGACCCGTGCTCAAGCTGAGCCAATTTAAAAATAAGACAAAATTAATGCTTATTAAAAGAAAGCTTGAAGGTAATTCCTGGAGAACTTGTGACACGTTTGGAAAAGGTTGAAGGACTGGAGCTGGGTGGGCTGGTGGCTTTCAGAAAAGATGTGGGACACGTAAAGTGAGACAGGGCCAGGGACAGGAGAGGAGTCTCCTGCTTCTCTGAAAGTCCTTCTCCGTTTCATCCATGTTGAGTAAGTGCCATCATGTCTGGGCACTCAGGACACAATGGTGAATGAGAGTGCCCCGGCCCTGTCTCCTGGAAGCTGGGGTTGATGGGGACCTCCCAACTGCAGGCCAGCGGTGCCCTGCCCTCTACTGAGCATAGGGACACGGGGTTCTGGTCTCCTTAGCACCCAGGCTGACCCCTCTACAGGAGCCTCTGTGATGAGGACCAGGGACGGCACCTGCATCACTCTCAAAGGGAAATTCATCTCACTCCCTCCATCCCTCCCTTCTCTCTCCTTCCCACCCTCCCTCTCTTCCTTCCTCTCTCTCTCTCTTCCTCCCTCTCTCTCTCTCTTCCTCCCTCTTCCTTCCTCCCTTCCTCTGCCCCCTCCACCCTACCCTCCCTCCCTCCCTTTCTTTCTCTCCATCTATTATGGACTGAATGATTGTGAATCCCCAGATCCCTCTGTTGAAGCCCTAATCGCAGTGTAACGCTATTTGTGGATGGGGCCTTTGGAAGGTGATGAGGTCATGAACCCTCACGAATAGGATTAGTGACCTTGGAATAAGAGACACAAGATAAATGATTCCCTTCTGCCACTGAGGACACAACGAGAAGGCGCCATCTCCAAGCCAGGAAGGGGGCCCTCAGCAGACACCGAGTCAGCACCGTGATGATCCTGGGCTTCCCAGACACCACACCTGAGAGAAATAAATGCCTAGTGTTTCAGCCCCCAGTCTATGGTAATTAGTGATTGCAGCTCAAACTAAGACACCCTTCGCCTTGACATAACCATAGCGACACTTTGGATAAAACTTCCTTCATTTTGGATGTGACTCTGGACACTTCCTGGTCTTCGTACACTGCAGACATGAAGTGTCATCCAGCGGCATGTGCTGGACTGGGGCACCCTTGGTGTTGCCTTCATACACTGCAGACATGAAGTGTCATCCAGCTGCATGTGCTGGGCTGGGGCACCCTTGGTGTTGTCTTCATACACTGCAGACATGAAGTGTCATCCAGCTGCATGTGCTGGGCTGGGGCACCCTTGGTGTTGTCTGCTGTCACACTGGGAGCCTGGACCCTGCGGGCAGGGCTCACAGAGGTTGCAGGGCCATCCTCTCGTGGAAAATGTCTCTAGACTGCTTTACTTTTTTGATCCTTAATAAAATAAAATACACTTTCTTAGCTCCCTATTCTTGCATACTTTTTCCTGGGGAACCCAAGGACCCAGCAGGTTAGAAACACAGGGTGGTCAGCTTGATGCTCCAGGAGGCAGCCTCCAGGGGGGCTGCTGTGGGCAGTTCCTCCACAGCTCACACTCTGCAGAAGCCGGGTGAGTGTCCCTCCTAAATACTCCGGAGCAGGGTGCTCCTGGCCCTGACCATGGCATCATGGCCCTAGGATTGGGTGAGTGCTCCTCGTCAACGCTCCAGAATAGGGCGCTCCTGCCCCTGACTATGGCATCATGGCCCTAGGATCAGCCTTTCACTCAATCTTGGACAACGAGTTTTTCTTCCAATGTGGTTTAGCCTTGGTGGTGAATGTTGTTGCTCCAGCAGCCAAAACTGAAGGTGCAAATGCAGGAACAGTCAGCCCCACCCTGCTGTGTGTGAGGATGATGCTGCCCTGTGCAGTGAAGAAAGCAGGGTGCTGCTGGAAGCCAAGGCTGAAGGTGGCTTTGTGTCTGGATCCAGCTGTTCCTGAAGCTGCCTGTATTCCTCTCTTCCCAAGAGCCTTGCTCTTCTTACTCTGCCCTGGCACATGCAGTCTTTACGCAGAGACCTTCAACATTTCTTTAGATCACATAGAAGCTCTTTGGAAGTTTTAAAACAGCAACCTATAGGCCGGGTGCTGTGGCTCACACCTGTAATCCCAGCACTTTGGGAGGCCGAGGCGGGTGGATCATGAGGTCAGGAGTTCAAGACCAGCCTGGCCAACATGGTGAAACCCCATCTCTACTAAAAATACAAAAATTAGCCAGGTATGGTGGTGTGTGCCTATAATCCCAGCTACTTGGGAGGCTGAGGTAGGAGAATCACTTGAACTCTGGAGGCGGAGGTTGCAGTGAGCGGATATCGCACCATTGCGCTGCAGCCTGGGCAACAGAGCAAGACTCTGTCTCAAACAAACAAACAAACAAAACAACAACAACCTATAAATACGAGAGATCCAACACAGGTCTCACGAGCAGATGCTGCTCTTCTGAAGCCTCCACCAGCAGGAGGCCACTTGATGCCTTTCAGGGGACCAGGGGAAAGGCTTCCTCTCTGCACTAGGGATGGTGATTGCAGCTGCCAGGGGAAATTCACTTCCTCATTGTTGAGTTGAATTGGATTGAATGTTAAATGATTTCTGAATCCTTACCTCCTGTTTTAAAGGAGAATTTTCTCATTACCAAAGAGCATTTGTTGAGCATATAAAACACTTGGAATGGACTGAAGCTGGGGTGTAAATGTGGAGCTCTGAGCCTGCTTCCCCTTCCTGTATCTCAAAGAAATAAGCCCCGGATGGCTCGCAGCTCCTGTGTTTGGGACCAATGTGTCTTCTTCAAGTCAAATCTTTCATCAACATCATCCTCTATGGATGTCTCCCCCTGGTCTTCACCCCGCCTGGCCCACGGCCGGTGCTTCTCGCCTGGGCTTGCTCTCATTCAGGCCACTGGAAATGCCTGTGGCTCAAGCACCAGGTATTTTTGAAAGATTTTGAAGACGGGGTTATCTAACTTGGCATAAGAAACATGAGAAATGAATATGAAAAAACCTTAACATTAACAAAAAATGCATGCTTACAGGGTGGTGGGCTCCCTTGCAGAGGAAGCAGGGTGGCCGTCCTGGGAGCCGGCCACCGTCCTGTGAGTCATCTGAGGACAGCCGTTTCTTTCCACTCCATATTTCTCAGGACCTGGCCAAGGGCAGTGAGTGGAAAACAGGGAAATGCCACATTGGTCGAATGAGTGATATGGGAATAAGTCCTTCTTTGGGTAAAGTCGCCAACGTCACAATCCTGCACATAGGGGAAGTTACCGAGGACTCCTGCTTATGTACATCTGTGCAAGGGTTCAAGATGGTTTCTGTTAGAGCCTGGGCTTGAACATTCCTCTGTCTCCCTTGAGTGCCGATGTGGGCCCCTCTGACCCTATGCACCCCATCCATGAGCTGCTGCAGGACTGGAAGAACCAGTCCTTGGGGTCAGGAAGGCAGGAGTTCGAGCCTGGCTTTGGTCAGCTACTGAGACACCATGCTGCAAAGCTCGTCAAGACTCAGTCTCCACATCTGTAAAGTCGGCATAAGTTTCCAGTGCTGGAGCCTCTGATGGGATTCCATAACTGACATCCCTCTTCCCTGGCCAAGATCAGAACACCTTGGAAAATGAGACAAAGCTCTAAAGAATGGTACAAACCCAGCCTCTGAGGTCCTGAGGGACCCACTCGCATCCCCAGGGGCTGCCCAGGAATCCCACCACCCAGACCTGGGGCCTCCCAGGGAAGTCTGCAGAGAATGAGGACTCAGAAAGGGTTTTAATCAACATATATATAACTAATAATAGAATTTATTCTTGGACCTTTTTCTTTTGGTATTGAGAGCTTAACTTGAAAAGGTTTTAGTTTCTCCCCAAGACTTTGATAATGGGGCTGGGCACTGTAACTCACACCTATAATCCCAGCACTTTGGGAGACCAAGGTGGGTGGATTACTTCAGGTCAGAGGTTCGAGACCAGCCTGGCCAACATGGTGAAACCCTGTCTCTACTAAAAATACAAAAATTAGCCAGGTGTGGTGGTGCACACCTGTAATCCCAGCTACTCAGAAGATTGAGGCAGGAGAATCGCTTGAACCCGGGCAGCAGAGGTTGCACTGAGCTGAGATCGTACCACTGCACTCCAGCTTGAGAGACAGAGCAAGACTCCGTCAAAAAAACCAAAACAAACAAAAAAATCCACAAGACTTTCATAATGGGAGTGGGCTTATGAAGGTGGACCCTGGTACAGAGTTAGCATTTTCTTATTTGATGGCTTTATGCATTCACACTGATGCTGTCATTTCATCCCAGTGCAAATCCTCTGCTGGGTTGCAGGGACTCCAGAGATTGATACGGTAAGGAAGGAAAGAGAGAAGGGAACACGTTTTCAGCTTTGGCTACAGAGTGTCCACTTGAGTGGACAGCTCTCTGCTTCCCAATGCTTTGCAGAGTTCACGAGGACAGAGACCACTTACAGAGTCATTTTACACCTCGCGTAGCAGGTAAAATCCCTCTGTGAGGCACTGTGGACTCAGCCAACATCCTCCTTGCTGGGGCTCATGTCTCAGTTCACTTCCTCCATTTTTTTGGGTTGTCCCCCATCATATGTTTAGCAAAAGGTGCTGATAAGAGAATTTCCAAGAGATGTCACTGGAGGAAAAGAATATGCATCAAGTCTGTCCTCTCGTTCCACGTGGGCATAAAGGATCCTGGCTTCATGGGGCGTGGCGGAGAAGGGAGGAGATTTCCTTTGCAGGGGACTTGGCTGGTGGTATGATGCTGTCACCTGCCAAGCGTCTAATGCTTCATAGTGATTTTAATTCCAGCAGCATGGGATGGGAACAGAGCACAGGGCAGTGAGTTTATCTCCCTCAGAGACAGATGACACCCAACCCTTCTTCATTTCTGAGGACAGCGTGGTTGGCAGAGGAGCACCCAGAAGGGCACAGCTGGTATTTTCAGAGGGTTTCCTCTGGACTTGGTCTGTCTTCTGCAGTGGGGAACCATGAAGGCGCCTACCTGTAAGTGGCCTCCGTTTCTCTCCTCTCACTCCATAGTCGGGCTTTTCTCCTTCCACCCTCCAGCCCTCCTGCCCCAGAGGAGAGCGGCACAGTTCGCCCTCTGTCCAGGTGAGCCCTCTTCCCTGCTCTGAAGTAAGCCAAGACTGTCATAGTTCACGTGGATAAAATTTCAGATGTTTGGTTTGTGTGTGTTTGCGTGGGTAGACACATAGATAGTTTCACATAAAAATGTCGATTACATTTTGGGCACAATCTCATAGATCATTTTCCTTTTTACTTGCTGTATGAGACACATGTTCCGATATCAATGAATGGGTGCTCCGCCATTGCCAAGAGCCACATGGCACTGGATTATGTGGGTGCACCATCATCTGTGTGACCGCTGCACTGTTGCTGGACACATGCTTGCTTGCTAACTTTTTTGTGTGTGGGGGGGTGCGGGGACGGGGTTTTGCTCTTGTCGCCCAGGCTGGAGTGCAGTGGCGCGATCTTGGCTCACTGCAAACTCCACCTCCCGGGTTCAAGCCATTCTCCTGCCTCAGCCTCCTGAGTAGCTGGGATTATAGGCGCCCACCAACATGCCGGGCTAATTTTTGTTTTTTCAGTAGAGACGGGGTTTCCCCATGTTGGCCAGGCTGATCTCGAACTCCCGATCTCAGGTGATCCACCTGCCTCGGCCTCCCAAAGTGCTGGGATGACAGGAGTGAGCGTGGCCCTTGCTTGCTAACTTTTCAATGAGAAAGCACTGCAGACACACCCCTTCATACTTTTCTGACCACTTCCTTGGGGCAAGTCCATGGGAGTGGCCTCTCACTTTTAAGCACTGTGTCTGCAATGCCAGTGGTACCTGCAATCTGCCTGCCCAGTTTGCAAACCAGCCAGCACCTGTGGGAACTAGGGAGGCTGGATTCCTGCACACACGGGTTGGGTGGGAGCCATGGATGCTTTGTAATCTTTGACAACCTCACATACGTGGCCAGAAGTCTTTCGTATGCTGCCCTGACACAAGGACGTAATTGATGTGCTTGTTTTCACTTTTATTTCTTATTTGGTAAATGCCGATTTATTTTATTTAAGGATATTCTTGGTAGCCCTTTTTGAGAGCAAAGGCAGTTTGTCCTTAACACTTGCATCTGGCAACAATAGACATAATAATAATAATAATGTGTATCTGGCACATAGTAGAGTCTCACTGAAGGTTTACTAAGTCTATCCATTAGCACAGCTAGGAGTTTCACTACAGGCTTAGTTTTGGGCTAAGACGTTAACTGTGTGGTTTAACAATGATTTCTATGAATTAAGCTATAAATTTTCTGAACCTAAGCTCTGGGGCAATTTGGAAATGCCTCCTATCCTCAGATAAAGCCAGCGTGCATTGACCTTGAATTTCAGTAAAGCTGAAGGGACAGGAGGACTGATTTCCCTCCAAATGACAATCGCTAAGAGGCAGAATCAGGCTCGATAACCATTAGGAGGTAACGACTGTGAACTTGGTGATTTTAATGATTTCAAATAAATTACTCCAGGAAAAAGAAAATCTTTACTACATTTTACTTTGGGAGTACTCCCCCCACCCTGAAATGGATCACAGACATCCAAATAGCAGCAAAATTAAAAGGAGGTGGATGTGGTGTGTTGCCTTCTTTAACTTGTATTTAAAGTCGTTATAATGATGGACTCTAAGACCTTATATGCTCTTTATGCTTTAAAGACTCTAAGACTTTATATGCTCAGTGTGTGCACTGAAGAAAAGTTGACTTACAAACAGTATTTTTAAAAAACAATGAGGAATTTTATCATTAATTCCTTTAAATTTGTGAACAGAAAACCCCTGCGCTCCTGAGTCTCAATGCCTACATGGGTCTGGACACCAGGGATGGGAGCAGACGTGTGTGTGCTCCGCAGCCAGCCCAGCTGGCAACTGGGGAAGAAATGGAACCGTCATGAGGTCATTTTGAGCCATGAGGCAGCCCCTCAGGGGACCAGATGGGTGGAGAAGCCCACCTTCCCCTCCTCCCCTGGCTCTGCCGAGGTGGCCTCCCTCTTCCATGAGGCCCATTGCCTGGAGCCCACATCTCAGGGAGGGTGGCACAGGCAGAGAGACCGGGGCCCAAGGCCCCCTTGCAGAGTTCCTACATAGAAATGCAGGTTCTGTGGAGCTGACGGTGCCGTAAACAGCGGCAGGTGCAGAGTGACCACAGAATTCCGCAACACAGATGGTGACGGGGTGAGGGCCATGGAGAACCAGCTCATGGGAGCTCGTCTTTCAGTGACCTCTGCAGGCAATGGGAAGTGGGAAAAGGGCTCCGCCTTCCACCTGGCCCCAGGTGCAGATGGCAGCTGTGGTTCTCCAGCACCCAGGTATAAATGGGAGAGGCGGATCCCCCTTCCACCTGGCCCCAGGTGCAGATGGCAGCTGTGGTTCTCCAGCACCCAGATATAGACGGGAGAGGCGGAGCCACCGTGGAAGGTCCTGGAAATGCCACCTTCTGACGGACGCTGGTGGGAGGAGGCCAGGGCCTGGCAAGGCCCTTCCCTTGGTCCCCAGCAGACATGAGAGGAAACAGCTCCCACAACACGGGCACAGATTCTTCTCATGGTGAAGCAGAGTCATGAGAGCAGAAAACAGACTCAGAAAACAAAACAAAAGAGTTATTTACATATGAATCAGAAAACACTGTGTGCAGATGTCGGGTCTGGCCCTGGGGGAAAGGGAATGACCAGATGCAGGTTCCTGTTGAGTCCGGGAGACAGAGCAGTAGAGGAAATGGGATCAACCACGTGCATGGGCTCCACACCAGCAGGCGGAGGGCACACAGGAGAGGCCCTTCGGGGCTCCCGGTGGGAGGCAGCTCTGCAGGGGGCTCAGAAGCCTCAGGCACCAGGAGGCCAGAGCAGGTGGTGGCTTCTGTCACACCCAAAAGGCCACAGGGAGACACCATGGGGAGGTGCTTTCCCAGGGAGGCCTGAAGAGGTAGAGCTGGAAACGAGGGTGTCTTGGTCCCATGCTGTCTCCTTTCTCACCACGTTGGGCACCTTTGGGTAAACTTGGTGTCCCAGGGGAGCACACTTGGGATAGAAGTCCCCAGGCTGGATACAACACCACTCACTCTGCAGGGACGGCCTCCAGAATCATCCTGGGTGTTAGTATTGGAGATTAACATATCCAAGCCAGCTGTGGAGGGAGAATCCTTCCTGGAAATAATAAAATGCAGCCAGATCTGATTCCCCAGCCCAACATTAAGGCTCCAGCGAGGAAGCACTACCAAGAAATCCGGGGGGAAACTCTGGGCTCTGGACACTTCTCCTTCCAGGGTACCTGAAAAGGCTGCTCTCAGGGAAGGGTGTGCAGAGCCCCTGGGGTGGGGAACTGCTGTCAGGGAGGGGAGTTCAGAGCACCTGGGGAGGGAGCTGCTCTCAGGCCAGGGTGTGCAGAGCCCCTGGGGAGGGAGCTGCTCTCAGGGCGGGGTGTGCAGAGCCCCTGGGGAGGGAGCTGCTCTCAGGGAGGGGTGTGCAGAGCCCGTGGGGAGGGAGCTGCTCTCAGGGAGGGGTGTGCCGGGCACCTGGGGAGGAGAGCTGGGATGCAATCCTGCATCTCGTAACATGACCAACACTGAGACACAGGACCAAGGAAGGGAAAGGTGGAGGAAAGAACCAGGGGGGAGCATTGCTGATATTTTTCTGTGTTCATTTGTAACTTTTCTTCTGTTGGATTTATTTGTCTCTGATAGTAACGCCCAGGAGGGGTGCAGACAGGGTGGACTCTGTCCAGAGGGGCTCCCAGGCCAAGGCACCTCCTCTGTCCCAGGTAAACCACCAAGGAATGCGATGTCTGATCATAAATCAGAGTGTACATCTATGAGACATAAGACGCAACAACTGTGCCATGTGCTTGGGCAGTTTAATGCAAATAAAACATTTAAAAAAGAGAGCCTTAACATTAAATAAATCAATCCCAGGTATAGTTAATAATGAGAGAAGCGTGTGAGTAATACAAAACTCAAAATTCCTTAACTTACCTAGGGATGTTACAATAAATACCACCTTATTTGTGAATTTACAAAGGGAAACATTACCTGCAGATTCCAGAACCATAAATGTGGCCCCAAACAGAAATTTTAAATTGATTGTAAATAATCAAAATCATTGCAGTAGATTAAAATAAAACTTTTTATGTATAAAATGGAGAAAACAAAAGAAGAAAGTCAAAAGCCATAAAAACGTAAGAGCAGTTGTCAGCAGGAGTGTGAAAGACAGCAGTTATGCCCAAAATATAATGCTCCAACCACACCCCTCCCACTGAGAAATATTGATGCTGACAGATTTTTTTAAAGAAAGCCTTTTTGGAGTAGAGTTTAGAAAAGATAACATTAAGCAAATGACCCAGTTTGAACATAGAGATGGGCAGTTATAACTCGCACATTCAGGGTGATTATCTTGTATGAAACAAAATCACTAGGCCTGGGTAATGAAGAGTTCACCAGGTGGAAGACACCAGGCATTCATTTTCGATGCTGAAATCCACACAGGGGGCAACTCCCTTGAATCCCACAGCAAGCCTCAACTTCCATTTCAAATACTTATGGACATGGTCAGAGAAGGTGCTAAGATTCTTTTGACTAACAGTTTATGTGAGATTCTGTAGATCAACATGGAGTGAGGCTATCCAGGGCTACAGGATTCCTGGTGTGGGGGCAGGACTTGTCGACTGCAACACTCATGGCATCTGGCCGGAATAATTACTTGTCACGGTTTCTCTTTGGAAACACCTCGGCCTCCACCCACTGGGTAAGACAGCATCCTCCTGGATGGGACAGTCCAAACGTTCCCAGTCTTTGTCAAAGCTGCCCTGAGGGGAACCAGGGAAAGAAGCAGTAGATGGCATCAAGCTTGGTACTGACGAGGACTTTTCCACAAGTGCACAGTAAATGCTTGGTAAATATTCGTTAAAGGAATGAATTCCTGCATTTTTTCCCAGTGTTGAAAAATGTTTTTAAAAAATCACCAAGAAAACTTCAGCTAATTCAAGAAATAGAAATCACACAAACAACATTCACCAAGATACAATAAAATTTCAATCACACACTGGAGCTAGGGCTAGAAGGAAACACTCCTATAATAATAATAATAATTTTTAGTAATGAAAGTGAACCGTGTATAACCAGTGATAGCGGATGTGGACAAAATGAAAATGAATAGCACGATGAAACTCCAGCAGATGTGGCCAAAGCTGTACCTAGAGGTTAATTACTTTTCTCATGTAACAGAAAGGAAAAAAAAAAAAAAACAACTAACTAAACAGCCAACATAGGAAATTGGAAAATGAAAATAAACCTTAATTTCTAAGGCGATTAGAATAAATTCATTTTTTGAGGAAGAAAATAAGTAAATGAATTTCTTGCAAATCCAAGTCCCTTTCAGGCAAAATCCAGGAACTGGGGAGGGAGAATAACACAGAAATTTTCAAGCAAGGAGAGAAAACTCCCCACATCCAAGATTACAGCGGGGTCTCCCGTGAAACGGCTGGTTTCTTCGGTGTCTCCTGTCTCTTTATTTCCTTCCTTCTCCTTTCTCTTTCTTTCTCTCTGCATGCCGGTGGGCCCCAGCACACATACAAGGATAGATGGAAAATCACCCCAGATTAAATATTGTGACCACAAGGAGGACATGGAGGACGCAATCATGGCATTTTCCCCTTAAAAGCACGAGGACCCTATTGAGTCTTTACGAAAAATTAAGCTGCAAATTATTTTCATGTACTTAAGAGCAAACACATCAGGGGTGTCCAACCTTCTGGCTTCCCTGGGCCACACTGGAAGAATAAGAATTGTCTTGGGCCACACATAAAATACTCTAACACTAATGATAGCTGATGAGCTAAATAAAAATTTTCAAAAAATTCTCATCACGTTTTAAGGAAGTTTACACATTTGCATTGAGCTGTATTCAAAGCCATCCTGGGCCACATGGGGCCCACAGGCTGTGGGCTGAACAAGCTTGTGTTATACATAGTGATCAGAAGAATGGATAGGCGCACAGAATTTCCACTTACTGGCCAGGCGCGATGGCTCACGCCTGTCATCCCAGCACTTTGGGAGGCCAAGGAGGGTGGATCACCTGAGGTCAGGAGTTCAAGACCAGCCGGGCAAACATGACAAAACCCCATCTCTACTAAAAAAAAAAAAAAATTAGCCGGAGGTGGTGGTGCATGCCTGTAATCCCAGCTACTCGGGAGGCTGAGGCAGGAGAATCACTTGAACCCAGGAGGTGGAGGTTGCAGTGAGCCGAGATCGTGCCACTGTACTCCAGCCTGGGTGACAGAGTGAGACTCCTTCTCAAAAACAAACAAACAAAAAAATTTCCACTTGCTTTCATGAACTCAACACAACCATGATTCCAAATTCAGACAAGGAGAATAAAATTAAAATAATTGAGAAGAAACAGATCACCTCGTTTGCGAACTCAGACGTGAACATTTCACATGAAGTAATGGAAAATCAGATTCGGCTGCATTAAGAACATTCTACTACTGCCAAATATACCTCAGTCTTGTGAAGAATATTCCACTGGGGCCAGATAAAGCTTTCTCTTGTAACAGAAAAGTCTCGAGATCTAAAAACATGTGCACTGGGACACCGATAAGGTGATGAATAACAGATGGTCTTCTTGATGAACGCTGAAATCGCGTTTTTTTTTTTTTTTTTTTTTGGCCAAATGTGTCTGTTTTTTGTATGTGTATTTTTATTTTTTTCTATTTATTTGTTCTGCTTATTATAATAGTCTTCCACACTGCCCCCCAAGATTCTAGAAATTTTTGCCTACACATACTTCTAGGACTTCTGGGCCTTTCTTTTTAACCCAGAGGAAGTTTGCATTGAGGTAAGCTGTGAGTTGATGATCTAAATCATTTGCCAATTAGCTCAAGACAACGTATTGAATTCCTTTTTCTCCTGGAGTAGAAAGCCCTGTGGCAGCCCGTGTGAGTTATGGGTAGATTTCTGTATTTGTTTCTGTTTTCCTTTTATATTTGGGGTTTGATGGTTTGGGAGGTTCTAAGCACATTCTAAAAGCCTCTCTTCTCAATCCATTCCAGGACCCCGAACTTGCTCCGGCCTGCCGATGAAGGCATTTAATTACCAAGGATCTTCAGTCTTGCTTTGTTACTCACTTTTTCTCCAAAATATCCTTCCACACAAATTCTCCCAAATAATCCTTACAATCATTTTTATTTAGTTTTTTTCTTTAGCTTTTCTGTGTTTCCCATAAGATATATATATATATTATTTTTTGTAAAGAGGAAAATTTAATGAAACCTGGTTGTAAACAAGATAGAAAACACAATTCCAATTTTAGGGGGACATGATATATTGTTATGGAAAGAAGTCTCTAAGAATATATGCCAGTTGTTAAGAAAGACTGCGGAATTACTGCTGAGTAATGTCTATTTTGTGTACAATTCTGCACTTTCAAGCTTTCCTGGAATACGTATGTTTCCTTCAATTAGGACACCACCTATTTCTTTAAAATGAAAGTGCAAAGTTCTGTGTATGAGGATGTATCGTGTGAACATGCCATCTGCACAGGTCAGCCAACGGTTCAATGGGAGTAATTGTGTGTGGCTCAGCACACAAGTGTGGGTCAAGTTAAGCTAGACGCTCATCACTCAGTATCTTGCTCTTCACAGTGAGTCCTGTGTGAGTCTTCGGAGCCTCCATATAAATGGCGCTGGCTCTGAAACATAGACGGCTACCACCTGGAAGTCCCAGAGGCCTCCACAGCTCGGGAGTCTGGGTGGGGACCTCCCTGCCCTCTGGGTAACCAGGGCTGATTTTTCAACATTCCTATAAAACATATATTCCTGGAAGGAGAAGGCAGGTGAACTGGAGTTCTAAGGAGGTTGTGTCCCTGAGGCCAACTCTGGCCCGTCTGTGCAGAGCCCATGGGGTCAGTGGTTGCTGGAGGATGGAGTCCAGATACAACAGATACACAAGAGCTCACAGACGTGAACAACCGCAAGGATGCAGGTCATGGTAAGATGCACTGCAAAGGCAGGAACTGGTGGGATGGGATGACTGCATTTAAACTTAATATGTGTATATGTGTATGTGTGTGTGTGTGTGTGTGTGTATACCATATATTTTCTATCTAGCTTTGTGGGTATACAAAATACTTGTATGTGTGTGTATATATATATCACATTCAATGTATTACATAATGCCAAAAAATATTTAATGAGGAAATCCAGTCATGCTATATTAGGAAGAGAAAAACAGCAGGTTACAGAAAAGCAAATATAGTAATTTTTTGGTATAATTACTTAAGTACAACACATTATATATGATATATAGTCATATAAATATATAATTTTAAAAGTAATATTACATATAATAAAATATACAATAATATATAATGCAAATTTTGTCATTTAATTTATAATTCAGTGGCATTCAATACATTCCTAATGTGTGTGTGTGCTTCCGTCCTGCCTCTGTGAATTCCCTGCGGCAGCCCCTGCACCTACCACTCTCCGTCCTGGCTCTGTGAATTGGCCTCTCCTTCCTGTGAGCCTCATGAAGGTGGAATCCTGCCACAGCTGCCCTTACGTGTTGGGCCTTTTTGCTCCACATGTGGAGTGGAAAAGGTTTATCCCTGCTGTCACCTGCTGTCTCGTGCCTGAATACTTCCATGTTGTGTGCTGACCACATGCTGTTTATCCATTCACCCACTGGTGGACCCCCGGGCTCTCTCCACCTTTTGGTTATCGTGGCGAATGCTGCTGTGAACATGGGGATACCTTTTTGAGTCCCTGGGCTCGATTCTTTTGGACATGTGCCAAGGAAGGAGTGGGATGGCCGGGTCGACAGATGACTCTGCCTGTCTTCTGCAGAGGCTGCCGTTTTCCATCTTCACCAGCAAAGCGCGATGGCTCCAATGTCTCCCCGTCCTCACCAATGCGTGCAATTGTCTGTTTTGCTGATGAACATCATCCTGGTAGGTGCGAAGTGGTATTTCTTTGAGACTGTGATTTGCATAACAACTACTGAGGCAGAACATCTTTTCAGTATAGTCATGAAAGTCATGTAAGTCATGTCACTTAATGAAAGGGACACATTGTGACAAATGCGTCCTCAAGGGATTTTCTCCTTGTCTGAACATCACAGTCCTTGTCTGGACTTACACAAACCTGCATGGCACAACCTACTCCATACCTAAGCAATGTGGCACAGCCTGGTGCTCCCAGGGTACACACCTGTGCAGCGTGGACTGTACTGAATGCTGCAGGCAATTCAGACACAAGGGTAAGGATTTGTTATCTAAACCTGGAAAAGGTGCAGTGAAAACAGTATCCTAATTTGTTTTTTTTTCTTTTTTTTTTTTGAGACAGAGTCTCGCTCTGTTGCCCAGGCTGCAGTGCAGTGGTGGGATCTCGGCTCACTGCAAGCTCCGCTTCCTGGGTTTACGCCGTTCTCCTGCCTCAGCCTCCCAAGTAGCTGGGACTACAGGCGCCCGCCACCACGCCCGGCTAATTTTTTGTATTTTTAGTACAGACGGGGTTTCACCATGTTAGCCAGGATGGTCTCGGTCTCCTGACCTCGTGATCCACCCGCCTCGGCCTCCCAAAGTGCTGGGATTGCAGGCGTGAGCCACCGCGCCTGGCCCAGTATTCTAATTTTGTGGGACCACTGCCGTCTATTCAGTCCACGGTTGGCAGAAACATGGTCATGTGATGCCCACCTGCATTTACCCACCCTCTATCTGTAGATCTGCTTTGGAGAAATGTCTGTTCAAGTTCTTGGCCCGTTTTGTTACTGGGTTGTTTGGCTTTTGTTGATGATGAGTTGTAGAAGTTCTTTATAAACTCCATTAGCCTTGTTTTTAGTATAATTTATTTCATTGTAAGCTTATGTGATTTAATGGGCTAAATTCAGCAATCAGCTCACAGCATTCCTGGAAATTCTGCCACTGCTCTCATGGTCCATGTGACCCAGTTCCAGCACGGTGCTGTCTCTCCCTGCCCCGACTGTGGCCCGGATTAAGAAGACAATGTTCATGGCAGGGCTTTGAAAAGTCTAAAGTGTTTTCCTAATCTGAGGACATACCACTATTATCATTTATGGCCGTTTTTTGACTCAACACGTAGGCCCAAGAAATGCATTTGTATTAAGGTCTCTTTCTTGTGAGTGGAACTGTGGTGGGGAGAGGAGGCTGGAGCCACAGAGTGAGATGACACCTCGAGCAATCTGTGAGCTGCCCCCCTCCTGCCCCCTGATACCCCAACAGCTGATAAATAAGAAAGGCAAAACGGGCTCCCCTCCCACAGCCTTTGAAGAGTCTCAGGGCATTTTCAGCCCTTGAAAAGCACTTAGCTGATAAAAACACATCCTAATGAGGAAGAGACAGGCTCTTTTCAGCTGCGCAGCCCATTTTGACAGTGACAGGCGAGAGCCCTTTCGCTCAGAGCCCCGGGAGTCTTGTTCCTGGGCAGATGGCCATCAGGAGGACTGTGCTCAGCACTCCTGCTTGCAGGCCACTTCCCTGGGGCTGTGGGTCTTTAGCTTCTGTCTCTTGTTCTTGCTCTGAGTGAGAGACCAAAGAGGAATTCACGGCAAAACAGAAGGTCTGCTGAAAACCTGATAAACGGAGGCCACCCTCACACTGCCTGCTGATGAGGGCAGTCCTATCCCTGCTCCAGCCAGTCTTTGTCTTGTTGTATTATTTTATCCGAAGTTTTTCCTTCCTTCCCTTCCTTCCTTCCTTCCCTTCCTTCGTTCCTTCGTTCCTTCCTTCCTTTCTTCCTTCCTTCCTTCCTTCCCTTCCTTCGTTCCTTCCTTCCTTCCTTTCTTCCTTCCTTCCTTCCTTCCTTCCCTTCCTTCGTTCCTTCGTTCCTTCCTTCCTTCCTTTCTTCCTTCCTTCCTTCCTTCCTTCCTTCCCTTCCTTCGTTCCTTCCTTCCTTCCTTCCCTTCCTTCCTTCCATTCCTTCCTTCATCCCTCCCTCCTTTCCCTTCCCTTTCCTTCCTTCCTTTCTTCTTCCTTCCTCTCTTCCTTGTTTCTCCCTCTCTTTCTCTCTTGCTCTCTTATTTTGCTTTTTTCTTTCTTCCCTTTCTCCCTCTTCTCTCCTTCACTCTTCCCACCTCCCTTCCTTCCTTCTTTCCTTCCTTCCTCCCTCTGTCCCTCCCTCCCTCTTTTCTTCTTTCCTGCCTTTCTTTCTCTTTTTGGTGCATCTCAAGTACAAAGAACAGGATCCATCATTCTGCAGTAATCTAAGAAGAGCCCATAAACACACTTCCCTAAGTCCCTGCTAGGGTCTTGATCATGACATCTGTCTAAGAACATGGTCCTGTCTAACCCACCCCCTGATTTCTCCATTCCCCCAAGGGCAAACTCTGCCTGAGTGCAGTGTTCATTCTTCCCTCGTATGTACTTTTATTCCATTTATGTGTATTTCTAAATATGTATTCATGTGTTATACTGTTGGATTGGTGCAGTTTTTAACTTTCGGAAAGAGTAACATGTAGTGAGCAATTGTACTTTTTCACTAAATATTTGATTGCTGACATTCATCACATGGCTGCTCTTCATTTGTTTTGACCATTGTTTTCCATACGTCGCAGGCCGACATGTGACAGCTTGAGGGACAAACCTGGCTGCCTCCTGTCTTTGTAAACACAGTTGTCTTGGAGCACAGTCTTGCATGCATTATCTCTGGCTGCTTGTGCATTGCAGAGCAGAGTTGAGAGGTTGTGAGAGAGCCAACACGACCTGCAAAACCAGAAATATTTTCAATCTGATCCTTTTTAGAAAATGTTTGCAGGTGCCTGAGTGGTTGATCCTGTTTTTGCTACTATGAAGAACAGGGGGCTGGGAGCAGTGGTTGACGCCTATAATCCCAGCACTTTGGGAGGCTGCGGCGGGTGGATCTCTTGAGGTCAGGAATTCGAGACCAACCTGGCCAACATGGTGAAATGCCGTCTCTACTAATAATACAAAAGTCAGTTGGGCATGGCGGTGAGTGCCTGTAATCTCAGCTACTCAGGAGGATGAGGCAGGAGAATTGCTGGAATCTGGGAGGCAGAAGTTGCTGTGAGCCAAGATCACACTGCTGTATTCCAGCCTGGGTGACAGAGTGAGACTCCACCTCAAAAAAAAAAAAAAAAAAAAGAAGAAGAAGAAGAAGAAAAGAAAGAAAAAAGAAAAAAAAAAGGACAGGGGAAGGTTCTTGTACACATCCCCTAGTTCACGTTCAAGAGTCTACTTTGCCTAGAAATGCAATTGGCAGTCATGTGGCAGGGAATGCTCACCTTTGGGGAATGATGCTTAAGAGTTTCCCAAAGCTTTGTGCCAGTTTATGATTCTACCAGTAAAATCAGAGACCCTGGGAACGTTCATTGTCTCCACCACCCACTATTGTCAGTCTGTTTATTTTACTGACAATTATAGACACGTTTTCCTGGGGAGCCATGGAGGACATTTTATCTGGGGGCTAACACCATGGGTCTCCTGTAAAATGTGGGTTCTCCTAGGAAACTGAATGGGAAATCTGTTCATTCTGGCTTTACGGGTGTGTAGCAGCTCCTAAGAAGGCGTTTCTGACATGATTTCTGGGAGGCTTGGTGGGCTCGGGGGTGGGGGTTCCTTATGGTGAAGCAGGGCAGGCAAATAGTTACCTACCACCTGTGCTGGGCGAACAGCCCTGGATCTGCTGGAGTGTCAGGTCAGCTTTACAGGCATTGGGCTTCCTCAGCAGTGTCCCTGAGCATATGGAAGGTGTGTGTTTGTGGGTAGACTTCAATATGGATCCCTTTTTGTTCAGAGGGGAAGAACATTGAGGCCTCAAGCTCTGCAAGCTGTTACCTTTTGGGGGTCTTCAGAGGGCCCTAAGCAGCCGGCCAGCCCCGTAACATGGGGATGTCATGGCTCTGCTGCTGCTCAGCTCTAGGGGAGCCTTGAGCGAAGACTGGCCTCAAAGTCCAAACCATTACCCATGCCACATGGTCACTCCACAGTGGTCTTGCCGTGGATAGGACCATCACAGCTGGGCCAGGGAGGCCATATGTGCCTAAGCCCTGGCCTGCCCACACCTGCCCTGGGGCCTCACCTGTTCTACCCGATCTCCTCTGACCAACTGAATGAATGAATGAATGAATGTGAGAAGGAGCTTGGAGTGAAGCTTGCTCTGAGAAGGGCGACCAATGTAGTGGCAGGACCAGGCCACCCAGGGCTAGTGGGGACAGTGGGACACAGGGATGTGGGGACCAGGGGAGCTTCAGGTGGGTGAAGATCACCACTGTGAACCTCAGAAGAGCTGCCGAGGGGAAGAGGGCCCAGTCTGTGCCTTGTGTTCTTATGTGGGAGAATGTGTCCACCTGGGGCATGCTACGGGAAGGGATTCGATGTGGTGTAAGAAGGACTTGATGAAGATTGAGCTGTCTATGGCTATTAAAGGCTGGCTCAGTACTATTACTGCTATACTATCATTACCATCATCATCACCATCATCATCGTCATTACCACCACCGTCATTACCATCACCGTGATTACTAACACCACCATCACCATGCTCACCATCACCATCACCATTATCATCACCATCCCTACCATAATCACCACCATCATCACCATGATTACCATTATCATCGCCATCATTACCATCACCATTATCACCATATCATTACCATCACCATCATCACCATTGCCATCATTACCATCACCATTATCACCATCAACACCACCATCAACACCGTGATCACCATTATCATCACCACCATCATCACCGTTATCACTATCAACATCAACATCAACATGATCTCCATCATCATCACCATCATCATCATCACCACCACTATCATCATTACCGTCACCATGATTACTATCACCACCACCATCATCACCATGATTACCATTACCATCACCATTATCATCACCATCATCATCCTTACCATGATCATCACCATCATCACCGTGATCACCATCATCATCACCATCACCATCACCATGATCACTATCACTATCACCATCATCATTACCACCATCAGCAGCAGCACCATCATCACCATGATCACCATCATTATCACTATAATCACCGTCATCATTACCATCACCATCACCTTTATCACTGTCACCACCACCATCATCACCATCACCATCAACACCAACAACATCATTATTGTCTTTCAACTAGGTAGCAGTGACCATTAATTTTATGTGTCAACTTGACTGGGCCCTGGAGTGCTCAGATGACTGGTGAAACATCATTTCTGGGTGTGTCTGTGAGCGGGTTTCTGATGAGATTAATGTTTGATTAGATGGACTTAGTAAAGCAATGGCAGTCCCCAGTGTGGGGAGGCATCGCCTAATACTTTGGGGGCCTGAATAGAATACAAAGCATAGGAGGAGAGATTTTGCTCCTCTGCCTGACTGCTTGACCTGGGACATCAGTCTCTTCCTGCCCTCAGACTAGAACTCACACCACCAGCTCCCCTTGTTCTCAAGCTTTCAGTCTCACCCTGAATTACGCCAGGGCTTTCCTGGGTCTTCAGCTTGTGGACAGCACGTGGTGAGCCTGCTAAGCCTTCATAATTGTATAAGCCAATTCCTTGTAAAAAATTTCCTTCTGGTCAGGTGCAGTGGCTCACACCTGTAATCCCAGCACTTTGGGAGGCTGAGGCGAGGGGATCACGAGGTTAGGAGATTGAGACCATCCTGGCTAACACGGTGCAACCCTGTCGCTACTAAAAAAACTACAAAAAATTAGCCAGGCGTGGTGGCAGGTGCCTGTAATCCCAGCTACTTGGGAGGCTGAGGTGGGAGAATGGTGTGAACCCGGGAGGCGGAGCTTGCAGTGAGCCGAGATTGCACCACTGCACTCTAGCCTGGGTGACAGAGTGAGACTCCATCTCAAAAAAAAAAAATCTCCTTCTATATGTACATCCTATTGGTTCAGTTTCCCTGAAGAACCCTAATACAGTGACTGAGGCACACTTTGGCTAAACCCACTGAGCAGAATCAGGGTCCTGGGAAAACACCAGGCTGTGGTCAAGGGTCTCAGGCTTCAGCCCCAGTCCAGCCACGGGCCAGTGGGGAGGCCGGGAGTCAAGCATCATACTGGCTGCTTCTCCCTGACTCTATGCTCCTTTCTGGCGCTAGGCTAGCATCCAGTGAGCCTTACCCATCCTGGTATTTTGCTCACAAAGGTGAGCAAGTCCAAAGGCACCGAGTCCACGTGAGCCCTAGGTTCCTACAGACTCAGGAGTTTCTCCTGGGGAAAGTTGTCAGAAGGAGGCAACCACACTTCTGAGAGCTGCCTAGCAATTCTGAACTCCCTGTGACCCTCAATCAGAGCGATTTGTTGAGCAAACAATAGCAGGTGATTAATAAAAGATGTAAGAGAAGGACCTGTCTTCTCGTGGTTAATTGCCTCTCACCTTTCCAAGACAATCCAGCACATTCTCTGTTGTGTCCCCTGAGAAACGGGGCTCCTTCCCAGAGAGGCAGGTGTGAAACCCAGGGCTCCAAGTGTGTTTCCAGCAATGTTAAAATGTTCTAGCCACTCCTTGGTGTTGGTTGGCATGAAAAGGTGCCCTCTCAGATGGTGAGAGCATGTCTGTGTGCATGTGTGAGGCACACAGATAGCTGTGGCGTGTCTTATTTCTTCAAATCCTCCCTAATTCTTTTCATGTCAAAGCCCATTCAGGTAGTGCTAGAGGCAGCAGAAGCCACTGTGTGGTTGGAACAAGGAGTGGCTCCAGTCACTGCAGGGAGTGGGCAGGTGTTATGTCCCAGCTGTGGCCGCAGCAGCATCACGAAGGGGCCGCCTTCCAAGTCAAACCAGAGATGGGTCTCTGAGAACAGCTGTGACAGCCACCTTCCCTCATGTCTTCACCCATCCCCAGCCATACCTTGTTATTTTTTACATTCATCTCTCCATGTATTCACAGTTTTACAAAGGAGCACACGGAACCCAACCCAGTCTGGGAAATAGGCGTGATGCCCCGCAGGAGGTGGTGAGGGAAGGTGGGGCCAGGTGCTCCAGGTTAGAGTGGCTGGGGATGGTAAGCGTGGGAGGCAGAGGGGGAGGCACCAGGAGCCTTTCACTTAGAGATGACGAAGGGAGAAGGAAAAGACCCATCCAGAATCCAATTATGTTAACTCATCTCTGCTATTGATCCTACATTCCAGGCCTGGGAAAAAACCCCAAAACCTAATTACTGCACCGCTAATGACTGAGATGACAAATCGAGGAGCCTCCAGGCTGCTGATGGTAAGAATTTAAGGCTCTGAGTCTCTGTGGGGGAGGGTGCCCTGGGCTCTGTCACTTAAGGAGGGCTTCTCTCCTGGCTTTGCGGATCACTCAGCACACACCAAATGCCTCTGGGCACCTGAAAGCCCACGCACGATTCCTACCGCGTTGGTTTTCTTCATTTCCACCTGTAGATGTTGGAGCCAGTTGATTCCAGAGGTTCTCGTTCTGAGGAAGGGTATTTGCTGGCCTCTTCTCCCAAGCCCAGAGAAAGACAGCAGGCTTTCCATGGAAAAGACGCCAATGAAATCAGTTAGGGCCCCTGTCTTCCGGAAGCCTTGGGAGGTGGTGCTGGCCATCTGCGGCTGTTGTCCTGAGCACCTCTGGAGAGGCAGCTGGAGTGACAGCCATATCGCCGCTGCGATCTGCTGATATAATTACATAGAGAATGCATTTAATGCTTCAGTGGGCAAGTTGGTATAACAGTTTAATTTTTCACTGAAATCTAAATTTGCTCCCAGACTGTATATTTTTCTATCATATTAGATAATCAATCAGAGCAGAAATCCAATTTTAACTCCATCAACACCCCTCTGGAGAAAGTTACACAGTGAGCGCCCTCTGGTCTAGGCTGCTCGAGGCTGGCGTGTGAGCCCACACTGGGATGTGCAGATGAGGAGTGGTCCCTTGGCTCACCGAGGCCTCCCCAGGAAGAGACTGGCTGTGGTTCCCCAGGAGCTGAGGCCACTGGCTGGGTGCAGGGTGGGGGCTGCCAGCTGTCCACGGTGCTGGGGGTTCCCCCCTGTCCCCTCATGGCCATAAGGAAGAGGCCAGGCTGCAGAGAAGTGGCCAGACAAAGCAGTGACCTCAGGGTCTTCCAGAGACCTTCCTGCTGCTTCTTGGGCATTGGACGATTCTAGTGTTTTTCATGCGAAGCAGACGGGGCCTTTGGACCTTCTGTGGACAGGGGTTCTGGAAAACCCCTGCCCACATGTAGACAGACTTGTGTCCCCAAACCACGTTCTGATCTTGGCCCTGCTTCTTCCCCATGGAGTCAGTGAGAGGCTGGGACTTCAATTCTTCTCTCCTGCCTTCCCTGCGGCACAGGGCAGCCTGCTTCATGGCCACAGGCCTGTGGTTGGTGACTGAAGAGGCAGAAGACAGGGCGTGGGTGGGTGGTCTCTGCCTGGTGGCATGCAGGTTGGTGGGAAGGCCATGTCACTCGGGTGGGCTGGGGGCAGCTGGTCCAGCTGTCTCAGGCAGGGCCACCACTCTGGGCAGGCTGTGTTCCTGAGGGGCCAGCTCACCGCCATCGTCACCTGCAGACACCAGACAGCATGTGGGAGTCTCCGTCTGCTTCAGAACGAGCCCCTGACAGACGGCAGGGACAAGCCCCCCGGGGTGGGGGCACCCACAAGCACACACAGTCCCCAGCCTCGCACCAGCCTGGACTTTACTGGAACAGGGCAGCCACGTTTGGAGGCCCCAGGTCTGCACCCTCCTAAGGCTGGGACCGCAATTGCCATACCCAGAAATCACAGACTCCAAAGAGGCATTCCATCCATGAATGGGGGTTTTTATTCTATAAACAGGAAGGACTCACTAACTGGGCCACATGAGAGAGAGCCTGCTGGGATTGGGATTTGCAAAAAAATTTGTTTTTTTGGACAACTGAAAAGCAACCCGTTGTTATCACAGGCGGCGTGGGCAGGGCCTGGAGGGCATCAGGGGTCTCCTTGCTCAGGAGGTCCTGAGTGGGCGAGTGGACCTTGCCGTCCATCACCCGCACATCCACCTCACAGCGGGGAGGGTGTCAGAAAGAGGACGACGCCAGCGTTCGTGCCTTTAGGATTTCCAGGCCACGGTTGTCTGTGGAAGGGTCTAGAATGGCGTCTTCTCTGAGGGGTGCACATGTTAGCAGGCGTCTCTCTTGCCTTCCCGGCCAGCAGGCTCTCTGAGGTCACCACCGCAGCTGCACGCCTTGGCATCCTGACCTCGGGCTTCTCTGTGACTTGAGCAGCTCGGCCTCTGCAGATGCACGGGATGAAGGGGAGGTACGCAGCCCGGCCCCCGCCAGCACTGTCCTCCCTACATCTATTTCAGAGGACAATGTGCTCAGCTGTGTGCCAGGTTCAGACCCATGCCTGGGTGGCAGGAGGGGGAGACACAGCCCCCTTGGCCTTAGCCAGGAAGCGAGGTGATCGCCGTTAGGGCTGCAGAAGGAGACCAGAGGAGAGGCCCTCCCCTGGTGAGGTATTAACCATGTTTCCTTGTTTCTGTGTATGATGCATGGACCTGGGGGGATGGGGGCTGCTGATCAGGGAGGGACTGGGCACTCCAGCCCAGGTTAGCCTGTCCCAGAGCTGGCAAAGGACTCTCCTGTTATGCAAACCCCCCAACCCAGAGCCCACAGTCCACCTGCCTCCTGTAGCAGAGCCTACACCAGGTCCCTGCCCTCATCACCAGGGCCAGGTACCAACTAGGGGCAGCCCCCATGCTCTGGAGCCAGCTGGAATCATTCAAACTCCCCAGCTCTGAACCCATTCAGCCTGCTGCCCGGCCTGGTGCTTCTTCCCAGGAAGCCACAGGAAAGGTTCTGCCGCAGCTCCCCCAGCTCCCTCTGCCCGTGGCCACCCCGGAGCCTCCCGACGTGGCCCTGCCTGGTGTGGGTGCCTCATTCTCTGGATCTGTGAGTAATAAGTGATCTTTTCAGTGACAGCCATCTCCTGACCTGTCGGCCTCACCATACCTGGATACAAATGTAACCTGCAGCCTAAAGCTGCTGCGTGGAGGGCGGTCCACTCTGTACCTGGCAGCCGGCTGTGCGAGTGCTGATGGGGTGGGGCAGGAGGTTGGCACCAGGGTTCTTTCCATCCTGTCCTCCGCAGATGTGCGGGCTTCACTCTTGGCACTCACGGTCCCACTCAGGGCTCTGTAGGACGAGGCTTCCCTGGACTGCTCACCTCTGGTTCCAGCGTGGTGGATATTACATGGGGGCTCAGGCCCAGATGTGCGGTGATGCTGGCACTGCCAGGGGACACAGGGATGTCCCTGCCCCTCCAGGCTTCACCTCCAGGCAGCGTTCTTCTTGGCTGTGGCCCAGACACCCCCCACCCCGCCCCTGAGCTGAGGTGGGCCAGGCTGTGGTGGGGACTTGCCTGGCGGGGCCTCCAGGCAGGGGTTGGGCTGAAGCAGGCCGTAATGAAGGCCGGTGAGGCTGGTTCATGACCATTAGGGGCCGGCCAGAGGCTCCCCTAGGCAGGCTCCAAGAGGAAGCCCCCCTCTGTGATTTTTGCAGATTTTGATTGACATGGCCAGGTTAGGAGGCAGATGGATTTGTTTCTCTTCTTGCCCTGAAATCTGTCCACATTAGCCCCTCGCCTCGGCTGAGTGGCGCCGGCATGCACCTGGGCCCGGCTTCCAACCAAGGTCTCCCTGGCTTCTCGGGAGGCTGGGTTGGGGAGGGGAGGAGGGGACATCTGTCAGATGCATGGAGGGCTCCTCCCAGACCTCGGACCTGCAGCACGTGGGGGCAGAAACCTGGACAGGCCAGAAGCTCAGGGTTATAACAGGCTGCAGACCTGGCCATCACTGAGGGGCTGGCCCTGGTCACAGAGACCTCTGTGGACCTCAGTGTTCCCCTCCAGCAAAGGGTCATGGTGCAAGGGGGCCTTCCATTCATGGTCCTTCCCCAGCCCCAGGCCATCCCGAGGTTCACGGGCAGGAGAAGGGCTGGCAGGGCTCCCTGCAGCTCCCCCAGGAATGAGAAGATCCACTGAGCAGTGCCCGCCCTGTGTGCCCGCCCAGGCCCCAGATAGGGAGGGGCTGAGTTCCAGCTGCTCTCATCCCTGGTCGCCTCCCAGGAAGCCTGCCCAGGCCTAGTGCCTGTGGGGAGGCCTCCTCACATCCCACAGCCCCTTGCATTTCAGCCGTGTGCTCTGCGGACAGGAGTGTGTGCCCTGAAGCAGGGGACATCAGAATGGCAGGTTAGGTTCCTGTTGGTGCTTGTGGGTTCAGAGTCTCCAGCCCCCTGGGCCTGTGGCCTGCTCCATGAGATGAGGGAGACCCCCTTCCATCCTTCCTTCTGCCAAGTGCCCTGAGTGTAAAGCTGCAAGCAGACGTCAAAGAGACTCAGAGGCAGAAGCTGGAACCCCCAGCTCACTGTGCTCAGGAGGCACCTACTAAGCCCAGCCTGGCTGCTGCTCCCCAAGAGCCAAGGGAACCCACGGCCACCCCAGCTGCAGGAACACTGCCTCTGTCTTCCAGTGGGAAGCCTGGCGGTCTAAGAACAGGGTCCGCTGTGGCCGAACATCGCCAAGTGTCCAAACTACCCGTGGGACTCACCCGGACACTGCCTGGCTCAGGTCCACACGTGGCTCCCTGTGCTCCGTCCTTGGGCAGCAAAGCCTGGACAACCGACGCAGAACAGTTCGACTGCCTGATCATGCCACGGGCCTCCATTTCCCCAGCAGCGGACATGACCACCTCTGCTCAGTATTTCTCTGAGAAGGGGAAACTGAAGCCAAAACCTGTGTTCATGGACAGATGCACTATGGCTGGGATGCTGCAGGAGGGGGTCTCCCTTGGGCCCCGTGTGCCCACATGCCAGGGCTGGGCCCTCTGTGTTGAGTCTGTGCACCAAGAATGAACCCTGGCACCTTCCTGAACTGAAAGGATGGCAGGGAGGAGAGGGCACAGCCTGGGGAACCTGCTTTTCTCTGCTACCTCCTCCCCCAGTGGACACTGGAGACAGGCCCTCTGTGGCTGTGGCCCCCGCCCTGGCTAGGAGACAGAGCCAGGAAGGATGGAGCCGTGACCAGGCAGGGCTGGGACTCACACCCTGGAGGCATCCCATCTGCCCTGTAAGTGGGGACCAGGACCTCCCTCTGGCCAAGCACGCCTAGGAGAGTTGCGGGATCCAGCCACGCATGAAGGGGTGGGTGCCCGGGTGGATGTGAAGGAACTGGACACAGCGAGGCCGTCAGCCGTGGAGCTGCGGGTGTGGATGATGGTGGTGGGACAGCAGCTCTGCTGAGACCATCTCAGGCCACACAAAGAAGGGGAGAGCCAGAGCCGGTCTCAGGGGCTGGGACTGTGTGGGGGGCAGGGTGACCTCAATGCTCTGGACCAGTGAGAGGTCCCCTTCCGGAGCCAGGGCTACAGTGGATGGATGTCCCTGTGCTCAGGGGATCCGGGAGGTGCAGCCCCCATGCCCTCAGCCCCACCTCAGTTTGCAGAAGTCAGTGACACAGACTTCTCTGCTCTAGGCTTTCCATTTGCTTCTGATGAGTCCATCTAAATGGTTTGGGAAAATAAGAAAAAAGGGGGGTTTGTTCTGTTTTGTTTTGTTTTTGAGAGACGGAGTCTTACTCTGTCGTCCAGGCTGGAGTACAATGGTGGGATCTCGGCTCACTGAAACCTCCACCTCCCAGATTCAAGTAATTCTCCTCCCTCAGTTTCCCAAGTAGCTGGCACTACAGGCACACACCACCACGCCCAGCTAAATTTTGCATTTTTTAGTAGAGATGAGGTTTCACTGTATGTTGGCCAGGATGATCTTGAACTCCTGACCCCAGGTGATCCCTGCGCCTCGGCCTCCCAAAGTGCTGAGATTATAGGCATGAGCCACCGCGCCCAGCCAAAAAAAAAGGGTTTTGTGAGCCACTGTCTCCTCATCCATACAGGAGGAAGACCCTCCCTACCTCCCACCCGAGGCTGCGTGAGATAAAGTCAGACATCACCCAAACGGAGCTCAGAGACATGAACGCTCTAAAAGGAACATGAACAAAGCGAACAGTCATTGGAAGATGTTGAGGAGACTCTCTCATAAGTGTGGAGTGCGTTAGGTTTTCTAAATCAAAACTTTAAACCCGGATGTCACAAGCAACATTCAGTTATGTAAAAAGTTTCAACAGTGTTATTAAAAAAAGCCACCGTAAACGAAGCAGATGACAGTTACATGCAGGAGAAAATATTGCAGCATATAAAACAGGAACGAGATTAACACTCAGAATAAATAAAGAACGCCTATAAATCAATGAGAGAAGAGAGACAAATAGGCAATGTGCACGGCTGATTTACAGAAGAAGCTGCACACACATGGCCGTGAACATCTGAAGGATACGCGTCTTCCGGAGAATCGGCAGCTCAAAATGCAACAAGGCTCTGTCGTTACGCCGTCGCACATTGGCAGTCATTTCTAACCAGGGATAATTTAATTTCAGGGGAGTTTCCAGGGGAACAGGAGCACCAGGAGACATTTGGTATGAGGCTAGATTGGTGAAGTCATTTTGGAAACAATTGCTTGTTGATATAAAAAGTGACAGCACATGAGCTGAGCGATTCTACTTTGAGAAATGGAAATGAAGAGACAGAACGGGGGCTGCAAACCCGCCGCACCAAGCTACCTGTGCAGGTGCATAGAAATGTCCAGGAAGCAACGCTCAGCACGATGATGCTTAGGACGCAAATCTTTTTTTTTTTTTTTTTTTTTTTTTTTTTTTTTTGAGATGGAGTCTCGCTCTGTCGCCCAGGCTGGAGTGCAGTGGCGTGATCTCGGCTCACTGCAAGCTCCACCTCCCGGGTTCACACCATTCTCCTGCCTCAGTCTCCCGAGTAGCTGGGACTATAGGCGCCCACCACCACGCCTGGCTAATTTTTTGTATTTTTAGTAGAGACAGGGTTTCACTGTGTTAGCCAGGATGGTCTCGATCTCCTGACCTCATGATCCGCCCACCTCGGCCTCCCAAAGTGCTGGGATTACAGGTGTGAGTCACCGCGGACGGACGCAAATCTTAATGCCTACCAGCAAGAAGACGCTAAATTATTATACATTCTTGCTATGGATTTCCAGGCTCATGTTGAAAATAAAGAGAGGGAGAGATTTCTTGTGATGGAAGGATAACCCTAATGACATTCCTGAGTCCTAAAGAGCCTATGGCAGAGCCCAGCAGAGAGTTGTCCTGATCAGTTAATTGAAGAGGAAGGGAGTGTGCATCGGCCTGTGTGTGTGTGTGTGTTGTGTGTGTGTGAAGATGAAAGATCCTATCAAGCAAGTCTCGTGCAGTGTGGGAATGTGAAGGATGACCTGAGACCGGCTTTGGAAAAGGCCAAGGTTCCAATGAGCAGATCCCAAGACAGAGGAGAGAGTGTGGAGAAGAGGAGTCAGTGGCAGTGCTCCAGGACTGTGAGGAGTCCCCTGGATGATCGGGAGAGGACCCTCGGTGTGGATTTGGGGGTGTCGTGATAAAGATGCCATAGGTGCCGATGGAGAGAGAAGCAGGTAATCCTTCAGATGGACCGGGGATCCCAGGCATCACACCGCCTTCCCTGGATGCAGGAGGTGCTGGGGGCTCTGAGGGAAGGACCAGCAGCTGCACGTGCCATCTCACTTTGTGCTCTCCCCTCTCCTGACATTGCTGTTGGGTTGTTTAATAAATAGCTGAGCGAATGAATGAAGGAAGGAACAATGCCTGTCACTGGATTTCCTCCACACTCTGGGAGGACTTCCTGCCCTTTATCACCTGATGACATCTCAGACCCTGAGGGTTACAAAGACCAAGACCTCTCCCTCTCTGATTTGCTGGAAGGCCTCGACCCATCCTTAGCATACCCCTTAGCAGCTCAGAGAGCAGGCAGCTGGGCGGCCCAGGAACCTCTGAACTGAGCGGGGGCAAAGGCGGCCCCCCACAGGGGCAGCCTCTTCTCCATCCCCCAGGCAGGGTCTCTTTCTGGACTCAGTATGCAGAGCCCAGCTCTCCTGGAAGACCATTTACAAAGAGCTTTGTATGGACATGGAAACCAAATGAGAATTCCAGAGCCAGGCTCTCCCTAGCCGAATTCTTCCCTCCAGGCCTGTCCTGGGGCTATCGGGCTTGCCTCCTCTCCGCAGTATAGACAGCTGGTTCCGTGCTGCTCACACCTGCTGGGCCCTCCTTGGTGGTGGCTCTCTGCACCTGCTGAGTCATCCTTGGCGGTGGCTCTCTGCACCTGCTGAGTCATCCTTCATGGTGGCGCTCTGCACCTGCGGAGTCATCCTTGGTAGTGGCTCTCTGCTCCTACTGGGTCCTCCTTGGTGGTGCCTGTCTGCACCAACGGCATGGCTTCAGTCATGCCAGCTCTGCCTTTCTTCAAGTGCTAGAGACACATTGAAAAGTTTTATGCAAAGCAATTTCTATCCTTCTATTGATAGGTCCATTATTTTCTGATACTGGATCAGTATCCAGTATCACCACCACACCCCGCACTCCCCCACCACAGCTTCATCTTCAAGGAATATATAAATTTTAAATAAATATTTGCACCCACAGGACAGCTGCCTTTGAAGGAAATCTATGAGTGCCCTCTTGAAGATACAGATTTTCTTGCTTCTTTACAAGTTGAATAATGTCCCCTACATGTATCTGCTTTGTTGATCCAGATTTTCATATATCATGTTTTCCTGTATGGCTTTAAGATAAGTAGTGTTCCTTATTCCTCCTTGAAGATAATGTTCTCAGAAGGAAATACATCTTTGGAAGAAGTGGAATAATTTACAACCAGTTGGACGAGGACTTCAGTGCCTCATCCTTTTATGACCTAGACATGGGCTGAGAAAGAGGGTCTTACTGAGGACACAGTGTGCCTCGGTGGGGATCCCTGCTCTGGAGAGCAAGGGACATTCAACAGCAAGCACAATAATTATTCACATCTCCTTTATTTTTTAAAGGCTATGCCTCATAGGTAACCCTGCCAAGCAAAACACTTGTCACCTCATTCAACCTGTCACCTCATTCAACAGACACATGGAGAGGCCCCACAATGTCCCCCAACTGCCACTTGCTGGAGACCAGACCCTCAGCCTCCCTGCTTCTGCTGGGCATCCCTCTGCTCAGGGGAGCATCTTGAGGCTATACAGGTCTCAGGTGCAGCTGGCAGCAAAGAGACATAGGAGGAGGTGGTTGAACCCACCCTGCAATGTCCAAGGTCCAGGTTAAACCCTGAGAGTGGGTGAGTGTGTCTGGTCCTGTGACTCAGTTTCCCTACCTGTAAAACAGAGCTTCAACGAGATGAACGATAGTCCTGAGCATAACAGTCCACAGGGGCCCACGAGCCGCTTCTGCGTCCCAAGCCCTCGTTTCTGCATCCTGTCTTCACTCTGCTCACCTCTGAATGAACCCCATGGTCCCCTGGAGGACCTAGGTGAAGAAATACCCTAAACACCTCCCCAGGCATCGAGCTCATGCCTCCAGCACAAGGCCTGGGGCTGTAACGCAGGGAGCTGGGCTCCAGCTTGAATGCTGTTCTTTCTTTCTTTCTTTTTTTTTAAAAGGGGTGAAATCCACATAACACAAAGTGAACCACTTTAAAGTGAACACTTTCATGGCGTGTGGTACATTCACAGATTCATGGATGCTCGTCTTCTATACCTGAGCTATATCCTGCCTGTCACAATTCCATAGGAAGTAAAAGCCAGCCACTTTCTGTAAATGGGATCTTAAGCAGAACTCTAACACTGTGCACAGAAAGTGTGACTGTGCTGGGTTCGAGGGAGACAGGGTCTGGTCTGTGTCCCCAGCCGAATCTCATGACAAATTGTAATTCCCAGCGTGAAGGGAGGGACCTGGTGGGAAGTGATGGGATCATGGGGAAGGATTTTCCCCTCGCTGTTCTCATGATAGGGAGTGCGTTCTCGTGAGATCTGGTGGTTTAAAATTGTGTAGTGCTTCCCCTCCTTTCTCTGTCTCTCTCCCGCTCGACCGTGTGAGGGCCTTGCCCACTCCCCCTTCACCTGCGTCATGATTGTAAGTTTCCTGAGGCCTCCCCAGCCACGCCTCCTGCAAAGCCTGTGAACCTTTGAGCCAATTAAACCTCTTTTCTTTATAAACTACGCAGTCTCAACTAAAGAAAGGCAGTTCTTTATAGCAATGTGAGAAGGGACTAATACGGAGAAGGGCCACCTGTCCTTTCAAAGGCCCCGCCCAGGACCCTGGCCACCTTTGAAACCAGAGCGTCCAGGTGCCCTCTCGGATGTTTTCTCATCTCGGGAGTCCTGTGGTTTTAACGTTCTTTTACGATCACACCTCTAGAGAGTGCTGATTCCCTGGATACCACAGGACCTCCCTGAGGCGTCCAGGACAGAGCAAGCTTAGATATTAGGCAGAGGTTCTAGGAGCTGTGCACCCCTGCACCCCTGGACCAGAGAGTCTGGGTGAGGAAGTGGGGGCGGGATGTGGGGCCTGATCTCTGGGCTGCTGACCACAGAAAGGGCTCACACCGGGAAGTGGACTTGGGCCTGTCCAGGGCAGTTCCGGGGCAGAAATGGGAGCTGGAGATGTTTGTGGCTGTTCCCGTGAGGATGCTCCAGCCCCAGGAGGCCGTCGGGGAGAGGCCGGTGCTGTGTGGAACCACACATGTGTGAGCCAGTCAGGAGACTGCTGTGTCAGTCAGGAAAGGCCAACACAGTGCACTGTCCTCACACTGGGAGGACCGGCTTCCCACCCCACTCCAGGGCTTTGTGGTAAGCCTGACGCACCCCACTCGAGGGCTGCCTGGTAAGCCTGATGCCTTCGTCAGTCTGGGGAGAGGGGAAGATTTCTCCTCAATGGTGACTGAAGATGAGTGTCTTTGCTACGGTTTGTGATGTTTTTTGCCATCCCTAGGTCCTCAGCAATGGTGAGTCTACTCTCAGGCCAGACACCATTGTCCCCCCACCCCACAAACCACACAGGCACACACACACACACCAGCACATGCACATACACACAAGAGCACACGCTCACACATGCACACAATGCACACATGCACACATGTGACCAAACGCTCACAGATGCACACACACACAGGCAGGCGTCCACACACATGCACACACACGCACATGCACACACACACGCCTGGCCCTCAGTCTTGGATCAGGGCTGGCTGCCTGCGTGCTTGTCTTATGAGGACACGGCCCTCTCATTGCTTCCCCTTCACTAATCATTTCCACTCCAGGCCTGCGTATCTTGTTCCTAGTGTCTGAAAATCCTATTTACTTCCACAACCCCTGGCCGTATTCCAGGCCCCCATGAAGCATTTACTTCGCTCTGTTCCATGACCTGGATTACACTAGTTTCCAGCACAGAGCTTCAGGGCTGGGGACTCATTTCTGAGTAGGTGCAAGAATCCACATACACTGAGGTGAGGGGGGCAGAGGCAAAGTCCCCTGAATCTCAGGTCACACACCTACCTAGCCGGGGAGACCCTCCTGGACCTTAGAGCCAGACTCACCCTGGGTAAGGAGCCCCAGGCTCTGCCTCAGTGTGGTCATATCTGCTTATGCTCTATCCATGATGCCACGAGGAGCCTGTTGCTATGAGCCTGGGAAGCCTGAAGGTTCAGAGGGGATGGCCCAGGCCAGCATGGGGACATCATCTCATCCTGGAGGACCGCCAGGACAGTGCAAAGGGGCCTTGCAGCGCCCATCCCAGGAGGGCCAGGTCGGTGGGCACAGCGAGCTCACCCTCACGCGGGGCCCGGGGCGGCTGGTTCTCCCTGCAGCAGGCTTGTGTGTGTGACCGCAGAATCCTCCACATGGACCCATTTGACATTGGGCAGCTTGCGCTGGAAGGATTTCTTTCCAGGAAGAAACAGAGCACTGCCCTGCCCTCCTCTGCTTCCCAAAGACAGATGGGAGCCCTGGAAAGGGAGCCGGCATCGCCCCCAACCCTAGGGCTGGCGCAGGGGCCAGCAGCCAGCAGAAGAGCTTGATTGCTGTTCCCTGGATCTAAAAATGGATAAACAACCGTGAATGCCAGCGAGGTCCAAGCCATATTCATCACCATTACAGAGAGTAATTCGGCGTGTGCTTGTTAATCAATCACTGCTCTCCCTGGGTCTCCAGCCGGGCTGGGCCCCGAGAGTGGACGGCCATCACCAGCCCACGGGCCGCAGTCCAAGCATGATGGATGGCAGCTGCTGCAGGCTCCAATCTGGAGCTGAGTGCTGGGGCTCAGGCTGGCTGCACACGGGCAGCCCTGCAAATGAGAGGGGGGAAACTGAGGCGGGCTCCTGGCAGGGCGTGAGGCATGCCCTCCCTCATGTGCTCTGTGTGTGACAGGGCAGGGGGTTGGGCAGTGCCACTGGGAGACCCACCTGCTTGGGGGCAGGGGAGGTGAGTGCTGGGAGGCACAGTGTGTGGGCCTCAGCGGCCTCATTCCACGACGTGTTCTTAATTAAAATAATCATGTGCTCCATGGACACAGCAGTGTTTCAACAGGGGGTCACACCCATATGAGAGGTTGGAATTTGCTCAGCAGAGCAGGAGGAGAGGCGAAGAGAGCCAGGCCCAGCAGGTTAAGGAACGTGTCATTTTGGAAAGTGAGCACGTGAGCCTGTGGCAGGGGCGGCGTGGCCAGGTCACGTCTGGTTCCCATCTCAAATCCCCTCTGCCCCGTGGCACCTGTGCCATAGACTTCTCGCTTTTCCTCTCCACCCTGAGGGCAGAGGTGCTGGGCACCTGCACGAACAGTGGCAGTGAACTCTCCCCTCCTGGTCCTCACGGCCAGGCTGGCCCTTGGTGACCATCACTGGTGCCCCTTGATGACCATCACACACTGCTGTCCCCACGGCCAGGCTGACCCTTGGTGACCATCAGTGCTGCCCCTCGGTGACCATCACGCACTGCTGTCCCCACGGCCAGGCTGCCCCTCGGTAACCATCACACACTGCTGTCCCCACGGCCAGGCTGCCCCTCGGTGACCACCACACACTGCTGTCCCCACGGCCAGGCTGACCCTCGGTGACCATCAGTGCTGCCCCTCAGTGACCATCACACGCTGCCATCCCCATCATCACTCCGTCCACTCCAGGGTCTGCCCCAGCAGAGGCTCCTATGATGTCACACTCCTGGGTCTGGCACCAAGGCCTCCACACCCTCGACCCCACCTGTCTGTGCAAAGAGAGCCCCTGTGCCTCTGCCCAGGCCCCGGACTCCCCCAGGGTGGGCCCAGCACAGCCCTCTGTGACCACCATGCTGCTGTGAAGGGGCCTCCTTGGGCTGCATCACGTCTGGCCTGGATAAGGTGCAGCCTGGGACGTGGGCTTGCTCGGAGCCTCCCTGCGCGGCACCCCCAGGGTGCTAACCACAGGTCTTCCCCTCCTGTCAGCCGGTTGTCAGGAGGGCTGGCCCGCCCCTCCCCTGGGGTGCGTTTTCAGTCGGGGGCAGAATTGCTGCCGGTGTGAGGCTTCGGGCCCCATCTGCCGTCTGGAGGGCGGGAAGAGAGCACTGCATATAGAGTTTTGCTTTTCTTGCTTGTCAGCTGAGACCCTGGTAAGCCACTTACAGTGACTGCTCCTCAGTTTCGCCCTCTGAAAATTGGGGATGGGGTGACAGCAACCCTACCAGGTGGCCGAGAGAATCCGATACAAATGTGGAGGCGGCTGGCACGCAGGAGGTGCTGACGAGAATAAGGACAATTCAGAAGTCCCCGGCTGTACCCACAGAGCAAATCATTTGGTGCCCAAGACTGGCCTAAAACTCAGCAGAGAGCAGGGGCTTGGAGGGGCAGGTTTCACATGGGAAAGTTGATGTGCAACTTTCAACTTTCAAGTTCTATGTAGAACTTGAAGAGAGGGAACATGAGAGACTGCTGGGGTTGGAACTCAGGCAGATCCGGGGGGCAGGAGCTGAGCCGGGAAGGGGTCGGAGTCCAAATGCCGGGCCGAAGCCCCCAGGGTGGCCAGCCTTAATTCTGTACATGCCGCAGGGAGACAGCGCTCACAGGACCCCAGCCAGCAGCTGTGCTCCCTGGAAGCCCAGCCCCTGTCCCACCATGAGGATGGAGCAGCAGCCAGTGTCCTACCCTGGTCTTCTCTGCAGCCATCGTGAAAGTGTCCACACTGGCACAACCGCTCCAGCTCCTGCATCCAGTGTGGGCTGCTGCGCAGGACACGGCCGTAGCCCCAGGACAGAGCAGGCTGCTCCCAGGTCCATCTCCAGCAGTGCGATTTTCAGTGTGGAGTGCAGCGTGGAAAGTGCTATTTGGTGGGATGGGGCCATTAGCATTTCCCTTGGAAGCCCCTATCAGGACCCTGGGCTGGACCTGGACGCAGCAGAGCTGCCGTCTTTACTAAGGTGGCCAAGTCCACTGGGCACTGGGCATCTCTGCATGAAGGTGCTGCAGAGTGAGGCTGGGGATGAAGGTGCTGCAGAATGAGGCTGGCTGCATGAGGTGCTGCAGAGTGAGGCTGGGGTGCCCGAGAGCAGACCAGCCTGGGGTGCTGGGGCTCAGGGCACCCGGCGGTCACCAGCCCCTCTCTTTGCAGCTCCCACTGCTGTAGCTGTCTCCCCTGATGTGGTTGTCACCTTGGCGTCCTCCAGCCTGGCAGAGCCCAGCTCATCAGGGTGGCTTCTGCTGGAACCACGGCCGGTCCAAAAGGCTCTTTAATCACCACTTTATTCATTCACGGAACATCTGCTGAGCCGGGCCTGTCCAGCATCTGCAGGTGACACTGGGAACGGAGGAAAGCGGTCTGCCCTGGTGCTGCCCAGCAGACAGGTGCAGGCGGCCTGCGCTCCCCCCTCCACTCATATACACACCACACACACAAGCTCGGATGCATGCACACATTCGCTCTCTCTCTCTCTGTCTCTCTCTCTCTGTCTCTCTCTCTCTCTCTCTCTCTCATTGCCCAGGTGAAGTCCTTCCTGCAGAATCCCCACTGCTTGCAATTGTGTTTATTTGCTCATTGATTTGCTATTGTCCAGATCTCCAACTGGAACATGTGCCCCAGGAAACAAGAGAAGGATCCCCAAATAAAATATAGAACCCTGGAATTTCAGATAAACAACCCATCGTTGTCGGCGTAAGTATGTCCCAGGCATTGCAATTATTGGCTGGGCTATACTTGTCTAGAAACCTGTCCCTTGTTCATCTGAAGCCCACATTCACCTGGGGACCCTCTGTTCATATTTGTTAACCCTGATGACCGTAGCCCAGGAGGCAAAGGCAGTGGCTGCCTGAGTGCAGCAGGTCCCAGGGCCCCCATGCCTAATGCTGGCCGCCACCTCGTGGGGCGTGGCCTGAGCACCTGGCGTGTCATGCTGGGCCCCAAAAGCGACGCCAGGGGCGTGTTTCTGGTGTTTCCGAACTGGGGGCTTTATTGAGGTAACTGCAGATTCACACGCACCTAGAGGGACCACGCAGGGAGTGCTGCTTCCCTCTGTCCACTCGGACGATGCCTCGCAGGGCCGCAGCCCCCGCCACCCGGATGCTGGCCTGGTGAGGTGGTCCCCAGGACTCACACTCACTGGTGCAGATCAATGCTGAGCCATATCAGCGCATGTGTGCGTTCGTTGACTACCTTGATGCAGGGCAGATGAGCCCCCAAATTGGGGTTTAGTCAGGGAGGGTTCTTGGCTTCACCCAGAAAAGAATTCCAGAGCAAGCTGGTGGTGTTAGACAACTTTATTCAAGCGGCTGCAGAGATGTGTTCCTTGAAGAGCAGGGCCCCCCATAAGCAATGTGCCCAGAGCAGCAGCGAGATTCTGTCTCAAAAAAAAAAAAAAAAAAACGGAAATTGCCACACCAGAGCAGAGGGTGGAGTTGGGCAGCCCAGAGACTCCTGGGGCCACCAGAGGCTGGAAGAGGCAGGAAGGGTCCTCCCCCAGACCTGGGGATGGGGCGTGGCCCTGGGACACCTCCGTGTCAGGCTCCTGGCCTTTGGAACTGTGGCAGCAGGCATCTCTGTTGCTTTAGGTCCCCAGTTTGTGGAATTTCCTGGAGTCCTGGAGGCTCGCACAGGCAGTGAGTGAGGAGGCGCTTGGGAAGCTGGGGACCTGGTGACGTGGGGGTGGAGGGGTGGGCAGAAGGCCCAGCGAGGCTAGGCTCCTGAGGCTCTGTGGTGTGCCAGGAAGGCCAGGAGGTTGGCCAGGCCACGGGGGCCCTGAGTCCAGTGACGAATATGTTGAGTGGTGGTGAACTCATAGGTTACTGGGGCTGGACAAGGCTGAGTCTGAGTCAGGTTTAAAGCTAGATCTCGGTGGGACCTGGTGAGGCACGTGACCTCACTGAGCCTTAGTTTTCTGGCCTGTAAAAGGGGTGGAGGCCACCTGTGTTAAAGGCAGTGGGCACCACACCTGGCACCCAGGAGCCCCCAGGCTGTTGGGAGTTTTGTGTGGATCCAGCCCACTCTGGGTTGTGGGTAGCTGCGACCCCAACGTAGGCTGGGTTTCAGCATCCTCTGACCTTCCCCTCTTCCCGCCCACAGCCATCAGCGAGAGCTTCCTCCCCACCTCTGTGAGTTTAATTTCTAGGAGGCTTCATGGGAAGTGGAGGAGCGTGTACTGTCACCCACGTGCTCCACCTCTGGGCATTTGTTAATGTGAGCGAGAGATAATTCCAAGTCTGTCTGAGCCTGCTCTCTAGGGTGACGCCCGGGGTGGAGATATCAGCTGCATGAGGAGTCTGTCCGAGCCTGGTCTCTGGGGTGACGCCTGGGTGGGGGTATCGGCTGCTTGGGGAGGGGCGAGGCAGGTGCCGATCTGCCTGTTCCTCAGTTCCCAGGGGCTACTCCAACGGCTGAAGGGTGCCAAGGAGCCCATGCTTTATTTCCACTGAGGATTAGCCCCGGCACGGAGGCTGCCATTCCTCCATGACGGCAATCACGAAATGACAGGACTTGTGGGAAACTGCCTTTTTATTGCATTTCAGGCGGAGAAGACATCAGGTCATATACCAAGCAGAAGGCTGAGAGACGGGAACATAACGGGAATTACTCCAGAAGAAAATAATTCCTCCCTCAAAGTCCTGTACAAATGTCGTGTCCCTCCCACCTGCCTTGTCACCCAGGTGCCCTGTGGGAGAAGCTTCTGGGTGCTTCTGGAGACGGAGATCCAGGGTCCTCGAGGGCCCAGCTTTGCAGGAGAAGTAGACAGGCCCCCACCGGTCCCCACGCCTGGAGACCGTGCCAAATTCCATGCACATTAAACTCAGCCCAGGGCGTCAGAGGCCCCCCTTCAGCGGCCTCCTCAGAACCTCCCAGACCCGCTGTGGCTGCAGGCCTGGCCCTGGTGTCCTGGATGGAGGAGCAGAGGCCTGGAGAGCTGACTCTGTGGACAGCCCCCGGCCTCACT
This sequence comes from Homo sapiens, assembly GCF_000001405.40. Classification (NCBI taxonomy): domain Eukaryota; kingdom Metazoa; phylum Chordata; class Mammalia; order Primates; family Hominidae; genus Homo; species Homo sapiens. The sequence goes on from NC_000022.11 coordinate 49,093,589, forward strand.
GCACACCAAGGACAACTTCACACTAACAGCATCCGTGCAGGGCCGCCCACAGGCCCGGGCAGGGGTGTCACAGTTTCCAGAAGCCCCTGCTTGTGTCTTGCCTTTTTCACGCAGACGACTGCACACATCCCGGCGCCGGCCTCGCTCTGAGGACCAGATGGGCTGTGGCACCCACATGCACTTCGTGTTGGGCACCCCCACCCCCCACCCCCAGCACCCTGCCTGGAGACACCTGTGAGCCAGTCAGAGGCCCTCCTGGGCACACACACCTGTCACTTGGAGCCCGCAGGCAGCGGCTCCCACAGCATGAGCTCACAGACGCAGGGGTGTTTGGGTCATAGCAACCCACGAAGCTCAATTCAGCCCCGGGAGAGCATTTTTATTTTTGTTGAAAATATCCACACCCTTAGTATTTGGGTTCCCAGAGTCTACAACATGAGGTCTCCTGGAAGAAAAGTCAACAAGAATTTAAAAAGAGGAAGGAAGGAAGGAAGGAAGGAAGGAAGGAAGGAAGGAAGGAAGGGAGGGAGGGAGGGAGGGAGGGAGGGAGGGAGGGAAGGAGGGAGGGAGGGAGGGAGGGAGAGAGGGAGGGAATTAGGAAGGAAGGAATTAGGAAGGGAGAGAGGGAAATAGAGAGAGGAAGGATGGAAGGGAGGGGGTATGGACGGTGTGCCCAGGTACCTCCTTAGCTCTGTCACCCACAGAGGACACATCACATCCGGGCACGCTCTGGGCTGCCAGGGACCTGCAGGTGGCCTCAGGGTGGTTCCTCCTTTTCTGCCTGGGGGCTCCGGGGAGGGGGCACTGAGCCTGGGCCTGAGGCTCGGCCTGGCAGCTGCTCTGGGTAAATGGCTGCTGTGAACAGTTCTTTCTTCTGGGCCTGATTGACATTAATTAAATATTTTAATATTTGTATCAGAGAAAACGTATTCGGGCACACCTCAGTCATTTCTGATTAAATTGCCAAAGGAGGGCCGCTGTGTGGCTCCTATAAATGAATACATTTTCGACATTTTTTTTTTTTCTGTTGAAGGTAATTTTCATGGCTGGTTTAACTTGTAGGGATGATAGAAAATATTAATAAAACATTTGATGTCTAAGTTTGGGTGGAAGTTTAATAAATTAGATGGGCAAATTTTACTTTTGATCACGTGGCTGAAAATGTTTTAAAAGGGATTTTTTTTTTTTTTTTAAAGAAAGGAGCTTCTGGTGAAGTCTCTGCTCTCTGGGGGTTCTGGAGTCCTTCGGTGTTGGGCTGGGGCCCCCTTCACAGGTGTGGTCTCGGGTTCACGATGATGGGATGAGAGGAGTCTCTGGCTGCGTTCTCAGGAGGGGCCTGGGTGAGAGCCCTCGTTGACACCTTCACATAGACGGAGAAACCCAGGCTCAGCCAGGTGGGTGACGCTTCCCAGGTCCCCACGCTGTGTGTCCCAGATGGGGCAGGATCCTTGCTTCCTGTTCCTGTCTGCTGACTTTTCCCCGAAGCTCCGTGTCACCACGGGACCAGAGGGGCGCATGTGGGCGAATTCAGCCGGCCTGTGGTGGTGGGCACCCAGCCCCGAGGTGAGGCATTCCTCCCCAGCGGGCAGAGGGGCTCCCAAATCCACTCCCAAATCTGCTCCCAAACCCACTCCCGGCGTTGTTGTGAGGCTCTCTGAACCCGAGGAGTGACCAGAAATCCTGGCGAGATCTCTGGGAAGCAGGCTGTGAGAAATATGTTGTTAAAATCCGTTTTTTCAAACAAGGTACCGGCTTTCCCAGAACAGGGAGGCACAGCAGGGTCGGTGGGAGGCCACAGAAAGGAGACAGACCCCGTCCGCGAGCATTCGGAACAGCCATACAGCCCCGGGGCTCCTCCAGCAGGAGGGACGCTTCTCCCCGGGGAAGGGCAGGGCAGGCACCTCGGGAGGAACGGCTGGGTCCCTTACGCCACCAGCACAGCCCAGCAGCTCACAGGCCTTCCCAGCCTGGGTGCAGGCTGGAGCCCCCGCTGAGGTCGGCCTGGCTGGGGCGAGGGTCTGCCTCAGGTGTCACAGGGATGGAAGCCGTGGAACCAGGCCTGGAGAGCGGGTGCTTCCTCCACCTGTGAAGGACTGGCCGGGGCTGAAGGAGCTCAGCAAGCAGCAGGGCCCCACCTGGAAGCAAGGCCGGGTGAGGTGGGGTCAAGACGGGACCCAGCAGGGCCACTGACAAGTCATTCCAGAAGTGCACACCCTCATCCCAAGTGCTCCCCAACACACATGCACACACGGCACACTCAGGCATCCAGAAAGACACACACACAAGCATGTGCACACTCACACACACATGAATGCACTTACATACACGCACATACACAAAGGCGCACACACAGGTATGCACACACACAGCCACACACACGCAGGTGCACACTCACACAGACGCGTGAACGCACTCACATACACAAAAGCACACACAGGCATGCACGCATACATGCATACATTCACACACACGCAGGTGCACACTCACACACACATGAACACACTCACATACACAAAGGCACACACACAGGTATGCAAACACACACAGCCACACACACGCAGGTGCACACTCACACAGACACGTGAACGCACTCACATACACAAAAGCACACACAGGCATGCACGCATAAGTGCATACATTCACACACATGCAGGTGCACACTCACACAGACATGTGAACACACCCACATACACAAAGGCACACATAGGCATGCACACATACATACGTACATTCACACACACACACACGCAGGTGCACACACACACACACATGAACACACACAAAAGCACACACAGGCATGCATGCATACATGCATACGTTCACACACACATGCAGGTGCACACACACACACATATGAACACACTCACATATAGTCACATACACACTGGCCTGCACACACAAATCTACACACACACACACACACACACACAGGCATAAGCACAAGATTGTACAGTTTCATTGGTGTTTAGTCCAACACGCCAAAACCCAGTACCTTGGGCCCTGATGGAATGAGGGCATCTGTGGTACCCTCGGGCAGATTCTCAGCAGCCCTGTGGGGCCATTCCAGCTTTGCTGGGCCCGCCTTCGTAGCTGGTCAACTGATTCCTCCTGCAGTGTACAGGGCCCCGCACTAGAAGGACCCACACCTGGGTTAATGCGTTGCTGTCACTGACCTGAAATGCTTCATCCTTCGAGCGAGGGGTCCCCACGTTTTCAGTTTCACTGGCCTCAAACAATATTTGAGGCCTTGTTATTCCTGCTGCTGTGGAAAGGTAAATATTTATAGGAAATTTCCATTTCCTTTTGCTCATCTGACAGAAACTTGAAAATTCACAGCCCTTCCTTGGCCATTCTGCCATCTGCTCCCAGGTTGGAAAGAGTCCCCAGGTCCCTCTGGGCAAGTGCAATGTGCACGTATTGAAAACATGTTATCGTGAGGTGTGGAAGGAACGCACTTCTCAGCCTGGGCTTTCTCCAGATAGATGATGATAGTGTAACAGCAACTTAGTGATGTGTGGCTCTCACATAATGAATTGATTTTATAAAACGTTTTCATTCATTTGAAAACTGTCTGGCCGTCTATTGAATGGGAATTACAGTGACAATTAGACTCAATATTTAAATAATCAGTTTTCACTGGGCAGTATTGGGATGTCACAATTTACAAAGCACTTTTAATTATTTTATGTGCTGGTTAGTGTGTTTTTGCAATTAAAATAATATCTACATGTAAGTGTTGCAGGAATGCGGATACGAGCACTTAAGGGGGCCGGCTGCTCCGTCTGCCTCTCCATGCCGTGGACTCAGCACCAAGTTCCAGGAACAAAACGCACCACAGCAGGAACAGGCAGGCTCCGCTGCTGAATTTTGTCCTTTTTCCTAAATCGTCTGTTGTCTTCTAACGTGTTAATGGGTTCATGAGGTTCCCGCCACGCTTAATTTCTTCTTTCTCCAACCAGGCCATGGCCCTGCTATTCCCTTCAGGTAGGAAATGGCCTCCATGAGAGCGTTCAGGTCTGAGCGCCCCGTTGTGTTCAGGAGCCTGCCGGCTGGATGCAGCCCATCACAGAAGCCTGTGAGGTCATGTCCATGGGTCCTGGGAGCTGAGCAGAAAGAGCTCTCTGCCTGAGGACGCTGTGTGTGTGGGAGCGTGAGCTGAAGTCCAGGGCAGCTTCACTGGGAGTGCCGCCGTCTCTGGACTTGGAGGACGCCTTTTCCACAGGACATTGCTCCTGGTCAAGGCACTCACTTCACAGCCAAAGAGCAGCCATGGGTCCCTCCCTGCTCATGGAATTCCCTGCTCTTACCATGCTCCAGCCTGGAGCAGTGGGCTGGATAGAGCCAGGGAATGGCCTTTTGATGGTGATGGTACCTCCGGGGGCTGGGAGAGGTCTCCTGGGCTGCGCATGTTCTGAATCAGTGTCCAGCATGTGCTGCTGTCTCTCCCGTAGCCAGGACTCACGGGTCCAGGAACCAAGGGGTGGAAATGGAAGCGCGCCACTCGCCATCACCCCTAGTGACCTACTAGCAAATTTTTTTGCTTTCTGTTCCCATGACTTTATACTCTGCTGGCCTAGAAGTCTTACTCCAGAGGGAGAAGTGCTTCCACCAGGAGACACAACAATGATATTATTGTCCTGGAAGTTCAGCCTGCTGCCTGGCCGCATTGGACTCCTCATGTCTCTGAGTCAACAGGCTAAGAAGGGAATTTCCATCCTGGCTGCGGGTATCAGTCCAGATTATCAAGGGGAAATTGACCGCTGCTCCATGGGGACGTAAGAAAGAGTGTGTCTACAAACAGGAGATCCCGCAGGGTGTCTCCTAATACTGCCATGGGAAATTACAACAACCCAATCCAGACAGGACTACGAATGGCCCAGACCCTTCAGGAATGAAGGTTTGGGTCTCCCCACCAGATAAAGAAGCAGGACCAACTGACGTGACTGCCGAGGGGAAAGGGAGCATTGTATGGGAGAGAAGAAGGCGGCTGTGAGCTCCAGGGGTGCCCTCCGGGCCCATCACAGAAGCAAGGACTGTAATTGTCATCATGGTAAATTATAAATATTCTTATTTATTATTAATGTGTTTTTGTGTATGAATACATAACCACACACACAAAGCAAATCTGTTCTTCCCTCTCTTCTCCCCTTATGGTGTTACATAAGATGTATTGACTTCAGAGCGTAGTTTCTAAGCATTGTTACTTTATATCACAGCATTTGTGCTGCAGGATGTCATGGAGAAGAGGAAACACCACCCAGAGCTCTTCTGGGAAAGGGTTAGTGTGTTTTCAGGAGCACACAGAATGCTTTTATGATGTTAGGGGATCGTCTTTGTTTGGGAATTAGATACTTTTTTTATTTTTTATTTATTTATTTTTTGAGATGGAGTCTCGCTCTGTCACCCAGGCTGGAGTACAGTGGTGCTATCTCAGCTCACTGCAAGCTCCGCCTACCGGGTTCACACCATTCTCCTGCCTCAGCCTCCCAAGTAGCTGGAACTACACGCCCGGCAAATTTTTTTGTATTTTTTTAGTAGAGACGGGGTTTCACTGTGTTAGCCAGGATGATCTCCATTTCCTGACCTTGTGATCCACCCACCTCAGCCTCCCAAAGTACTGGGATTACAGGTGTGAACCACCGCACCCGGCCAGAATTAGGTATGTTTTAGGGAGACGTATATAGAGGTGCATGGTGTCGGGCTGACAGGCGGTGGACCCAGGTGGCGAGTCTCACGTCCACCTCGCTGGGCTGTGGTGTCCGGCATCCTGGGACGCTGCTGTGAAGGTATTTTGTAGATTGCTCAACACCCACAATCAGTTGCCTTTCCGTAAAGGAGATCACCCCTGAGCAGTTGGGTGAGCCTTATCACATCATGAAGGCTTTAAGAGGAAAACTGAAGAGGAACATCCACCTGAACCTTGAGTTTCTGGCCTGCCCCAGAGCCTTCCCTCCTGGATGTCTGAGGCTCCTCCAGGAAGGGGCATGGGTGAGGCTGAGCACCTGCAGCTCCTCGGGCAGCGGACATGCTGGGCCACTCTCGCGTACCCTGCGGTGACTCACACTCAGGCAGCGGACATGCTGGGCCACTCTCGCGTGCCCTGCGGTGACTCACACTCGCTGCTGTTCCCAGCATCCCTGTCCAACTGGGTGGTGCATATTTGCTCTCTGGCATTTCCCCCATATTAGCCTGTGGTGGCTAATGGGGGGGAAAACACATTAATCCTTTGTCATCTGCAAGGCTAGGGTGAGTCCAGTCCTCCTGGAGGCTGTGGGAGTGTGGAGGTTCAGGAACAGAGGGATGCAGGGACAGCATGGTGGCCCATGCAAGCCCTCGAGGTGTGCCTTGGCCACAGCTCTAAACGGCAGAGCTGCTGAGCGAGGCACACAGGTCACCAGGCAGGTTGTGAGGAGCCACCAGTGAGGCTGCAGAGACCCGAATTCTCCCTGGAAGGGTGTCAGATTCTCCAGACCCTGCTGTGATTCTTCTGTGTTTATAGAAGTAGCAAGAAGAAACGTTAGCCTATCTTAAATAAATCCTTAGATTCTGACACAATGGAATCTACATTAGCAACACTTGGATGGTAAAGAGCCTGGAAGTAATGTTGTGGTATTTGGCTCCCTTGAGTGAGCTGGGAGTGAAGAAATGAGTGACTGAATGACTGAATGAATGAATGAACTCATCAGGGGTCTGCCGTGCTGAGCATGGTGCTGGGCATGGTCACTCTCAGGAGATCCTATCTGTGGTCAGGGAAGCTGAGGCTAGAGGAATCATCTGGGTCTGCCTCTGCGTCCCTGTTCCCCCTGTTTCTTGCGGGTCACCCAGTAAGTCCCCACTGAGCTGCGTCCATGGGACTGCAGGCATCTGAGCCCTCACACTGCCCTGAGAGCAGACAATCCACGGCCAGGGAGGCCGGAACCCAGCTGCAAGCCTGAGTGACTGGGAACAGGCGGCCTGAACTCCAGGCTGCCTGCCTGTAACACGGGAGGGCACTGGGTAAGTTCCCGAGAACTGGGACCAGTCTCCTCCCGGACAAGGGGGCAGATTGGACCCAACCACTTAATGCTGGAATGGGAGTTGCCCCATGTCCTGTGGGAGGTGCCTAGACAGGCAGCAGCCCCCAATGCACCTGTATCCCCTCCTTTTCTGGACACCCCTGCAGAAGGGGAGCAGGTGCTGAGGGGCTCAGGAGGCCCTCATATGTCTGTGTTAAACCGTTTTTCATCCCCCAGAGAGCCCCGGTGTCTGAAGGCCTCCGCGTACCGGGGCTGTGGTTAAGCTGGGACCAGCAGGAAACTCACAAGCTGAGGCGCCAATGCACGAAGGAGGAGGTGCGGGAGCCAGGGACCCCCAGTTGCAGCACACACCTTCTCAGCAGAAGCACCCGGCAAGGAAGGAGTGGGTTGGCATCCTACTCAGGGCAGTGGAGCCAAGAGCAGCCCCAGACCGCGTCCCGCCCTGGAAACAATTCCTTTCGCTCAAACCCTGCCAGTCTCTAAGCTAAGGGCGTGACTAGGACGGGACGGCTTTTGTTTTACTCAGCTGATTATTTTTGCATTTAATTCATACATTAGTTCGACTTAGTGGCTGCAGAAAAGCTATAAACCGAAGGGATTTAAGCCTAACAAATGGTGTTCTAATGAGAATTATTGAGGCCAACACTAGGATTCTGCAAGAATTATGTTTCCTTTGAGGGAGGTCTGCCTCTGAGGGACCCCAGGCTGCAGGGGGTCTGTAGAGGTTGACCGTTTTCCAGGTGGTCGGGGAAGGTGATGTGCTTTGGGCCTCTCCACTGGGGTAACTGGAAGGCTGGGGTGGGCTCCGTCCCCCTGCAGGTCTAACCCCAGGGGAGTCCCCGTCTTGTTCACAGGCTGTCTTCTCCTCCCCAGGGAACACGCGGTTGGTGGGGACCCCACAGGCAGGAGGTGCAGGAGGAAGCCCCCCCAGGCAGAGACCCAGGAATCACAGCTTCCGCACCCTCTTCACTCCCCTAGAGGCTCGGGGAGCTGAGCCCCAACACTCCCCAAGACTTGGGGGCATTAATTTAAAACAACTGATTGCCAGCAAAAGGCCTCATCAAAGATTAAATGAGCATAATTTAACTGAGGGAATGATAATAGATTTAGTTAAGAAGAGAAAAAAAGGAAAATTGAATTGGAATGCATATTTGAGGGAAAATTGGAGTTTAATGTAATTACACTTAGAGATGAGACAGATTACAATTACCGTGTTTCAGAGGTGGAATTTTTAATTGCATCATTTAAAATCAAGCCTAGGTCTCTGCCTTCAGCAGGTCAGGAAAAGGGTTTTCAGGCAGTGGGGATGGCTTCTGTCCTGCTAGCTTCCTCCCTGACCCAAGGGAAGCAGCAGCCATTTCTGCCCACCTGAGGGGGCCAGGCAGATGCTGCAGGTTCCGAACCACAGTGTCCTGCTGCCCTGCGCCCACCAGGCCAGTCCACACCCTCTGGGCTGAGGGCCTCACCCTGCAGAGGAGACAGGCACAGGGGCCCTGTTATTCCTGAGACCTTGAGGAGCCCGCAGCCCTGGCAGCAAGGCGGAGGGCCTGGCTGACACACACCTTCCCGGATTTGATTATCCTCACGGCTGATCCAATCACTTGGGCAGTCAGGAACCACGATCATAGCCAAAAACCTCAATTCCACCAAAAATCGAGTTTCCCAGATGGCATTTTCACTCTTTAGTCCTGAACCACTCACCTTCACAGGTGCTAACTGTGTTTGCCTCTGGAGTGATGGGACCAACCAGAAGGCATCTGGGATAGAAAGGGCACTCAGAGGAGCATGAGGCCCTCGATGAAGGGGTCTGGGATAGAAAGGGCACTCAGAGGAGCGTGAGGCCCTCGATGAAGGCGTCTGGGATAGAAAGGGCACTCAGAGGAGCGTGAGGCCCTCGATGAAGGCGTCTGGATCTCCAAGGCCGGGAGATAAGCCCGCTAACCGGCACCTTAGTGCTCCAGGACGCTGGGCTGGCATGCTGTCCGTGTCGGCAAATAGTGCCAGCGCCTGTGGGCACGGACTCCTCCCACCCGGGACTCCTCCCACCCGGGACTCCTCCCACCTGGGATTATGGTCTTGGTCACCGTCATGGTTGAGTTATGTTCCCTCAAATTCAAATGTTGGAGTAATAACCCCCAGCACCGCAGAACGTGACCTTATTCAAAGATAGAATCTTTACCGAGGAGGCCAAGTAAAAATGAGGTCACAGCCAGGCGCGGTGGCTCATGCCTGTAATCCCAGCACTTTGGGAGGCCGAGGCAGGCAGATCACCTGAGGTCGAGAGTGTGAGACCAGCCTGACCAACATGGAGAAAACCTGTCTCTACTACACAGCTCTCAGTCATTGGCTCTGCCACCGCTTCTCCGTCATCCCTCCCATGATCTTCTCCTCCAGTTCTCTCAGCACTATTTTCTTTACTATTTCAATGCCCTCTTAGGGGAAAGCATCCATTGAATCTCTCGATTCACTATTTTACTTGTGGGACCATATGGGACTATGCTTATCTGACCTGTGGAACTTCACATTCCTGTCTATATTCCTTTTCTAACATTTCCTAATTGAAACTTTTTCATAAAATTCCTATTTCGTTTGTCATTTTTAAGTGGAAGTTATGCATTCATTCATCTCTTTAAACATCGCCAATGCACTTATTTGAAATATCTGTCAAAAACGTTCAGCTACAGTCTATTAATGGGTTGATTTTTTATTCTTTGTTTATCGTCTTTCTCAAAATTAGTTTTCTTTGTGTATTTTAGAATTTGGAGACAAAACCACATTTTGAGTGGAAAGCGTTGTTTTGTTTTGCTCCCTTCTTCCTTTCTGTGCTGTCATGCACCCTCTAAGTCCCTGATTGAGACGTAGGCCTCCAAGGCAGGTGTAGAAGCCCAGACGCTCGGAGGTTCAGAGGACGAGATGGAGCAGGCTCGGGGCAGTGAGCGCCGGGCTCTGCACCTGCTCCAGGTGGCATCGGCAGCAGATGTTGAGCAGATGAGCAGTGAGGGAGCTCAGCCCCTCCCCACATCCTGTATTGCACTGGTAGGGGGTAAACCTAAGGTGCTAAAGTCTCGTCTATTCGGAACATTAGGAAATCTATAAAAGGGCGTTTTCAGAAGGCTGGTAGGAGTTGATGTTCTAATGCAGGGATCCACAGACTTTTTCTAAGAAGAGTCAGATGGTAAATACGTTCTGCTGCTCAGTCCATGAGGGTTTCCATAGCAACTCCTCCTCCTCTGTCGCTCAAGGCAACCAGAGCCATACAGAAGCAGATGTGTGGGGCTGTGTCCCAGGAAAACAGCCCTTACAAGGCAGCCATGGCTGGATGTGGTCTGAGAGCTAGAGTTTGCCAACCCCTCTTCTAATGCAAATGAACAGAAATGCCAACTTGAATTTGAGTACAGATCCAGGAATTCCTTTTACATATGGAATACATACTGTTCAGAAAAAAACTTCAATAAGTATTTTCCAGTCACCTGGAATGTCTCAAAGAACAGAGACTTTTGTTTGGTTACTTTTGTACAACGTCATGCAGAAATAAATGAGTAAAAGCTACAATGCAAATCTTTCTATATATATTTTATGTAAAATATAAATATAAACATAAAATATATGTATATGTGTATATATATATATGTATCTTTATACTTCAAAGGACCTATTGAAATTACTTTTGGAAGAATTCCAAGGGAAATTTATAAGGCAATGGGTTCATCAGGATCACGGTTCTGGGTGTGAGGACCAACATTTTTTAATTAAATGTTTCATTTTGAGGTAATAGTAGATCAACAGGTATTTGTGATCAGTAATGCAGATAGATCCCAGGGGCTCCCCCTCTTTCCCTCAGTGGTCGTAATATAGCAGCCTCACATCCAGGATGTCAGTATTGACAAAATCCACTGATCTTAACCAGATTTCCCCAGATTCGCTTGCACTTGTGAAAGCGTGGATGAGTGTGTGTATGTGTGTGTGTGTGTGCATGGATGTGCGTGCATGTGCCTGAGTGTGTGTGCGTGTGTGTGTGTGCATGTCTGTATGCCTGTGTGAGTGCGTGACTGTGTGTATATGTGTGTGAATGTGTGTGTGTTCATGTGTGTGATTGAGTGTGGGTGTGTGCATGTGAGTGTGAGTGTGTGTGGTTATTTAGTTCTACGCAAAGCTCTGTTTTTAAAGTGATACAATGTTGGAATGATGTCCAGGGACCCAGAAGAAGGAGTGTCTGGGGAAAGCCTGGTTATAACAGAATGGGTCCCAGCTAACATCATATCTCTTTTATCTGCATTGATATCACTAGGACACAATTATTAAGAAATACAACTCACTTAACCTGGATGAATGACAGCAGGAAAATTGCTACAAATCTGGATTAATGGAAGTCAAATGGTAGTGAGCCGGATGGTAATTAAGCTGAGGTTAAAAGCTTTGAAGCCAGCCTTTCGGGAGCGGACTTTTTCAAACACCTCAGGGACCTAAACAAACTCCTGATATTTATTCAGGCTGAAATTCTGACTCGCATTTAGACTGCTAAATTAATAAGCTTGGAGACCTCTCCCCTTCCCTGAGTAGACACTGCCTTTCATTTATGCCATAGAGGTGCATTAACGCTCCGTAATGCCATCTATTATTTGGGATTATTAATTCATCAGTTACTCAATTGAAAAATCTGAGGAGTCAATACAGCAAGTCGTTGGGAAAGTGTGGGACCCTAGTGAAAAATCAGCAGATTGTTGAGGAAATAATGTTAAAGAAACACTGAGTAACAAAAGACATTCTTTATTAAAATATCAAAGAGGATAAATATCTCCTTAAGAAGCTCTGGGGTCCTAAGTAAACTCCCAAGGGGTGGGGGTCCTGACAGCAGGACATGGTGGTCTCACAGTTTAACCTTTGCACGAAGCCACCGGTCTTCGGCTTTCTGGGCACAGGACTCGGTGCAGCACCCTGGGAGGAACTGTTGGGACCACAGGAAAGGGGAATGGTCGAAGGAAGGGGAGGGGAGCTGTCATCAGGCATTGCTCACCTTGAAGGCACAAGTTCAGGAGACCACTGAGCTCACGTCCTCCTCTGCCCTTGCAGCCTGGGGTGGGAGAGGGAAGTACAGGTGACACCTCCCATGCCCATGTACAAAGAGCACAGTGGGGAAGGGAGGCAGGAAACTTGGTCCCCAGTAAGCTTCCCTCATCTGCCTCCCCTAGGAGCATCAGTCAGGCATCTCTTAAGTTTAGAGAAAGCTCATTGTAAATACATATTAACTCTCACCATGATGAGAAGGCTGATGACAGATTCTGCTCACCTTAATGGTGGGGCAGGGCCTTGGTCATCTTTTTAACCCGGTGATTAGTGGGATGTCTGCAGAGAGACACTTAATTAAGGCTTGTTAAATTGCACTGAACAATGTCCCTGATATTTACACACCTGCACCTGGCACTTTCTGAGCTTTTGCATCTACTGTCGGGCAATGAACCAGGTTGGTAGAGCTTCCGTCCTGAGCAGGGGCTGCTGATTGCCCTCCTTCCTCCCAGCACCAGCAGTCAGCCTACCCAGACACTCTTCTTCCCTGATTTCCAGAGAGGAGCGGCCTCTGTTTAATGTCCTGAGTGCAGGACAGGGACCTTGGAAGGCGCCGAGCTCTGAGCCCTGAGTCGCTGTAAGCCTGAGTCTAGGCCATCAAGCTCTCTGGACCCTGACATTCCTTCCCAGGCATCTGCTGCTACTGCTGAGAAGTGAGGAGCCTTCAGCACAGGCAGGGAGCCGTGGCGGATGCTCATTAACTCTGCCAGGGCCTGCATGGCCGGGCTCTTCAGGCCAGCTCCCTGGGGCTACATTCTCAGAACCAAACTGTGTTCCTCTTACCATGGACCTCTGGAGGAAGCCCAGGCTTTCTGTCCGGCTCTTTGTTTGCCAAATGCCAAGGGGTTAAAGCCTGAGAGCTGAACTACATCAGTAGGTCAACACACCTCACCCTGGGGCTTGGCATGACTTGGGAGGCAACCCGGCAGACCCACGGTATTTGGCCAGGTTTGTCCATGGCCAAAGGGCCAAGCCCTTGAGCCAGCTGCAGTCCCTGGTGGGAGGATGGTGGGCTGGGGCAGGAGGTGCTAGAGCTGATGGGTCCCATGAGGGATCCTGCTGGGCTGGGAGAGCTCGAGCCCCTGGAAGATTTTCAGGATCCTCCTGAAGTCTTCTGTGACAGTCATTTTCTTCTTAAAGGGGCAAGTTCCAAACTTGGCGCTACAGGGGTCCCAGTAGATCAGGCCTCTCCCCTCCGCAGGTGGCCTGTGTAGCTTTGCCCTGGGCCTGCCTCCCACCCTTTCTCCCTCACATGCCTCTGGGACGGGTCAGGCAGCTGCAGAGGTTCCAGGATGGCAGCCCTGGGCCCTGAAGAGGGGAATCCCCTACAGAACGAGGGAGCCCTTGGGACCCTCCTGGAGACACTGGGCTCCTGTTCAGCCTGGAAACAGCCACTGAGCCTTCTTTCTCAAGCAGCCTTTCCATGGAGTCAGGGTGGCGAGGCCCTGTTTAGTGCTGGGCATGTTAGGGAACGTCTGTCTGGGCTGGCCCAGGGTTTAAGATAAGAAAATTCATCCATCTTCCCAAGAAACCAGGTCACTGAGAACTCCTAGGTGCAAGAATTAGATCCAACAAGAACATTTCCTGGAGTGACTGTCATTGCTTGGATACCTCACCAGCTGTTTTTTTTTCTCAATTCAGAATGTTATTACACATGCCCTTTCTGCTTCTAATGATCCTGAGCGTAACAGCCTTGAAGTATCTTAACTGTGTAGACACACGTGCATCCTTCAACAAACAAATCTTGATTTTTTAGACAAAGAAATGCAGCTTGACTCTCTGGAACACTGTTTATCCGGTCTGAATTCTGCCCTAAACCCCGTGGGTTAAAGCCACCTCCATCCTCCAAGCCCTGCCCCCTGTCCAGGCTCAGTCTCCGAATTTTTGCTCCACTTTCTCTCTTTCCCACCTCACCCGCACTCCTCCAGTAATTCCTGTCAAGTTCAGCCTCTACCCCTCATTGCAGCCCCCGATGTCCCTCTCCTGGACAGGCCAGGTGCACCCACCCCAGCCTGCCTGCCTCGAGGAGTCCTCCCTCCCCAACAGGGGAGAGGGATTGTTCTAAAACACAAGTGAGGTCCCAGCTCCCTGTCCCCCACCCCCGAGGGTGCCTCATAGGTCCCAGAATAAAATCCATGGCCTCTCTGGGTTCTGTGCCCTTCTGCCTCGGTCTTCCTCTGACACAGCTTCCTCCCGCACCTGCCAGGCCTCTGCTCATGCTGGAGGCTGCCTGCATCCTCACTCGGCTTGTCCTGGGCTCTATTCTTTTCCACAATGCAGGGGTCGCCACTGGACACATGCTGCAGGGATGCGCATCTTACATCCTTTCTCCATTGGGATGAAGCTCCCCTGGTAAGGGTCTTGGCTGCTCTGTCCCTGCTGCAGCCCCTATGCCCAGAGCCTAGGATGCCCTGTGCAATGCAGCACCCAAGTGGTGCCAGCCCTGCCTTGGCAGGTGTTGGTGGAAGCCACCTCGGGGCCCTGCACAGTTCCTTGTGCCTCTGCCTGTGGGCCTCTTTCCAGTCATCCCACGGAGCCCGTGTACGAGAGCTGTTGCCTCAATTGCAGGGTGTGAGGGTCCTGCCCTGCAACCCTCACCCACAAGCAAGTATGACGCACCTGATTCCTGGAGCTCACACGAGGGGCGTGGAACGAGGCCAGTCGCCTCCATGGGCAATGGCTCCTCCTCCCTCAGCAGAGCTGGGGGCTGCGCAACCTCCTTTGACTGACAGGCGAGGCGTCAGCACCGGCTCAGCCAAGACTCACCATCCTCACTCCCCAGATCCAGTCTCTCACAGGCCTAAGGAGGATGAAGAACCGAATTGTCTCATTCAGCTTCAGCGCCTCTCCATGCAGATCACCTGTGTGCAGATGGAGGGGGGCGAGGGCCACGTCACCCTCACGCTGGCTGGGACCCCAACCCGGCCCCCACAGTCCTTCTCTCGCACCCACTGCCAGCCTCTGTCTTTCCGCATTGCAGGTGGTGCTGGCGTGGCCTCCTTTCTCTCACTTGCACCTGTGCCTCCCACCAAAGGACCTCCCTTTGCTTCTGGAGAGTCTGTACAGTGGTTATCTGCAGCTGCCCCTGTGCCTCTGTGCTGTCCATGTGGGTCTGTTGGAGGATCTGTTGGGATTTTCAGGCAGAGATCATATTTTTCCTTTGCCCTCAGGCACTGCCCAGGCATGGCAAGGCGTGGCGCTGTTACCACTGGGCAGAGATGGAGGGAATGCAGCAGAGGTAGACAGGACACCTGGGCAGGGCGAACTCAAGCTGGACATGCTGTCGGGATGCCTGGGTGGGAACACTGTGCTCCCAGACTCAGGTCAGCGTCAGAGGCCGGCCAGGAGCTGGACGGGAGAGCCAGTCAGGGCAACACCAGCGTTTCAGGCTTTCAGCGCCATCGGGGCTCCAGCGGCAGAGCGGGTCCCCCATGGGGATCGGCTGCAGTGGGTGGGCTCAGCCAAGGCCTGTTTGATCCATTCACCCAGGCTTTTAGAACCTGCTAGGTGAGGGACCCATCCCATCACGTCCGAGCGCCCCGGAGCCCTGTGCTGTGCTCTGAGTCCGTTTGCTGGACAGTGAAGGATGAGGTGGTTCAGCCAAGGTCACTGTGGACAAATCCGCCAGGCAGGTGGCAAGTTGGGGGAGGTTATTTGCAAAATCTGGAATAAATACACAATCCATAGCTAGAGAAAGAAAAAGAAAACTTATAAAAATAGGAGCTTAAATGGAGAAAGGGGGGAAGCGATGTAAAAAGGCTTTGTAAGGGAGAGGAAGCCAACACCAGATGCATGTTCATTACGGGAGAAATGGGAGTGATGTCTCCAGGGACTTCTCCAGGGTCCCACTCACCTGGCAGGTGCCATAGAGCTAGGTGATGTGGGTGGTGCTGAGGACAGAGGTGGGAGGACACTTGGACTGCTGGCAGGAATGGACTCTGTGGTCCTGGGAGCTGTGGCATCCCTTCCCCACCCCTGTAGCCCCGGAGCACCTGGACCACCTCTCCCTGCAGAGCGGACAGGCACTTCCTCAGATATCTTGCAGGGGAAAGGTCTTACAGGACTTAATGGAGCACACAGATCTCAAAGGCAGTGTTGCAAGCATGAGCTTTAGATAAGCTGATTATTACAAATATAAAATACACATACGGAAAACAACAACACATATTTTAGCAAGAGCCCTTAAATAAACTAAAGATGTGTGTTAAAACAGTAACATGGTTTCCTGACACTGGGTGGCGAGGATGGAGGGCAATGCAGAACAAGTAAGTAAATAAAAACAGACTGTGTGGAACAAGATGCTTGTGTGCCCACACCTGTGTGTAATCTGTATAGTACCCTCCCTTTAAGTACATTTTAATAAAGATTAGTTCCCTTGAGGTGGTGCAGACAAAATTTGACTGACCAATTTTTAAAAACTACATAGAAACCATGACATGTGAAACATTTCAGGAACTCATCACTGGGGTAAAGGGAACCTTTAATCACTAGAGTTGGTTCCATTCATCAAGTGCAGTGCACCAGATGTCACTGAGAAATTCACACCACCTCCTCCG
The DNA here is from genome assembly GCF_000001405.40 of Homo sapiens. NCBI lineage: Eukaryota > Metazoa > Chordata > Mammalia > Primates > Hominidae > Homo > Homo sapiens. The sequence continues at coordinate 49,110,225 of NC_000022.11, forward strand.
TAACTGTTGTACCAAAGCTGCAAAGCAGGTTTCATTTCCAAGTTTAAGATGGGACTGCTGTGGTTCAAAGAGGGAAAACGACTCTCCTGGGATTATCAGTGTACCTGTTAGGGCTCCTGACTCCTCAAGTCTCCTGGGATTATCAGTGTACCTGTTAGCGCTCCTGACTCCTCAAGTCTCCCAGGATTATCAGTGTACCTGTTAGGGCTCCTGACTCTTCAATTCTCCCAGGATTATCAGTGTACCTGTTAGGGCTCCTGATTTCAATTTACTAAAATCTTGAAAAAAACCTGACAATCTGGGAATGTATTATCTTCAATAAGTAAAATATGCAGGCAGGATAAACAACTTCAGGACTGGTTTGATCCAGCAGCTCAACTTTCATAAAGTTTCGTCTGCTATCTTTCTCTCTCCCAGAAACTCCCAGGGCTATGTAATAGTTCTTCACCCAAACCCAGTTACACAGATTTGGGCCAACCAGGGCTCTGTGATACCTGGATGAACACGGCCAATTTCACCTACACAGCTTGTTGGGCTCCCAGTGGGGAGGGAGACTGTAGGATCCCCCACATGTCCGCTACAGGCCTTGGTTCGAGCCCAGGTCCGGGTGACTCACCTTTTACAACTCTGAGTTTTACACGTGGGTGTTGCTCCTTCCTCACTGGTCTCTGGACTCAGTTCAGGCTGCATTTATCTCTCTTATTCCTTCCTCCCTCTCCCCTCCGCAGTGCCCAGGCGCGCAGGTATCCCTCATGCATCAGACCTACACAAGCAGAGCCTGGTGACTAAATAAATCATAAAATGAATCGTCGAGGAGTTTTGATGAGGCAATTAGGAAATGTTGAAAGTGGAGAGAGGGGATCGATGAGCAGATAGACTTCAATAGCACATCGAAGACTATAGAAGAGAAAATAATTGGAAGCACCATTTTGAACCTGGCGATTTTGGCATCCTGTTATGTCTCAGAGAGGGTAAGAAAGACACCAGGGGCCCCGTGCGTTCAGGTCCTCTGCAAGTCACTAGCTGACAAAGTCAATGGTTTGGAACCCGGCACGACAGCCAGTCCTTCAAAGACTCAGGCCTGGCTCACACCCCGCGCAGCGTGTTTGACAGGGAACCAAAGTGAATTTTAAAGCAAACAGGCCCGAGTCGCAAACAATCTCCCCTTGTTTTCGGCACAATTGATGTCCACTAATTTCAGGCTTGTTTGGAAGTGTCGGCTCACGCAGAGATTAACTGCCTTTTGAAAGGTTGGGGAGGATGGTGCCTGAGTGCTTCTTCATTCTTCCCTTCTTGACACGAGGGTTAATGCTGGCATAATTAAAGTCCGCTGCCACAGTCAAAGGGAATAAACACCAAACACCTCCAGAGAGAAATTATCCAGTCCAGAGCCATTCTTGTCACCCTGGTCCGAGGTAGCTCTCAAAAGAGACTAACAACAGGCCAGCCACAGTGGCTCACACCTGTAATTCCAGCACTTTGGGAAACCAAGGTGGGCAGATCACCTGAGGTCAGGAGTTCGAGACCATCCTGGCCAACATGGTGAAACCCCATCTCTACAAAAATACAAAAATTTGCTAGGCGTGATGGTGGGTGACTGTAATCCCAGCTACTCAGAAGGCTGGGGCAGGAGAATTGCTTGAACCCAGGAGGCAGAGGTTGCAGTGAGCCAAGATCGCACCATCGCACTCCGGCCTGGGTGACACAGGGACGCAAGACTCCATCTCAAAAAAAAAAAAGAAAAAAGACACTAACAACAACATTTTTCTCTTTCTAGAAACAGAGGCTTACTGTTGTCCAGGCTGGAGTGCAGTGGCTGTTCCCAGGTGTGATCACAGCGCGCTACAGCCTCCAAATCCTGGACTCCAGAGACCCTCCCGCCCCAGGCTCCTGAGTAGCTGGGACTACAGGTATGCGCCGCTGCCCTCAGCTTCATAGCAAACTTTTTAGATGGAGGTTGTTTTTGTTTTTGTTTTAGAAATATGGAAGACACTGAAATCTTTAAAGAGAAGAAAATGCTCTTCAGGTGCTGGGGATTGAGTTATTTACGTCAAGGCACATGACTATACCCGGCCACGGGAGGAGGATGGCGAGTCGCGCTTGCAAATGTTTGCTCACCCGGCACGTGTCACGAGTGTGCGCTCCGCGCCCATCACCTTTCCAGGCGCTGAGGATCCGGTCGTGAACAAACCCACAACAATCCCTGCCCTTAAGGAGCTTGGATTCTGGTGGAAACAGACAGGACATATGTCCAACAAGCATTTGATAAAGTGACACACCAAACAGCTGATGGTCATAAGGTTCTCAGGAGAACAGAGCAGGCTGAGCTGGAGTCTTTGATGGGGTTGGGGGGAGCGATTGAAAAGGTGCATTTGGCCTAAAACTGAAGAGGATGAGAAGGGAGCTCGAACCTTGAAGGAGGGAGTGCCGGGTGGGGCCGGGGACACTGAGAAGGCTGCTCAGCTGGGGAGGGGGATTGGGAAGGAAGGAGGAGGAGGAGGACTGAGAGGACCAAGGTGAGGGAGCTCCAGCAAGCAGGGCTGAGCAGGGTCAAGGGGAGGGCTGGCGCTTCTGCTCCGCCCTGGGAGCAGTGAGAAACGGAGGCCTGGGAGGGTGCTGAGCAGAGGAGGGTGTGGCTGGTTTCTGAAGGGGCCGCAGCAGGGTGGAACCCACTGCAGCCATACAGTCCGGAGCCCCGAGGGGGCTTGAGCCAGGGCAGGGCAGTGGGGCGGGGAGAAGGGTCAGACCCTGGGTGCATTTCACAGGCAGGTCTGCAAGCACTGATGAGAGTGTGGTGTGGCCAGAAGAGGAGGTGAGATGGCTGGAAGGTTCTGGTCCCTGGAGAGGAAGAACACAGGTGTTATTCTAGACGTAGTGCTGCAGGTGTTGTGGTTCTGTGGGGTCAGGGGCTGGTTTGGGCACTCCTGCTTACGCCTCCTGGTGAACATCTAGGTGGAGGTGGCAGTGGGAAGGTGGGACATCCTCAGGGAAGATGTTTGGGTATGAAATTTCTGGGTCCAGGGAACCAGCAGAATGTTCTAGAAGAGGGACAGAACTGGTCCAAAATGGTGTTGGGCCACATGGGCCTTCAAGCCAGCCCCGTGCTTTGTGCGTGCGCTGGGGGAATCCGCCTGTCACCAGGCTTCTGCCCAAATGGACTGGGCCCAGTGGTTGGGGTCTGTGTCTCTCTGGCCCCAGCTGTAGGTCTCCTGGGCTGGACTGGTCACATTTGCCTCTGTGGTCACATTTGCCCTGTCCCTGCCCTCCACAGAACCACAGGGGCCTCAGCTACCCAGGCCTGGGGCGAGTGGCTCACACTAGGGCTGGCACTGGTGATGTCTCAGCAGCCACCTGGCACGGGGTCCCTTCAGCAGAGAAGGGTGCTGGGTGGCCACCCTCCTGCTGCTGTGTGTATACTTTACACATGCTTGCTCCACACACTCACACACACACACAGGGAACACACATGTACCTCACAGCGCTCACATATGCTAACGCACATTCACACGCAATCACACCCACACATGCTCTCACATGCAAACACAGGCTACAGCCCACACACTCACGCTCACACACACACCAGTGCACACACACACACACACCTGCTGAAGAGTTTGCGACAGGGCTGACTCTGTTCTTCCTGACAACTGGCAGTGACCGGCCCTTACTCTCTGTCCGCTCCTGACCCACGTGTCTGTCCAGATGCTATTCTTCTCCATGTGTCTGCGTCCCACGGCCCCTTCAAGGTGAAGCCAGCGCGGCAGTAGCCTGCTGTCCACTAGATAAAGACACCAGATTGTCCCACCAGCTTTGTCTGGCCAACCCCGCCCCAGGCTCCATCCAGGGAAATGCCCAAGGCCCTGGCACACACCCTGAGATGCAGGCGGGACTCCAGGGACAGGGACCACTCTAGGACAGGCTGCAGCTCGATGCTCACACCTGCAGGCTGACGCCAAACCCCAGGATGAAAAATTAGCCTTCAGTGGTGATTTCAGCAGATTGAGTGTGCCACATTTAGGACTCCCTTTATCCCTAAACCTCCTCATTCTCCAGTCAGGAGCCACTGCCCCACAAGCTGCCCCCTGGAACTCACAGCAGGGGACCCAGCGATGGATGGGAGCATTAGGGAAAGGCCAGGTAGCAGCATTTCATTTGAGACTCTTCCTGTAATTCCGCGGTTTTTAAATTTTATTTATTTTTCTTACCTTGTTGCACTTGTCACAGCTTCTAGGATAACGTGGTGAGGAAAAACCAGCTCGCCTCCTTCCCAGTCTCGGGGGGAAGCGAGAAGTTCCCATGTTTCTCACTGTGTTCGCTGTAGGATTTTTACAGGTGCACTTTGTCAAGTCAATTCCCCTGTATTCCTAACCTGACAAAAGCTTTCATCATAAACGCGGCTGTTGCATCTTATCGGGTGCTTTCTCTGCATCGGTGGGTGTCCTTGCGGGATGTCTCTTCAGTTTGCTGATGTGGTGGCCCCACTGATTTATTTTTGAACATTGGACCACCCTTGCACACCTGGAAGAAATTTTGCTTAGCCTCGGTGCGTAATTCTATATGTCGTTGGATTCAATTTGCTAATGTTTTGTTGAAGATTTTCACATCGAAGTTCATGAGAGATATCAGCCCTCAGTTCTTTCCTTTTATGCACTGACATGGTCTGACTTTGCTATCAAATCATGCTAATTTTTACTTAAAATAAATGAGTGTAGGCCAGGCGCAGTGGCTCATGCCTGTAATCCCAACACTTTGGGAGGCTGAGGCGGGTGGATCACGAGGTCAGGAGTTCAAGACCAGCCTGGCCAACGTAGTGAAACCCCGTCTCTAATAAAAATACAAAAAAAAAAAATTCGCCAGGCGTGGTGGTGGGCCCCTGTAATCCCAGCTACTCCAGAGGCTGAGGCAGGAGAATCACTTGAACCTGGGAGGTGGAGGTTGCAGTGAGCCGAGATCGCGCCATTGCACTCAAGTCTGGGTGACAGTGAGAGACTCCATCTCAGGAAAAAAAAAATCAAAATACATGAGTGTAAATCACAGTTGAGTGTGTCTGAGTTTCAACAAGAAAGGCAAGGCCAGCTTTAATAATGCTTTAATGGGCAAGAAGCCATGGGCAAATGCGTACATCTTCCAACCAGTGACATCGGGACCTGCAGAAATGATGTCATCACCATCACTGTCATCACTGTCATCGTTGTCAACACTGATGATCATCCTAGCTCTGGGGCAGCGTATGAGCCAGAACTCTGCACACGTGAATACCTGTTTTCCCGTCTGTACTGGTGTTGTCTTGAATGTCTGGTGAATCCTTGCTATGCCAGGATTTAAATCCGAATCTGTCCAAGGTGTTAATACCTGTCTTTTGCTGCAACAAGTCTGCCAGTTACAGGTGAGGAGTTAGTCACCTGTAAACCTCTAAGAAGCTTGGAATAAACCCTTCTGCATAACTAATTCTCAGCCCTAGCCAGACAGCCCTGCTTTAATTTCATGAATGCAAAGTCAGTACACCACAGTCGTTTCCAAGTCATAAACTCCTCGGAAAGGCCAGGCGGAGATCGGTTAATATGCCAGGCAAGGGGTGAGATATTCCCCCTCGATCGAAGGCCCCAGGAGCGAGCCAGCCTCACGGAGTTCACGTGCTTCGTGGGTGGTGGAATCCTGTTGTACAGCTGTCCCCGAGGGAGTGAGCAACGTCTTCTGTCCGCTAAGAAAGAGCTTCACCTTTAGAGTCATCCTGTTACTGGGAAACAGCAGCTTTTCTTAGAGGGAAAAGCAAAGTCCTGCAATTTGGTTTCTCTCTGGTGTTGGGTCTCACTGGCCAAGGAAGGAGGCCAAGGCCCAGCCCGATAGATGGTGTCTCAGTGGGCGGCCTGGCCAGTGGTGTTAGATCGCTGACAGTCATTCACATTTCAGAAGAGCAACTGGAGGCGGCACGGCACATATGTGCGTGGACTCAGCAAATTTCCCCTCCCGTGTGCGTGCCCTGCTGTGTAGGCTGCGGGCGGCCCGGTCAGGACACGGGAAGTAGCTGTGTCTCCAAACTGTTGTCTGCAGGAGGACAGGACCAATGCCTCAGGCCGCTCCTCTCGGGCCTGGTTTTATTCATAAAATGAGAAGGCTGGGCAAATCCTGTTTCCCAAAGCATGGCTGCTGAACGCGAGGGTCACCGGCCTCCTCTCGCTCCTCTCACTGCCTGCCGCGGGACTGCCCCTTGCTAATGTGTTTCTGTAAACGACCTTACCTCGATGCACGTTTTAAATTCAGGTGTCTTAAGCACCCATGGCCCTGGCATGATGTTTGGCGTCCTATTTAGATTTACGCAACACAGATTAAAGTTATAGGGACACAAAACTTAAGACCAAACAACCCAGGGAAGAAGAAGGTTCTGAGCGTCAGCCACTCCTCTCATGGTCGCTGGGGCCGGCACAGGGGGGCTAGGCCCTGGAGATGCTATTTCCTGTGGTCCCCGGGGCCGACACACGGGGGCTAGGCCCTCCAGATGCTATTTCTTGCCCCCACAGCTACGGACAGGGGCTCTTGCCCACTTTGCTCATGGGACTGTGGAAGAGGACTTGAGAAGGGGACCAGGGGCCCCTCCATGTGCTGGGAGGGGGAGGAGCCCGCCAGCTCCGTGCCTTGTGGAGCAGGAGGCCAGTGACGATGCGTGGAAATATGGGCCCATGTCCCCTGGATCATTCAGGCTCTGCGCTCGGGCCACGGAAACCACAAGTGGAGGTGGCAGGTCCGAGCATTCGGCCCCCGGCATCCACAGAGGAAGGCAGCTCCTTCCTTCTGGGTTGGTGGAGATGCTCAGGGTCCCTACAGACAGAGGGTTCCCAAGTATGTGCTGAAGTGGGGAAGCCTAAGAAAAGCTTTTTGAAAATGCCTGCAGGCCTGTAGGGTGTTCGCATCTGAGAGGCCCTTTGGAAGCTAATGACCTTGTGCAGGCAGGGGCAGGGGCAGGGGCAGGGGCAGGGGCAGGGCCAGGGGTAGGGGCAGGGGCTGGGGCTGGAGCAGGTGTTGGGGCAGGGGCAGGGGTCGGGGCTGGGGAAAAGCCAGGGGCAGGGGCAGGGGTCGGGGCTGAGGCAGGGGCTGGGGCTGGAGGCCTTCACCTTATCCCTGCCCAGACATCCTCAGGGAGAAAGCTCACTTCCTCTTACCTTCAAGGCCGTGTGAGGTCTGTATTCCACTCTGAAACATGAGCTTATGATAAAATGACTTCTGACCTTATTTACCTGTTCCTGGATGCTGGCCTCAGGGGGTTGTGCAGCCTACCTGGGCCCTGGCACTGCAGCCACATGTCCCTAAGAGCCTGCCCAGTCCCCAGGGTTCTTCAGTGTCCGTCTGACATCACCAGCATTACCTCTGGGCACTGCCTGACCCAAGCGCCCTCCCCAGACCTTTGGAATTGGAGTCTCCAGGGGCAGGGCCTAGGTGTTGTATTTTTCTGAGCTCCTGGGCAGGGCTCTGGTCGGTAAATGGAAAAACAGCTGCCTGATGGGGCCAGGGGCTCTCCCTGGAGTCTCTTTGGCTGCCTCGCCTGGTCTGATCCCATAATTAACAATGCCCTGTGTGCCAACCCCTCCAGCAGGTCGCCAGCCCCTCTGGGCACCCACAGGGAATGCATCCCCGGGAAGATGGGAAAGAGGAGGCCCCCGGTGAAGACTCCAAATAACAAAAACACACACAGGGTGACAAGGCCGAGTAATTATCACACAGCCTCACCAGGCGCTTTGATCTCCTAATCAATTCTTCTGAGCGTCCCACATGGCTCTCTCTGCGTTTCATAATATAATTTAATTTTTATGTAGAGATTTTCCTGAAGGGCATAAATGCATTTTCACTTTCTGCCCCAGTAATTCAGTTTTAAACCAAGCATAAAAACTCAATAAACAGCAAAGAGCTAACTGCATATGCCAGGCCCGTGACCTTTCACTGTTACTGTTGAATAAGTAAGAAAGCGGGTAGAAATCACATATGAAGTCCACCGAAGATTTTCCATTGTCTGTTAGAAAATCAGCCGGAATTGACAATAATTTGATAGTTCATGCTTGAGAGAGCTCCCGATTGGGAATGTGGGGCCCGGAGATTGGTTGGCAGCGGCAATCATTGGAGATCGGGCTCTCCCTGACCTTGAAACCGTCCTCCTCGCCGAGACTCCGTAATAAATGCAGAGAGGCTCTGCGCCCCGAGTCCTCACCTCCGATAAGCAGGGGTGAAAATGAAAATTCACGGAGATGCCGTGTACGTAGGTTTTTCAATTAGTTTCTCAAATATTGCCTAAGCTGGGGGACCCTGGCGCTGGAGTTGTGCACAGCCCGTGAGATGCCCCAGAAGAACAAAGGACAATTACTGCAGGGATCTGAGCAAAACCAGCCTCGTTCGTGGGCCTATGGTATGATCTCTTGTGGGTGATTTGAGCTGGAATTCCCTTGATCCCTGGCACAGAGGACGGGCACCTTCGGTTTGAATCGGACTCAGAAGTCTCAAGTCCTTTCCCCACACAGAGCCCCCAACTGGAGGCTTTGCTGAGCTTCTGTGTGTCCCGTGGGAGGTGCTCACCTTTGCAGCTGCGGCCCCAGGTGTGCACACACTGAACATTGGGAAGGGCTTCTTCTACGGAGCCAAAGATGCTCGCTCCCCACCATTTCCTGGGGCTCACAGAAGCACATCTGCCTAGGTATGCAGTGGGCCATGTCTTAGGGCCTAGGTGTGCAGTGGGCCATGTCTTAGGGCCTAGGTGTGCGGTGGGCCATGTCATACGGCCTAGGTGTGCGGTGGGCCGTGTCATACGGCCTAGGTGTGGGGTGGGCCGTGTCTTACGGCCTAGGTGTGCGGTGGGCCGTGTCTTATGGCCTAGGTGTGCGGTGGGGTGTGTCATACGGCCTAGGTGTGTGGTGGGCTGTGTCATACGGCCTAGGTGTACAGTGGGGTGTGTCATACAGCCTAGGTGTGCGGTGGGCTGTGTCTTATGGCCTAGGTGTGCGGTGGGCTGTGTCTTACGGCCTAGGTGTGCGGTGGGCTGTGTCTTACGGCCTAGGTGTGCAGTGGGCTGTGTCTTATGGCCTAGGTGTGCGGTGGGCTGCTCTCTGGGCTGCTGGCTTCTTAGGCTCCCAGCCTGGTTACCTGAGACAGGAAGAAGCCACAGGGGGCTCCCACCCAGTCAGTCCAGCTCCTGAGACACTCAGCCAGGCTGCCTTTCCCTTTCCACCTTTTGGGGTCTTCCCAAGTTTGCTTTGTTAAAATGCCCAGGGGTTTTCATTGTGCTCAGCAGGAAAGGAGAGTGAAAAGCAGTCTATCTTTTGTCATTGACAATTTTAAACAAGAGATGAAATGAGAAACTCAGCCAAGCCCGCTTTCAGCGGCCTGCGGTGCACTGGAAATTGCTGTGTGTCTCTTTGCTCCCTGGAGGCCTGGGCTGCAGCCCTGGAATTCCTTAGTCCTGGAGAGCATCTGCCTGCGGGGGCCACGCTCAGGAACTGCGTCTGCTTTCCCAGGGGAAGGAGCCTGTCCTGAGAACCAAGCCCCGCGGGTTGCGACACACCGTCCTGTGTTGCTCAGAGAATCTAGGTCTGACAGGGAGCGTGTCCTAATCTGTCCCATGAGCAGATTCCTGGAGCAATCACTGGAGAGAAGGCGTGGGTTTCTTCCAGGAATCACACTGGCTTCAGTGCCAGGCAGCTCCCTGGTGTGCACAGCGTGAGAGGAACTGCCTGGGCTCTGTAGAGCTGCTGGAGAAACATTCCAGGAAGGAGGGCGAGGAGGCACAACAGCCACTTTGTGTGTTTGTCACTTTGATGCCTGTGCAGGGGTGTCGTATTGGGTGTCCTTTGTCTTTCCTGGTGACTGATGAACCCCTGTCCATGTGTCTACGGACATTTGGGTTCCCTCCTTCAGAAAGCACCTGTTCAAGTCCTTGCCCCATTTGTCTATCAGGTTACGTGGCATTTACCAATGTGTAAGATGTTGATTTAAAAAATATAGATCCTGGTTAGGAGGCCTTTGTTGGATATTTGTATCACAGACATCTTTGCTCTGTGGGTATCCTTTTATTTGTAGGTGATGCACAGGCGTTATTTGTCTTTACATAGTTCAATATCTTCTCATATGTGGCTCAAGCCTTTGTATTCCCTGTAAGGAATCGTCACCTAGTTCAATTCATGGACATGTTTTTTCTTCTGCATTTCTTCTGGAAGTGATTTTTGTTCATGGTGTGAGAGAGCTTACTTTCAGTATGAATAGTCAATTGCCTCTGCATCCAGATTCCCTGTTGCAATGCATTGTCACCCTGGGCATGGGTCTGATCCTACAGACGTGGACCTGCTCCAAGCTTTCCACCTATTAGGGCATCAACATGTCCTTCCTGCCTTACCTCAGCACGCCCTTTCTTCCATACCACACTTTCCTTGTAGGCCTGGATATCAGAGAAGGTGGTTAGAACAGTGTGGATTCAGAATATCTGAGACAAGTCTCAGTTAATTTAGAAAGTTTATTTTGCCAAGGTGGAGGGTGCGTGCCCATGACACAGACTCAGGAGGTCCTGACAACACATGCCCAAGGTGGTCAGGGCACAGCTTGGTTTTATACATTTTAAGGAGACATGAGACATCAGTCAATATATGCAAGAAGTGCATTGGTCCCACCCAGAAAGGTGGGGACAACTCCACGCAGAGAGGGGGCTTCCACGTCACAGGTAGGTGACAGACAGATGGCTGCATTCTTTTGAGTTTCTACTAAGCCTCTCCCGAGGAGGCAATCAGAATATGCATCTATCTCAGTGAGCAGAAGGATGCTTGGAATAGAATGGGAGGCAGGATTGTCAAGTTCTCAGCTTGACTTTTCCCTTAGCATAGTAATTTTGGGGCCCCAAGATTTTCCTTTTACAATAGCCAATCTGCTTTACTTAGTTCTGGGTTAATCTTCACAGCCTTACTGATAACTCTCATTCATACTCCAAGAATTAAAATTCTGGAATGTTCTCAGTCAAGATGGACTCGGCTGTCAGACTATCTAATATAAACATTAAGACTTATGTTGTGCACAGGGCCTGGGCTGGGGTTGGAACCACAGCCAGCCTTGAAGTTTCATGATGGGGCCCTTGAAGACCTCTGGGTCCCACTGCTGCAGGGGTTTCCTGGGATGGAGGCATCTCACACGGGCGCCTGTGGTTCTCAGCTGCGGGGAAAAGCGTGGCCCTGGCTGAGGGAGGGCTGAGAAACCTGCCCAGGGTCTCTCTAGCTTCCGCCCAAGCCTGTCATTTTCCTGCAGTTCCTGTTACTGGACTCCTGTCCAGTTCCTGACTCCTGTTACTGGAGTCAACCTTTACCATGATTTATGTTGAGCTGGCTTAGTCCTTCCAGCAAATCACCAGACCAGGAGGTGGTCACAGAGCCTTCAAACACCTGCCTCTTCTATGTTGCTTTGGCTGCTCTTGGCTTTTGCATATCCACATAAGTTTTAGAATGAGTTTGCTCAGTTTCCACACAGACATGTTGCCTGAATTCTGACAGGGATGAGTTGACTATGAGCCATGGACTAATGAAGGGAAGAAGTTGCGTTTTCCCAACATTTGATCTTCCAATCCATGAACATGTCATACTTCTCCATTTACTTAAATCTTTCTTAATTTCTTTCACAGTATTTTGTACTGTTTAGTGTAAACGTCTTACATATTTTTGTTAGATACTCCTTGTAGGAAATTATGAAATACATGACAAGTTTGGATTTCACCTTGGAAACTGTGAGGTTTCATCACTTTCCAAAGCTCTTTTGGGAAAAGAAAAACAAGATACTTAAAGGCTACTAACCTAAAACACTCTCCTAAGGACACACATGCAAGAATATTTATTCTTGTTTACAAAAAAATTCCTGTTTACAAAAATGATGGTGATTTAAAAACTGAGAAAGAAAACCTAAGAGAATGGGTAAATTAAAGACTGTATACTGATATAATGGGATGCTGTGTATCACTATTTCATAGGATTTGGCTCAGTGTCCCCACCCAAATCTCATCTAGAATTGTAATCCGCAGGGTTGGAGGAGGGACTGGGTGGAAGTTGACTGGATCATAGGGGCTGACTTCTCCCTTGCTGTTCTTATGATAGCGAGTGAGTTCTCACAAGGTCTGGTTGTTTGAAAGTGTGTAGCACTTCCCCCTTGTCTCTCTCTCTCTCTCTCTCTCTGTCTCTCTCTCCTGTCACCATGTGAAGATGTGCTTGCTTCCCCTTTGCCTTCTGCCATGATTGTAAGTTTCCTGAGGCTCCCCAGCCATGCTCCCTGTACAGCCTGTGGAACTGTGAGTTCATTAAACCTCTTTTCTTTATAAATTACCTAGCCTCAGGTCTTTCTTTATAGCAGTGCAAGAACAGACTCATACACTATTAAAATAAATGATTAAATAAACACCTATAATGTTGAATGAAAAAACAAAGTTCCGAGGAGGTTATGACTGATTTTTGAAATGTAAAGCACTATAATATACTATAAATTGTTATAGACATGTAGCACAGTATAAAACTCAAGAGTTGGTGAATGCAAGCCAACTTTGCCATAGTTACTCACTCTTTAAAAAGAGCTTTCCTAGGAAGATTTGGATACAAATATGACTAAATGTTGGCATGTTGAATGTAGTGGTGGACATGGAAGTACTTGTTATTTTTTTCTTGGTACTCTTTTACATGTTTGAAATATGTCATCATTTTTTTTTTGAAAAACCTGACCAATGCTGCAAACAGAACCATTAATTCAATTTCTAGAGGTTTCCACTCTTGCTTTCTCTCGTCGTCTTCTCTTTTATCATCTCAGGCCAAGTGTCAAGGCTGTCATCTTTATCCTGATCTATTCTGAAATTGCTTTTCTGGAAGTACTAAGCTCTACATCCTGAATGGATACATGGAGGCCGTGAAGTAAGCAGGCAGAATCGCCTATTTGTGGGGGCAAATGGAAGGAAAGTGGACTGAGTTCAGAGAGGACTTTCTCAAGAGGGTTTATTAAATAATATTCACCAAAGGCAACTGTGGTCAGGCTCAGCTTGGCACAGGGACAGGGGATGAGGCGGTAACACCCAGGCTTTGTCTTCCAGACACTCTCAGTCAAGGTAAGTGTCACCTGCCAGCTTCCACTCCAAAAACCAGCCTCCATCTGGCTGCCCATGGTATTTTCAGTGCCTTCTTCCTTTCAGTGACCATGGCTCAACATCCACCAGCAGGTGCAGTGATGAAAATTCTTTGCTTCCCCCATTGTTAGCCATGCTCCTGAACCTTCTCCTAGGCCTATGTGGGCATTTCTTTACGAAATCCAGGTTTAGCAAGAGCCCTGCTCAATGAGTGTATCCCCCACCTTCAATATCCGTTCACCCTCTGTATCTGCTCAGGTTCCTCATCATCCAGGGTAAGGCTCCAGTGCCATCCATGCTGTCCACACTCCAGTTCCATCCATCCCGTCCACACCCCAGTTCCATCCATCCCATCCACACCCCAGTGCAATCCATCCTGTCCACACTCCAGTTCCATCCATTCGTCCACATTCCAGTTCCATCCATCCCATCTGCACTCCAGTTCCATCCATTCCGTCCACACTCCAGTGCAATCCATCCCTTCCACAATCCAGTTCTGTCCATTCCGTCCACACCCCAGTGCAATCCATCCCGCCCACACTCCAGTTCCATCCCTTCGTCCACATTCCAGTTCCATCCTTCTCGTCCACACTCCAGTTCCATCCATCTCGTCCACACTCCAGTTCCATCCATCCCATCCACACCCCAGTGCAATCCATCCCGTCCACACCCCAGTTCCATCCATCCCATACACACCCCAGTGCCATCCATCCCGTCCATACTACAGTACCAGGCATCCTGTCCACCCTTCAGTGCCATCCATTCCATCCCCGTGCCTCCCCTGGCCACAGATGAGGGCTTTTCCCAGCACTTTTTCCCTCCATGGTCACAAGCTGCTGCTTTTTTCCTGAAAGAAAAACAATCCTAAATTTTGGGTTAATCATCTCCTTTTTTTTTTTTTACACAAAATTGTTTGACACCTGTAACTCCTATCCCTAAATAATATATTATTTACATTTGGCTTGTTTTGAACTTCATATAAATGAAATCATACTGAGTGTATTTTTCTATGACTTGTTTTTCCCCCAAATAACACTAACACATTTTTGAGAATCATCAATGTTTGATATTTGTAGCTAAAATACATTAAATTTTACTTCAATATTATATTTTATGGAGGTGCTATACATGACTCTGTAGAGACCAAGGGAAAACTTATCCTTTGTCCTCTGAAAGGACCCTGAAAATCAACTGGCAAAATGCAGAGTAGTAGGAAAAAACACCTACGAAATTTATTGTAATGTCCATAGCACAGGGGAATTGCAGGAGAATGATTACTCAGAAGGTGATGCACCTTCCTCCATAGATGAAAGAGAGAGGGAAGATAGATGATTTTTAGGGAGATTCAATGGGCTTGGAGAGCATACACCGGTCTTGAACAAAGTCTGTTGGGCCCCAGATCAGGTGTGTTGACAAAAGTCAGTCTTTCTGTAACATGAGTCAAGGTCATGAACACTCAGGCTGTTGTGTTTCCCTTTGGCAGGTCCTGTTTGTAGGTAGATAAGGGAACTTCAGGCAACAGCCTCATCCTGTGCTTCAGGAGAGACAGAAGATCCTGGGAGTCGGGAGGAAAGTCAGAGAGACCTTGAGGCTGCTTCATGTCAGAGCAAGCGCCGTGTTTCCGGGAAACAACTTATTCTTTCTGCTGTTGCTGGGTGTGGACATTGATTTCAGCTTTTTTGGTCCCATGAAACACACTGCTGTGTACATTCTTGTACATGTCTCTAGTTGCACATACGAGATCTTCTAGAGTATAGACTAACAGGTGGAAATGCTGGATTATAGGACACGAATGTGTCCAGTTGCACCAGCTAATGCCCGAATGACATTTTTGTACTGAACTTTCTTTTCTTTTTCTTTCTGGTATGTGGAATGTTTGCACTTTCTTGGTACAAATCTACTGTCAATCATGTGTTTTGCAATTATTCTGTCCCCCTTTGCAACATACTTTTTTCAGTTTCCCCACGGTTGCAGAACAGTGTTTCTCAATTTTAATGTAGTTAAAATCATCAGTGTATTGTGTCCTAGTTTGTACTTCTTGTGTCTTGTTTAAGAAATCTCTCCCCATCCCACAGGCATTAAAATATTTTCCTGTATTGACTTACAAAACTTGTGACTTTATCTTTCACATCTTAGCCTTTAATCCAAGTTGAATTAATTTTTGTATATGGTGGAAATTGGGATCAAATTTCATTTTTTACACTGAGAATAACCAGCACCATTTATTCAAACATCTAAGTGACAATTCTACTTCTTTCTTTTATTAAGCTATGGTACACAATTCTGTTTCCAGTCTCAATCTGTCCTATTTTATTTTATTTTATTTTATTTTATTTTATTTTATTTTATATTTTATTTTTGAGACAGAGTCTCCCTCTGTCACCTAGGCTGGAGTGCAGTGGTGCGATCTTGGCTCACTGCAGCCTCTGCCTCCCAGGTTCAAGCGATTCTCCTGCCTCAGCCTTCTGAGTAGCTGGGATTACAGGCATGCACCACCACTCCCAGCTAATTTTTGTATTTTTAGTAGAGACAGGGTTTCTCCATGTTGGCCAGGCTGGTCTCGAACTCCTGACCTGAGGTGATCCAGCTGCCTTGGCCTCCCAAAGTGCTGGGATTACAGGCGTGAGCTACCACGCCTGACTTCTGTCCCATTTTAAATGCAGTAGTTAGTTCAATGCTTCTTATCAAAAAAGAAAAATTAAAAATAAAGGAAGAAGAAAAAAAGGACCAAAGGAAAGGAGGAAAGGAGAGAGGGAGAGAAAAACAAAGAAAAAGAAAAGATGGGATTTTTACTAGAATTGAATTAATTTCCCTCTATTAGAATTTTACTGATTTTCTCATTTATCTTGAAGGGAGTCAATGTCTTTAAAAAAATTATATATATATATATATATATATATATATATATATATATATATATGGCCAGGCGCAGCGGCTCACGCCTGTAATCCCAGCATTTTGGGAGGCTGAGGCAGTCAGATCACCTGAGGTCAGGGGTTTGAGACCAGCCTGGCCAACACAGTGAAACCCCATCTCTACTAAAAACACAATCAGGCAGACGTGGTGGTGGGCACCTGTAATCCCAGCTACTCGGGAAGCTGAGGCAGGAGAGTTGCTTGAAGCCAGGAGGCAGAGGTTGCAGTGAGCTGAGATCATGCCATTGCACTCCAGCCTGGGAAACAGAGCAAGACTCCGTCTCAAAATAAAATAAAATAAAATAAAAATAAATGTGCAGTTCACACATAGACTACATCTCTACAAAATGTCAGGCCTTATTTAATTTTGTCTGAGACTTTTGTGATTTTCCACAAAAATGTGTTCTATACTTTGTCTTTGATTGATTACTTGCACTTTACGTTTTTTGACCTTATTGTAAATATTATATCTTTTATTATTCAAATGTTGAATGTTATCAGGTAATTTAAGTGAATCCATTCGGGAAATCATATGATTTTGCTCCTTTAATTTCTTACTATGGAGAAATACATAAACTGATTTCTATTGTTAAGCCGCCCTCTCATTCCTGGGGTAAACTCAACTCGGTGGCAAGAGAGATTTCTTTCTCCATGTTGTTGCAATCCTTTTGCTATTACTGAGATCTGTGTGTCTGTATTTATGGATGAGATTGTCCCTTTTATACCTTTTTCATAATGGAAGTGTCTTCTTTGACATTAATGCTATTCTACTATTGTATCAGTCTGTTTTCACACTGCTGAAAAAGACATACCCGAGACTGGGTAATTTATAAACAAAAAGAGGTTTCACATGTTCTCACTCATAAGTGGGAGTTGAACAGTGAGAACATAGGGACACAGGGAGGGGGGAACATCACACACTGGGGCCTGTTGGGGGACAAGGGGAGGGAGAGCATTAGGAGAAATACGTAATACATGTGGGGCTTAAAACCTAGATGATGGGCTGATGGGTACAGCAAACCACCATGGCACGTGTATGCCTATGTAACAAACCTGCACATTCTGCACATGTATCCCAGGACTTAAAGTACCATAAAAAATAATAAAATAAAACAAAAAGAAAAAGGGATTTAATGGACTCGCAGTTCCATGCGGCTAGGGAGGCCTCACAATCATGCAGAAGGTGAAAGGCACATCTTACATGGTGGCAGGCAAGACAGAATGAGAAGCAAGTGAAAGGGCTTTCCCCTTATAAAACCATCAGACCTCATGAAACTTACTCAATGAGAACAGCATGGGGGAAATGGCCCCTATGATTCAATTATCTCCCACCAGGTCCCTCCCACAACACGTGGAAACTGTGGGACTACAATTCAACATGAGATGTGGGTGAGGACACAGCCAAACCAGATCAACTCTCTAGGTGCCTTAGTCCCTTAAAATGAGCTGGGAACAGTCACTGTGCATAGGATGACACGTGTGTCTTTTGTTCCATAAATGTTTGGTCAAACTTGCCTTTTAAAAAGCTGAGTCTTGTGCTTTCTTTATGAAAAGAATTTTTATCTCTGATTCAATTTCATCAATGGAGAATTGACCCATTACTATTATTTTTTTCACCTCTGCTTCAGTCAGATCTGTTGTCTTTCCTGTGATTTATCTATTCAACCTAATTTTAAATGTTATTCATGTGAAATGATTCACATTATTGTGTTATCTTTTTAATTTTGGCTGCTTCTAAAGCTATGACCCTTTTCATTCCTAAAAATGTGTACTGTGGGCTGGGCGTGGTGGCTCACACCTATAATCCCAGCACTTTGGGAGGCTGAAGCGGGTGGATCACCTGAGGACAGGAGTTCGAGACCAGCCTTGCCAACATGGCAAAACCCCATCTCTATTAAAAATACAAAAAAAAATAATTAGCCAGGCGTGGTGGTGGGCGTCTGTAATAATCCCAGCTACTCCAGAGGCTGAGGCAGCAGAATTGCTTGAACCTGGGAGGCAGAGGTTGCAGTGATCTGAGATCGCACCACTGCACACCAGCCTGGGCAACAGAGCGAGACTCAAAAAAAAAAATAGTCTGTACTGTGGTTTAGCCTTGTTTCCTTGCCCAGTCTTCATGGGAATTTGTAATTCCATCGCTCTTCTCAAAGAGCCACCACGCAACTCAGTTGGTCTTCATTTGCAAGTTCATTGATTTCTATCTTATTTTCTTCATATTACTTTGATTTTCATTCAATTCTATTTCTTTATTTATACACTACTTTTTTGGTTATTAATATTTTAAGTAAATATCAACTTATTTAATTATATGATATTAAATTATTCTGTAGAAAAACATGCTCTTTCTTTCCATTTATTCCGACCATTGTTATTTTATAAAGTTTGTTGGCTGGTACTTTTATGTATTTTTGAATTAAAATGCAGTAGAATGGATTTTAGAACATGTATGTACGGTTATGAGTCTTAAGCAACCAGACCATCAGGATGCAGGGAAGCCCTTCCGTCGCCACGAACGTCTCCCTGACATCACCCTTCATAGTTACGCCCTCCTCGCTCCCTAATCCATTCTCGCCACCATCATCATCCTTCTCAAGAGTGTCATACAAAGAGAAGTTTAGGATATGTAAGCTTTCAAGGCTGGTTTCTTTCACTCAGCATAATTCTTTTGAATTATTCCAAGTCGTTGTCTGTATCGATATCGCACCTGTCATTCCAGCTGAGTGGCATGCATTGCATGATGCCAGTGTGTGGGTTCCACCGCGTTCCATCAGGGTATCCCTGAGTATGGATTACAGTTCATCAATTCCCTTGGTGACAGGCATTTGGATTGTTGCCGGTATCGGGCTATGGATAGAGCTTCCATAAGCATTATGCACATTTTTATATGAATATGCATTTCATCTCTTTTGGATAAACACTCGAAAGAGGTATCGAGGGGCACATGTCTGTTTAACTTTCTAAGAAACTGCAAACTGATTTTTACTAGGTTGGTGAAAAAGTAATTGTGGTTTTTGCATTAAAAGTACTTTTAATGGCAACATTTCATTTTATAAAATAAAAATAATCTGAACAAAAAGAAAGGAAGAAAGAAAGAAAGAAAGAAAGAAGAAAAAGAAAGAAAGAAAGAAAGAAAGAAAGAAAGAAAGAAAGAAAGAAAGAAAGAAAGAAAGAAAGAAAGAAAGAGGGAGGGAGGAAGGAAGGAAGGAAGGAAAGAAGGCTTTTTTTTTTTTTTTTTTTTTTTTTTTTTTTTTTTTTTTTGAGACAGAGACTCGCCCTGTCGCCCAGGCTGGAGTGCTACGGCGCAATCTTGGCTCACTGCAACCTCCGCTTCCCGGGTTCAAGCAATTCTCTGCCTCAGCCTCCCAAGTAGCTGGGATTACAGGTGCCCACCACCATGCCTAGCTAGTTTTTGTATTTTTAGTAGAGATGGGGTTTCACCAACTTGGCCAGGCTGGTCTTGAACTCCTGACCTTGTGATCTGCCCACCTCAGCCTCCCAAAGTGCTAGATTACAGGTGTGAGCCACCGCACCCTGTGGAAGGAAGGACCTTTAATGGCAAAAACCGCAATTACTTTTGCACAGCCTAACCACATGGCTATCCCATGTCGCCCTCTCAGCAGCCCCACATGGTGATTCTAGGCATATCCTTGAGCACTGAGAACCAGTGGTTTCCATGTTAGCCGTGCGCACCACGCGCTGTGGTACCTCAACCTGGCTTAACTAGCACTTACCTAATGCCCAATTATGTCGAACGTCTTGTCAGGTGCTTTTGTGCCACCTGCATACCTGCTTTGCTGAAGTTTCTGGTCAAGTGTTTTGCCCATTTTTAAATTGTGTTGTTTGTTTTCTTACTGTTGAGCTTCCAGCTTTTTTTATGTATTCTGGACACAAGTATTTGTCAGATATGTGGTTTGCAAATATCTTCTCCCGGTCTGTAACTTGTCTTTTCACCCACTTAACTGCATCTTTGAAAAAGCAATAGCTATTAATATTGATAATTTTCCATTTTTTCTTATTTTTATTTGTATTTATTATACATATATATTTGAGACAGAGTCTCGCTCTGTCACCATGTTGGAGTGCAGTGGCATGATCTTGGCTCACTGTAACTTCTGCATCCCGGGTTCAAGTGATTCTCCTGCCTCAGCCTTACGAGTAGCTGGGATTACAGTTGAGTGCCACCACGCCCGGCTAATTCTTGTATTTTTAGTAGAGACGGGGTTTCACCATGTTGTCCAGGATGGTCTCAATCTCTTGACCTTGGGATCTGCCCGTCTCAGCCTCCCAAAGTCCTGGGATTACAGGCGTGAGCCACAACACCTGGCCTCCATTGTTCATTTATTGACTTTTAGGAATCACGCTTTTGGTGCCGAGTCTAAGTACTTTTTGTTTAACCTGGTCACAAAACTTTTCTCCCATATTTTATTTTAAAAATGTTAGTTTTACTTTTCACATTTAGGTCTACGGTGTATTTGGGGTTAACTTAGGCAGAAGGTGTGAAGCTTAGATCAGAGTTTACTTTTTGGTAAATGAACATCCAATTGTCCCAACATCTTTTGTTGAAAGACTATTATTTTCCATCGAATGCCTTTGTGCCATTGTTATCGATTGGTCACATCTCTGTCGATCTATTTCTGGGCTCTCTATTCTGTTCCATTGATCTACATGTTTATCTCTTCACCAATATGACACAATCTTCATGACTGAAGCCCAAAGCAAGTCTTAATAATAAGGTCGTACCATTCCTCCTAATTCATTTTTTTGTTCAAAATTGTTTAGCCTATTCTACTTGGGTTTTTTTTTTCCTATGTAAATTTTAGAACCAGCTTCCCTATGTCTACAAAAAAAATTTTTGCTGGAATTTTAATGACTTAATTTATATCTGTGGATAAGTTAAGGGGAAACTGACATTTTCTTATACTGAATTTTTCAACTTATTAACACAGTATATCTCTTCATTTATGAGGTCTTCTTTGATTATTTTTATCTGTATTTTCTAATTCTTACCACAAAGATTCTGTATGTTTCATTAGATTGATTCCTAAGAATCTCCTTTTGAGCTATTGTAAATGGCATTGTTTCATTAATTTCAGACTTCAGTTGTTCATTGCTGGTATATAGAAACATAACTTACTCTTATTCTTGTTATTTTCCTTCCACTTGATTTTGGTTTGTTTTCTCTCATCTGTTTCTCATTTCTTAAAGTTAAAGCTTGTGTCATTGATTTTAGACCCTTTTCCTTCCTACCGTGAGTGAAGAACACTTTACATAGAGAAAACATACTCTATGTTCCTTCCTGGCACCACTTTAGCTATGTTCTATACATTTGGATATCACAAATTTTCATTTTTTTTTAGGTCAGGATTTTGTTTTGTTTTGTTTTTTTGAGATGGAGTCTCGCTCTGTCACCCAGGCTGGAGTGCAGTGGTGCAATCTCAGCTCTCTGCAACCTCCACCTCCCAGGCTCAAACGACTCTCCTGCCTCAGCCTCCTGAGTAGCTGGGATTACAGGCACCCACCACCACGCCTGGCTAATTTTTTTTTGTATTTTTAGCAGAGATGGGGTTTCGCTATGTTGTCCAGGCTGGTCTTGAACTCCTGACCTCCAGTAATCCTCCCGCCTCGGCCTCCCAAAGTGCTGGGATTACGTGTGTGAGCCACCTCGCCCAGCCAGGTCAGAATATATGTTAATTCCCATTGAGGCTGTGTCCGTGACTCATGGATTCCTGAAAGATGGGTTCCTTAATTTCCAAATGTTTGGATGTTTTCCTGTCAACTTTCTGTTATTGTCAGTTTAATTACATTACAACCGGTATAAAGTCACACTTTTTATGAATTCTGTTTTTTAAAGTTTGTTAAGGTTTGTTTTATAATCCAGGATATGGCCTCTCAGGAATGCACCAGGTGCACCTGAAAAGCACATGTGTTTGCTCTTGCTGGGCGGCACGTCCCGTAAGTGCTGGTTAGGGCCACTTAGCCGATGGTGTTATCGGGCCTCTTTTGGTCTTTCCAACGTTCTGTCTCCTGGCTCTACCAGTCTCTGGAAGGGAAATGTTGATGTGTCCAATTCTATCTGTGAATTTGTCTGTTTCCTCTTTTAGTTCTGTTTATTTTGAAGCGATGTTATCAGGCACATACTCACTGAGCATCGTTATGTCTTCCTGGTGAACTAACCCCCTTATCACTGTGCAATGTCCCTCTTCATGCCCAGAACTGTTGTTTACGCTGAGGTCTCCCTTGTTTGATGTTGATATAACCACTCTAGCTGTCTTTTGATTTACAGTGAGTTTCTTATAGATGATGACCAGCTGGGCCAAGCTTCTTTATCTATTCTGACACTGTCCATCATTTAATTGGTGTGTTTAAGCCGTTTGCATTTAACATAACTATTGATGTGTTTAGTTTTAGGTCCACCATCTTACTATTTCTTTTTCGTTTTTGTTTGTTCCAACTGTTTTCCTTTCCTCTTTTTCTCTTTTCCATTCTTTTCCTGGACTTTCCTTTTTTTTTTTTTTTTTTTTTTTTTTTGATGGAATCTCGCACTGTCACCCAGGCTGAAGTGCAATGGTGCCACCTCAGTTCACTGCAACCTCCGCCTCCTGGGCTCAAGGGATTCTCCTGCCTCAGCCTCCCAAATAGCTGGGACTACAGGAGCCTGCCACCACACCTGGCTAATTTTTGTATTTTTAGTAGAGATGGGGTTTCACCATGTTGGCCAGGCTGGTCTCAAACTCCTGACCTCAGATGATCCTCCCACCTCAGCCTCCCAAAGTTCTGGGATTACAGGCATGAGCCAGCTCTTTGTATTCTTATATTGTATAGTGTGTATTAGACTGCTTTCTGAATTAGCAAAATGTCTTTTGGGGATCTGTTCATATCATTTTATTTTTCCTCTGATTTATCCATGGAATGAATTAGATTGTTGAATATCCTGATATTAAATCCCATTTATGTTTCTGGAAAAAATACTACGTTGTTCAATTGTTCTATTCCTCTGTTATACTTCCATATTCTATTTGCCATCCCGATACGTAGAATTCCTGACATTCATGTCAACACTGGGGCTACAATGTAATTTACTCTTTTGTACGATGTTACAGTTACACTTGCTTTGTCCAGTTACGCTTGCTTCCAAAAGTGAGATCAGGCACCGTTTACCTTTTCCTGTGACACAGTGTTTGTTCACCGGCACTGTAATGTCCTTGCCTCTGAAGTCAAGTGTAACTCATCTGTGAAACCGTTTGTCATGATGCCTTATTGAAAGTGATGTTCTCGGACCAACTTTGTCATCCCCCTGCTTCCCCTTGGGCTGATGCTGGTGATTTATAGTTGGCTGGGCAGTTGCTTCCTCTGTGGTCCAAATTTTATTTCCATAAACATGCCGTTCTCATCGCGTAGTGCCTCAATTCACAGGCTCTGCCTTCCTCCAGCCTCCCGTGTGAGGCAAAGTGGTCTCAGGTCAAGGAATGTGACCTGGGTGGCTGTAGCTCCTCCTTCCCTCCAGCCTGCTCTCCAGGGCCCCAGGGGTCCTCCAGCAAGTCTCCTGCTTCTGTGGCCTCCATGGTCTCATGGGTCCCCTCTCTGCAGGCTGGACTAGGATGCTGTGTGCACAGCCTGGGAAAGCTGCTGAAAACGCCTTTGCAAAAACTATAATTGAGAAAATTATGTTAGTGAAATAGATTAGACCTAACTGACTTCATTTTCCTTTTAACTTTTTTTTTTTTTCTTTTTTGAGACAGAGTCTTGCTCTGTCACCCAGGCTGGAGTGCAGTGGTGCAATCCCAGCTACTGCAACCTCCGACTCCCTGGTTCAAGTGATTCTCCTGCCTCAGCCTCCCCAGTAGCTGGGATTACAGGTGCCTGCCACCACGCCCAGCTAAGTTTTGTATTTTTAGTAGAAACGAGGTTTAACCATGTTGGCCAGGATGGTCTCGATATCTGTCCACCTCGGCCTCTCAAAGTGCTAGGATTACAAGCGTGAGCCACCACGTCCGGCCTCCTTTTAACTTTTAAACTGTCTTTGTTTATTCCTGGGTGTAGGCAGCGGGCAAGGTGAACCCACTGGGCATTAACACTGCAAGGGCAGAGGGCGGCCATTGCCCGGGAAGAGGGGCTGCTCCAGGGCCCCCTAAACACACTTGGCACAGGGCGCTGAGAGCCCCAACAATCCAGCTTCGACCCTGTTCCTCTGGGTTGTGAGGGAGGGGGCTCTGGTTGAGGCGTGAGGATACAAATGTCTTTTCATGGTTAGTGAGCTTGATTTACCCCTGTAAGATACTTCACCATATAATACGTGGGCCTTCACTTACATCATGCATTTCAAGCCAGGGCAACAGATCGTACACATCACAGGGGCCTGGGGCACTGCGGAGACCCTCATGCATGAATCAGATACTGCATATTTGTGGTTTCAAAACTTAATTAGTAAAGGAGATCACGATTAGGAAAAAGAGCCTAAAACACTCCTTAGGGTGACAGTAATTATGAGAAACACTGTCAGGGACAGGCCAGTTGCAGATTGCATGAAACTCCGGCTTCACCATTTAATTGCGTGTGTCTGTCATTTTAGTTACGTTCTCATCTGCACGCCTGATTTTCTTTTTCTTTTTGTCCTTCATCAGGTTCAGCAGGATTCCTGTATTCATGCATCTGTTCAAAGAAACAATTATTGGGTTTATGCATGTTTTCTAAGACTGTTTTTGTCTTGAAATTAATTAACTTTCATCTTGTGAATCTCCCTTTTGTCTTTTATTTGGTGTTTTACTGCCTTTCTTTATTATTAAATACCTAAGTGTATGGTTTTCCACTTTAACCAGGGCGACACTCCATCTTCCTCCAGCACCTGTGACGTTCTCCTCTGAGCTGTCGGGCGAGTAAGCGCTTTGCTTCCTCACTTTGTGGTGAGTTTGAAACTTCTGGCATGTCTTGGGTTCTGGGCCAAGTGATGTCCACAAATCAATTCTTCTTTTCTATGGGGCTGACAATTTTGCTCACCATTTTATTATCTATTTTTAATTGTATCGGGGGTTAGAATTGGAGAAAAAGGCCTGTAAAAATCACAACCGAGTTTTATACTTACGGTATTCGTTGTCAAATACATGATTGGTTTTGAAGACAATCCCCAAACATGAAATAAAACAACCAGATAGCCTCTGATTAAGGTTCAATCTGTGTTAATTGCTGAATTGAGTGTATTTATTTCACAATTCAATTCTTTTGTCTGTTTTAGTTTTTATCTCAGACATATATTTGATTCCGAAACAGACAGAATTTCTCGCTGACGCTCCTTTGATCCAGATCTTGTATTTGTGATCCTCTTGGCTTTATTCATTCAGCTGCTGTATATTTTGGTGCATGCACGAAGTTTTGTGACTGTTAAAATTTCTTTGGAAGCCGTGCTTCTTATAATCATGCAATGTTATATGTTCGTGCCAGTTTACTACTTTTCACCTAAAATTCTAAAATTCTAGAAGGGTGTTAATATGCCTGTCTGTTTTGTTTTTGTTTTGCTTTGTTTTTAGCATTTGCATTTTCCTAAACAGAAACTCCAGGCCCCACACCCCCAGTCACTGAGGTTCTTGAGGTGCCTTTATTTTTCTTGTGGCTTCTTCTCTATCCAAGAGATGCAAATGAGGTGGCCTCTTTCCTTTCTCACTGAGTTTTGGCCTTAGAAAAATGTAAAGTGACTTAAAATTATTGCTAAACATTACAACCTCATTGTGGAAACTGACTTAGAAACTATAGATAAATGGAAAGAAACTGACTTAGAAACTATAGATACATGGAAAGAAACGGACTTGGAAACTATAGATAAATGGAAAAAAACTACAGATAAACGAAGTGTAATGTCACCGTCCAGGAGGAAACATCACGGCTGCCTATGGCTGCTCGGACTCCCTGGGACGAGACGCTGGGCAGGGTTTAGGGAGCAGGCTGCGTGTCTAGGAGTAACATGGGCCCAGCTGTGGCTCATGGGGGTGGCCACGCAGGGGTGACAGAGGGAGGGGAGCCCAGTGCACCCCGAGCTGAGGGAAAAACTGCAGTCACAGTCCAGTGCTTCAGTCCAACACTTCATGCAGGTTCTCAACCGCCACGCATGCATTCCGTCTTCTCTTGCCGGTGACTGTAAATTTTAAAACCAAGACATGGACGTGGACTTCCTGGGTCTTGCATGTGTTTCCAGTTTGTCCTGGATCCGTAGGAGGCTGGGATTACAGAGTGAGATGTGCGAGGCTTACAGGAAGCCAAGAGGAAGTGTTGAGTTGACGGCCTGGTAGACCGTCCCAGAATCCAGGGGGGCGTGTGGGCTGTACGTGGGCAATGGACAGTCAGCCCGTGCCAGCTGCCAGGGTTTCTGGGGGATGCTCCAGAGGAGTGGGCAGGAGAGCAGAGGAGGGTCCCTGCCAAGAGGGTCCTTGGGAAGAGGCGGGGACCTGCCCTGAAGCCTGAGGTGAAGGAGAGGAGAGCGGGGGCACCTCACAGAAGCCACAGGAGGGAGGCCTGTTGGGAGGATGGAAACCTGCTGAGTTTGAGGGTGAAGGACCGAGGAGGATGCCTGTTGGGAGGATGGAAACCTGCTGAGTTTGAGGGTGAAGGACCGAGGAGGATGCCTGCATGGTCTCCTCTAGAGAGAGCAGAGGGAGTAGAGACAGAGCATCTCTGCGGTTGTGACTGAAAGTGGGAGCTACTGTGGCACCCAGGTCCAAGAGGGAGCTGCATCCTTTGCTTGCGTTTAGACACAGCACATTTGTGTAGCCCTGACGGCCACCCCATGGCCCCCGCTGCCAGCCCCCTTCTAACCTGTGGCCTCCTTCAGTTCAGAAGACGATTAGGGGACAAGCCGTTGACTTGGTTACTGAGAGAGGCTGGGCTGGAAGAAAAGGCGCGGATGTGTTTGACAAGCAGCCCAGGGAAGAGTGAGTCCCAGCCCTCAGCAGTCTCCCCAGGACTGAAACAGCCTAGGCCCTGCACCCAGGGAACAGTGAGTCCCAGCCCTCAGCAGGCTCCCTGGGAATGAAACTGCCTGGGGCCTGCAGTCCCACGTGGTGGTAAAGAGCCTGTCCCTGGAAAAGCTGTGGGGGCCCTGCAGTGGCTGAGCCCAGAGGGAGAAAGGAAGGGGCAGGCCACATGCTTGGTTGTGCACCTGCTCTCCTGCTCTGGCCAGACCAGCTGTTCTCCCCTGTGCAGGCGGTGCAGTGGGTGTCAGAAGGAGGGCGGCCTTTGCAGGCATCACTCTGGAGGAGGAACATCAGCCTCGGGAATACCCCTCCTCTAACAGGGGTACATGGGATGCCCCCACTGGCTCTCATCACTTCCTCTGTTGCCAAGGGGACTGGCCAGGCCTCCATGGGCCTCCACTGTGGGTCTCCACATTGGGATTGATGGTGATGCATTTGAGCCAGCACATCCTCTGCGGTGGATGTCCAGTCCTCCTCATAGCAGTGGTGAGATGCTGAGGGCCCAGGCATGTGTGGGAGGCATGTGAGCCCCGGACACACACCAATGGCCGATGGCCACCCTGCTCAGCTCACTCCTGGCCTTGCTGGACCTGTCTCTCATCTGTAAAATGAAAAGATTGAAGCAATTATTCCAATTGCTCTGAGGGCCTTTGATTCTAAGCTTTATTTCTGGAGAAAAAATATGTTTATGTTGAGGTCATTTTAGCAAATTGTTTCCCAGAGTAAATTTTATTTTAAAGGCAACTGTAACTCACTTGTTTTCTTCCTATTGTCCAAATCTTTACACTGAAAATGCTGGTGTGTCTTTCTCAGTGTCTAATTCAAGCAGCTCAGATTCCTCAGGACAAGGAGGAGCAGGGGCCCCTTGAGGAAGCCAGGACAAAATTCTGGTGGGCGCAGAGCACAGGCAGCTCTGTTGGTTCTCACTCAAACCCTCTCAACAAAGGGGGGCAACAATGGCAAACTCCATAATACCTGTTCCCATCCATCGTCCACCCATCCATCAACTCATCTATTATCCACCCATCCATCAACCCATCCATCCACCCATTCATCCACCATCCACCCATCCATTCATCCATCCATCATCTACTCATCCATCAATCCATGCAGCTAGCCATGCATAATCCACCCATCTATCAATCCATTCATCATCCACCCATCCATCAATCCATCCATCCATCCATCATCCAGTCAACCATTAATCCATCATCCCCACTCCATATATCTATCTTCCACTCATCCATCCATCATTCACTCATCAATCAATCCATCCATTCACCCATCCATCAATCCATCTCTCCCTCATCCATCAATTCATCATCCACCCTTTCACCCATCCCTCCATCCATCCATCCATCCATGCATCCCTCCATCCATCTATTCATCCACCTATCCATTCATCCATCATCTACCCATCCATCAATCCATTTATCAGTCCATCCATGAAGCCATCCTCTTCCATCCATCCCTTCACCATTTGCCCACCTGCCCATCCCTCCATCCCTTCACCCATCCATCATTCACGCATCCACCAATCCATCTATCTATTCATCCCTTCACCTACCCATCCATCCCTCCATCCCTATACCCATCCATCCATCCATCCATCCATTTGTCCTCTACCCACCCACCCATCTGTCATCCACCCACCTATCCATCTTTTCATCCATCCATTCATTATCCACACACACACCTGTCTGTCATCCACCTACCCATTCATCTTTTCATCCATCCATCCATTGATCTATTCATCCATCCATCCAAGGGGGATTTATGGAGCTCCTGCTTCCTGATTGCTCTGTTGTGTACCTGAGGCCCTGCCTCTACAGCTCAGCAGTCTTGTCCTGTATCATGTGATCATAAAGGTAAGGGGGCAGAGGAAAGAAGGCAAGCATGGTTAGGGGATCGAGGGTGGAGTGAGAAACTAAAACCTAGAAAGCTCAGGGGACCCCCACTTGTCACACCAGCTCTGGCCACTCTCATTTTCAGTTATAGCAGATTAAGCTGCACACACCGGATAGACAGATACACAGCCAGATACAGACTGACATAAAGATGGAGGTAGATGGATCCACAGATAATAGACAGATAGATACAGAGATCAGTGAGTAACAGATAGATAAGAGATAAATATAGATGATAAAAAGATGATAGATGGATGAATGATAAAGGGTTAGACAGGTGGATATGCAAACTTTTATACCTACAATTCAGACACAACATTGCATCTGTGTGTGTGTGTGTGCGTGTGGGCACTTGTGCCAGACACATGGCAGATTTTCAATGAGCATTTGCTGCTTGAATGTCTAAGGGGCATCAACTGGTTTTCCTAGAATCCCTAGAGGGGTCTGCCAGGGAAGGAGTCTCCGGCAAGATTTCTCAGAATTGGTGTAGAACGTGCAGAATTCTGAACCTCACATGAGTGGTGGGATTTGGGGCTTCTCAGGACAGGGCCCAGGAGACACTGTGTAGGCTGCATCTGGGGAGCACAGGCCTGCAGGAGGCTGCACAGCAGCCTGGTCCTACAAGCAGAGGCCGTGCTGGCCCTGAGGCTTTGCAGTTCTGTCCAACTGATCCCCCCTCACAAGGGAGACATCGAGGTTGGGGTGGGAGTGGTGACGGCCCCAGCACCGGGGAGTCCTGACACAGGGACCTCCACCCTCCACACGGGGCTCAGCCCACAGAGGCTGCCGCACCCCGAAGCTGCACCCTGCAGCCCTCACACTGGCCTGTGTCTCCCCATTCCGACACCAATCAATAGCCATCTGCTAAGAAGGGAAAGTGCAGACAGGTGTGCTGGGCGCATAATGGTGCTGTGGCCGTCCCTCCCATATGGGCACCTCCTGGGGTGTCCGATTTCCTCACTCAGTTGCCCGGCTGCCTCCCCCAGGAAGTCCCCCTGGATGCCCTTGCCCAGGGCGAGTGAGTTTCCCTCCCTTGGGGCCCCTCACTCTGGACATGTGTCGATCCACCCCTGACAGTGGCCCTCAGCTTTCATGTCCCACCCACAGGGACTCGGGATCCCTGAAGACAGAGGCCACATTCAATTCATCTCAGTCCCAACACCAAGCACAATGTCTGCAGAAAGCAGTGACTCAATACATTTTTTGTTTAATTTGCCCAATTTGGTCAATAAAAAAAAGAACTATTATCCTGCACTAGAATTCCCAGCTGAATTTGCTGCCTGAAATCTGCTCTAGAAGGAAAAATAGACGTTAGCTCCGAGTCTCTGCAGACTGCACAGCTCTAGGTTGATGTAATTAACTTCTCTGGCCTCCAAGGTAGTTTGATGTTAGTTCAATTTTATTATATTTCAGAATTTTCTCTCAGGTTTTTCTTCAATTCCTCAGCTTCATTCAAAAATAGTACCTAGACGAAGTCTTGACAGAGAAAGAGATGTTATTTGTGTCTCTGTTGCATCTTAAATTATATTGAATTGTTTTCTTGACGCAAGCGCCCCACCCTCAAAGTCCCCACTGCAGCAAATGCAGCCCGGCTGGGGGCAGCTGGGGCAAGGATGGGCCAGGCATTGTTCATCGCAGTGCTGGTCCACTCTGCAAGGGCTGTAACGGAGGGGGCAGCCTCTCCCTGAGTAAAGCTGAGGGCTTCCCATGCCTGCTCCAGGTCCTTCTGCCCTCTTGAAAACATTGTTTGAAGAAATACCTCGGGGAAGAAGAAGTGCAACTCTGTGGCTGATGGAGGAGCATGGGCGTGCTTTGCAATCAATAGGAAGCCACTCGGCGGCTTGAGAGCTGTCCTAGGAGGCCGGCGGCATTTCCTTTGGAATCCCAGACAGCAAATGCAGAGGACGGGTGGGGACTTGCAGAGCGGTGGTTTCAGCGGATACCTGAGTGCCTCCGGGAATGAGCTCAGGAGGCGTCAGAGGCCTGGATGGTGTCTGCGGCAGAAATGGGCCTCTGGTCAGCCCTAGGGGGTCAGGGCTGAGGGGTGGACGGTCCCTCCATCACAGTCTTGGCGAAGCTCAGGACCCGCCCCCAGCTGCGAAACCCTCCCTGAGGTGGCTCCCTGCCTGCTGTGAGGTGAGGGAGGACACAGGGGTAGGTCTGTGGCTGTCCTCCTCCTCCGTAACTCAGCCCAGCAACCTGGCAGTGCTTCCAACTCGGGTCGCCTTTATTCCTGTCCCCTGATATCCCAAACATCCGTAAGTCTTGTCTATTTCACATCCTGGATGTCTCCGAAAGGCACTAATTTCTCTCCATCTGGACCACTGGCACTGGCCCAAGCCACTAGTGTCTGGAGCCCGGGCAGGTGGAAAGCTCCATCCATCAGACCCGTGCCCCCTGCCCACCCCTGAGGCCTTCCCTGGTCTCTGTCACAATGCTACCTTCACGTCACGTCTACCTTCCTCTGCCCTTTAAGTCCATCTTGCATGGAAATAGGTTCCCCTAAGCCTGTCCCCTTGTAGTGCCACTTTGGTGGATAAAACCCTAAACCCCTGTCTCTGCGATGATCCCACCAGAAGCCTGGGCATCAGGCCAACTTCCTCTGTCCCCAAGTGCTGCTAATTTTACTTCCCAAGTACTTCTCAAATGCACCCCTCATTCCTAACATTTGTAATTCCCAAGGGCTTCCCCTGTGCTCAGCTTCCAGAGGGTCTCCTTACCTGCAGTCTGGCCTGGATGACTCTCTGACATCCAAGTATGTGTTGCACTCTCCTTGGGAGACCTGCCCTGCTCCGACTGGATGCATCTCTCACCAGTGCCACGCTGGTCGCAGACAGCCGGTACACGGCAGGCTCCTGGCCTCTGCACTGCGGCTCTAGCTGCTGCCTCCACCTGCACTGCTCAGCTCTCCTTCTCTGGAAGCCTTTCTCCCTTGCGCTCGACCCTCTAGACTTGGCGGCAACGTCCCTGCCTGCAGGAAAACATCCTTGAGCTGAGCTTCCTCACCTAGAATTGCTGAACATCTCCACGTGACATTAAAATTATCTGTTTTGTTCCTGCCACTAAGATTACACATGATCAAGGAAATAGTACGTAAAAATGTGGTCAGAATGCACAAAAATGTAAAACTCAGTGTATACGTAACATGCAGATAACCAATCCTAGAAGGCAAAAAAAAAAAAAAAAAAGCTAAAGTTGCATGCATGGCAAACCTGGCAAAAGGTCGACAATCACCATGGATGAGAACGACACACACCAATGGTGGCTATGGCCAGATTACGCACAGCACGAAGGCGCAAAGGCAGCGCGTGGAACCACATGGGACAGCCAGGCGGATGGAAACCAAAGACGGCGAAGCACAGGAGGGTTTGCGGTGGTCTCCGGGCTTGTCTCCGGGTCTGTGAGTGCAGGAATGTCATACGCTTGGATACCTCCAATTCTAGACAGCTCCTTCTGTCCATTCTAGACAGCTCTTTCTGTGCCGCTTGTGGGGAGGATGGGAGTGAATTTCTAAAATACTTATTCATTTTGCCTTGGTATTGGCATTCTAATGACAAATATTGAGGTTATAATTCTAAGTAAAATAAAACTTTTATCCAAAGCTCTATGAACAGCTCAACAAGTGAAATAATCTAAATGTCCAAAAATATGGAAAGATGATATAAACTGTGATGTAGCCATTTGATCAGTATTTCTGAGCTACTGGGTACACCTATACGTGTATATGTATATGTGCATGTATATGAATGGGTATGCATACATATATTTTTTTAAATGTGGTCCCCGCCCTAGGATCTGTAACCCTAAATGGGTTAGGGGACTCTGGCCTCTTTGCATAAGTCTTGGGAGGAACTCTCTTATGTAGAGGTCAGAGCCCCAGTTTTCCAGCCCTCCTTGCAGAGAGAAAATGGGCCGTGGCCCAGGTCCTGCCAGTCAATGCTCCCAGCAGGGCCGAGCAACCAGGGGCTGGCAAAGACCCTGGGAGGCTGGCTTTGCCCAGAGCAGCAGCAGCGCCCAGCATCCATGGTGCCAGCACAGGAAGGCAAGCTCCGGGATGAGTCCGGCGGCACAGGGGTTCTGTCTTTCTGTGGTTCTGTCTGTCTCAGGGGTTCTGATCCTGGGCAGCAGCCCTGAGTTCGTGGCCACCACGCCTGGTTTCTCAGCCCTTCCAGAAGGGCTGCAAGCGATGCAAGAGGAATATATTTCTTTTCCTTTTTCTTTTTCTTTTTGCTCAAATGGCTGGACTGGACTTGCTTTCTGTCGCTTGCACGTGAGAAGGCCGTCTGAGTATTCTGGTTTGGCCTCTCAAAGTTTATGGGGAAATTCTTATGATATAGTGCTTAGTAAAAATTAGTACTAAACAGCTAATCAATAAATTATAATAGTAAACAAAACTAAAATTGACTGAAAAACATAGCACAAAAATTCTACAATCTATATGAGCAAATCACAACCAGAGATATGTAAAAAGGGGTAATATGTCTTGGCCAAGTAGAATTTACCCAAAAAATATAAAATTGGTTCAAGATTAAGAAAAAATATCAATGGATGAAATCTACTACCTTATTAGAATAAAGGGGGGAGCTATCATATTTCAGGAAAAAATGTCAATAAAATTCAAAATCAATTTAAGATAACTCATAGTAAACTTGAATAGAAAAAATGTCCTTAATTCTGTAAGGGGCATCTATGAATAAAACCTACTGCAAGCATTACAGTTAATGTCAAAGTACTGCAGCTCTCCACCTGTGATGGTTAACTTCCTGTGTCTATTCGGCTAGGTTACAGTGCTCAATCATTTGGTCAAACAGCAGTCAAGGTGTTACCATGAAGGTATTTTTTGGTGTGATTAACATTTAAATTAGTAGACTTTGAGTAAAGCAGTTGACCCTCCACAATGCCGGTGGGCCTTGTCTAATCAGTTGAAAGCTTAAGAATCAAGACTGTTTCCTGATGAAGAAGGAATTGTAACCCCAGATGGCAACATGGAAACTCTGCCAGAGTTTCCAGCCTGCCAGCCTACCCTACAAATTTCAGACTTGCAAGCCTGTGGAATTGTGTGAGCCGGTTTCCTTAATATGTCTATCTATCTATCTATCTATCTATCTGTCTGTCTGTCTGTCTGTCTAGCTATCTATCATCTATCTATCTATCCACCTATCTATCCATCTATCATCTATCATCTATCTGTCTCCATCTGGACCATTAGCTCTGTTTTTCTGGAGAACTCCAACACAGACTTGGGGACAGAGACTGGTTCTAGAGAAACCAAATCTTAAGACGGAGTTTTCTGAATTTGTTCTAAGGTTTCTGGAATTTAGTTCTCTAAACTGATTAGGTTTAAACCATGAATGAATGATTCTATTTCCAATAGTGAGGAGACCACTAATAGTCTGTGGTGTTGAGTAAAAAAATTATACCAGACATTTGTTTAAACATGGCACGAATGAATGTATTAAACATGGCTGCAATGGAGGAGAGAAATTGAATCAACTCTGACTACAGAAAAGACAGCTGGAGACTTGAACCAGCAGGCATGGTGAGGAGATCATCGGATGGAAAAGTAGCAAGAGGAAGTTGATGAGGTAGCAAGTATGGGAGGATTCTTGCTAAACTGACTCAACAGGACGCTTCGTAAGGCAGGGAGAGGTCCTCAGACATCAAGAGCGAGGGGTGGGGCCAGAATTTGGTAATGGAGGGGGGATTCTTGTTAAATTATCTTTGAGGGATTCTTTGCTAAAACTGAGCTGGGAAGGGGAGCAGGCTCAGGCCAAGGCCTCATTGGGAAGAGGACTCTCAGGAGCCTGACTGAAGTTTGGTCGAGGAGGGAGTCCTTGTCTATGCATGAAGTGGCAAGAGAGAAATGCAGAATATCACCATGGGATGCTCCTAATCCAATACTCGTAAGAGTCGAGGTTCTGGGGGACTGTGTATACTATACTTTTGAGCATTATTGTCCAAATAATGAGTATATTGAGATTTACTGGTTTCGCCTAATGTTGATGGACAAAGTGGGGAAAGAAAAGGATGAGCTCAGGGACTAGAATTCCCAACTCAATCACTACACGAATAACCTGAAAGCTTCTCTGTCTGCCCTGAAAGAAACCCTTCCCTCCTGTAGCTGCAGGGCTGAGAGTGAAACCCAAACCCAGAGTCTCATTCTGTGTGTGGCTGAATTACAACTGCAAGTTGACCTCCCAGCCTCACAGGGCTGTTTTCTGTTAAAGTGAGTGCATTCATTCCTAAAATCAGGAATGAGCCACTCACATTCAACATCATACTGGAGGTCCTTGGCAGTGCTATGTTGAGAAAAATGAAAAGAGATAAAAAAATAGAAAGAGAAAAAGAAGTAATATCTTTGTAGATGACATGATTATGTGTGAAGAAAATTCAAGGTAATCTACAAGCAAGTCGTTAGATTTAATTAGTGAATTTATCAAGGCCAATATAAAAACTAAATATTATTTCCATATGCTTGTAACAAACAATTAAACAGTTACTTTAAAAAGTACTACCTACAATAGCATTGAAAATTAAATATCTACTGACATATGTGCAAGAAATCTATATTAAAGAAAAATAAATATTGCTGAGAGAAACTAAGAGGGTCTAAATAAATGTAGAGATGTACCATCTTCATGGATTGGAAGACACCGTATCAACATGTCAGTTCCTCCCACACTGAGCTACAGATTCATATAATTTCATTTAAAACTCCATCATATTTCTTTTGTAGAAACACCTAAGGTGATTTTAAAGTGAATAAGGAAAGTCAAGTGACACAGAAGAGACAAGACAACCACTGGAAGAAATAACTCATTGGAAGACCAACCACCAAACTCCAAGACTCTCCGTAAAGCCAAAGCAATGTAGACACCATGGTATTAGCATGAAGTTAGATAAATGAATCAATGGAACATAATGTGAAGGCCTGAAATAGACCTACACATATGCCAAAGATTCACCGGAGAAAGGAAGGGTGCCTCAGTAAATTGCCTTAGTCAATCCCCATGGAAAAAGGAATCTTCATTTCTACCTCATGCCATTGATTTGAAGTGATCATTGTCCTAAATGTAAAAGCAAAAATAAAAAGCATTTAGAGAAAAACAAAATAGGACAGCAAGACCACATCTCTCTGACCCTCACCTTCTTTCAAGGGGCTCACCTGATTAGGCCAGGCTTACCTAGACAATCCCTTTTGATTAACTCAAAGCAAATGGATTAGTAGCTAATCACTGGAGTGGTTTCTCATCATATTCCCAGCCCCGGCTTCCCACACACACTGGTGGGGAGGCGCTTATTCAGAGGGTGTACTCTGGTGCAGGAATCTTGGAGGTCACCTTAGAATTCTGTCTAGCACAGACATTGTGTCCAAAACATGCTGATTTCTCAAATATATGTCTATTGAGTGTGAAAGCTTCTGCTAAATACCTGAAGTTAAAACTAATGAGCGTGGAGTAATTGCAATAGACAGTGGCCTGCTGTGTTTCTTGCAGGAGTGGAGCTCAGAATTCAGGACCCCTCGCTCATCTGCAGGTGTGTGGGGTAAGCCAGGTCCACTCAGGACTGGGCTGTTGTGAGCTGGCCTGGGGGCCAGAGGTGCTGGGACGGCCTCCAGGATGTGAGCGTCCACCTTGGGACCCGTGGAGGGAGCTGCCTGGTGTTTTGAGCAGGAGAGGTTGAGCTTTCTCCCCTTTCCTTATTCACTTCACTGGAGGAATGCTGTGCCCACCAAGGGTCTCTGCTCC
The DNA here is from genome assembly GCF_000001405.40 of Homo sapiens. NCBI lineage: Eukaryota > Metazoa > Chordata > Mammalia > Primates > Hominidae > Homo > Homo sapiens. Next base: position 49,146,864 of record NC_000022.11, read on the forward strand.
AGCCTGTCTGGGTGGAGAGGGCCAGTGATGGATAACGGTGGAGGGGAGTGGCCAGAGGGGGCCCACAGTGCTAACATCTGTGTTGCGGGGGTGCAGAGGGGCAAGTCCTGGAGTGGTGGGCTTGGAGCCAAGAGGACCCGGGCAGAAAGGAAGCCCCCACAGTGCTGACCACCCACGTGGGAGGAGGAATAAGAGCTCTTCCAGCTTCCGCAGGTGTTGGGTCGGGACTCACGGGGGCTCCATTAAAGGAAAGGCAGGCTGAGGGGCCAGCTGTGCACTCTGGGTTCATGACTGACCCATGGAACAGACGGGCGCAGGGGCCAGGCAGACAGAAGCCAGGACAGACCTGTCCTCCAGGGGAAGGTGATGTGTGAGGTCTGAACTCCAGTGTGGGAGAGAGGGGCCTATGTTCCTGACCCCACCTCTCCCTTCCCCTGCTTCTGGGTCGAGGAGAGGACCTTTCAGTGTGAGTGGGGAGGGGCTGAGACACAGGCTCCCCCGGCCCGGGGCTCTGCGGCCACCGTGCTGACCCCGCACAGACCTTCCAGGTCCTGAGCAGCCCTCGGCCAGAAGCAAATCCGTGTGGACAGGAGCTCATGGTGAGATTGAGACTTTATTTAGAAATCAAAAAGAAAAAAAAGAAAAAAAAAGCCCTCAACAAGCAAGAGAACATGACAAATTCTTGCTACCATAGTAACTAAGACGGTTGGAAGGATGAGCTGGGGGAAGAGCCTGGAGGACCAGTGCAATCGTCCGCGGCCTCATCTCCCGAGACCCCAGATGCCTTCTGCGGCCGCTTTCTCCCAAATTCCCAACCTGGCAGTGGGGAGGAGGCTGGCTTGTAAAATATGGTTTTGAGCCCGACCTCCATGCTCCGTGCCCACCACAAAGCAGCCTCCCACAAGCCAGCCCCCCAACAAAGCAACTCCAAAGTCCCTGCCCAGCTCGGGGCCTTCCCCAAGACCCTTCCTTTGCTGTCCTGCCGCCCTGGTTTTCTGCTTAAAGCCATATCACATATGAGCTTTCTGTTGTGGCCCATCATGCAGGAGCACGCTGGGCCTGCAGGCTTGCCTCCTTCTCCATTCAGAGATCTCACTCCTCAGAACGCCGGCTGCCGGTCCTTGCTCCTCCTCCCCTGCTGTGAGGACAGTGGCCTACGTTTCCTGGGGGCTGGGCCCATGAGAGCCAGACACCAGGGTCTCTGTGAGGAGATGGGGTCAGTGGGTCCTGAAGGCACAGTGCTGTGTCCAGTTGGGGGACAGAGGAGGTGAAATCAGAGAGAAAGAGGCTGCGTGTCAGGGCTTCAGGGACCCCAGACCATGAGGAAGGACCCCAGGCCAGGAGGAAGGGAGTTGTTTTCAATTCAGTGATGAGGACATGGGCGATCAGATAAGGAGTTGTGAGCTGAGGTGGAGGGTGCACACGGCCACAGCCCAGCAGTCCCGGGAAGGCTGGCAGGGAAGCTGTGAATCCTGAAAGGTAGAACAGAGTCAGCCAGGGACCAACCAGGAAGAGCCTTCCCCACAGAGAACCCCACACCACCAGAGAGACCAGTGCAGATGGAGGGAGACCCAGTAGAGAGACCTTCCCCACAGAGAACCCCACACCACCTAAGAGACTAATGCAGGCAGAATGAGATCCAGTGGAGAACTTCCCCACAGAGAACCACACATCACCAGAGAGACCAGTGCAGATGGAGGGAGAACCTGGCAGAGACCTTCCCCGCAGAGAACCCCTCACCACCTAAGAGACTAATGCAGGCAGAATGAGATCCAGTGGAGAACTTCCCCACAGAGAACCACACATCACCAGACAGACCAGTGCAGATGGAGGGAGAACCTGGCAGAGACCTTCCCCGCAGAGAACCCCTCACCACCAGAGAGATCAATGCAGGCAGAATGAGACCCAGCAGAGACCTTCCCCACAACGAACCCCTCACCACCTAAGAGACAAGTGCAGATGGATCGAGAGCCCAGCGGAGACCTTCCCCACAGAGAACCCCTCACCACGAGAGAGATCAATGCAGGCAGAATGAGAGCCCAGCAGAGACCTTCCCCACAGAGAACCCCTCACCACCTAAGAGACCAGTGCAGATGGAGCGAGAGCCCAGTGGAGACCTTCCCCACAGAGCATCCCCGCATCACCAGAGAGACCAGTGCAGGCAGAGAGAGAACCCGGCAGAGAGGGGCCTGCACATCAGTCACCAGGAACCCCTTCATAAAGCGGCAGCAAGACCCCTTGGCACAGCCACCTGGATGCTACAGGAAAGGTAGTGAGTCGAGCTCTGACTCTGAGCTCTGCTGATCAGCAGGTGGCGGTGCCCGCACCTTAGAGGGTTTTTGGTGTTACCTGCTTTCTTTAAACATACGCATATGGTTTCCTCAGAGGACCTAGTCTTAGGGTCGTGCCCAAAGAAATGCCCACCAAAAACAGACACAAGAATGTTCACAGTAGCCTGCCTATTGCCAAAAAACAGAACCACCTCAAATGTATACTCAAAATGAGGTTTCAAAAAGGGTAATTGAAGGCCAGGCACGGTGGCTCACACCTATAATTCCAGCACTTTTGCAGGGCCAGGAGGAAGGATCACTTGCAGTTCAAGGCCAGAGTGGCAACATACGGAGACCCCAAAGAAAGAAAGAAAGAGGGAGGAAGGAGGAAAGGAAGGAAGGAAGGAAGGGAGGGAGTGAGGGAGGGAGGGAGGGAATGGGAAGGTGAATAAGATCTTGTGGCTTCAGGGCTCAAAGGGAAATTGAGTTTGCTCAGGTCCTCCTGTCCGCAGGGGAAAGGAGTGGGGAGGTGAGGGAGGGAGGGAGGGGAGGGGAGAAAAGGAGCAGGGAAAGGGAGGGAGGGAGATGGGGGCGGGGAGGGGACAGAGAGAAGCAGGGGAGGGAGGAAGGCAGAGGAGGGAAGGGAAGGAGGCTGGGGAGGGGAGGGAGGACCCTGGAGGGAGGTTCACTAGCCAGCAGTGAGGGGTAGCACCATGAGGGAACACAGGGCAGGGGCAGCTGGGTTGGGAAGGAGGACGTCCTTCGGCTGCCTGGAGGGCCCCACGGGTTACCTGGGCACCTGCCACCACCCACATCCTGGAGGAGGAGAGCTCCTCACATCCTGACTGTGTCTGGCAGGCTGAGTCCCAGGCCTATATACAGGGCCAGACAGGCCTGCAGGGCTATGAGTGACCAACATCAGCTTCCCGTCCAGGGCCCGGCCAGGTGCCTTTGGCTGGGACCTGGCTGTGCGGCCACGGAGCAGAGGAGCCTGGCCAGAGAGACCAGGGGAGGCGAACGGGACCCCACTGGGCTCCAGAACCCACCCTGCTCCCTCCACACAGCTGGGCCTGGGCAGGTCAGCCACTCTGGCTGGAGTCTGGGGGCGGAAGCGAGTCAGGGCTCAAGGCTCCTCCTGCTCTGTTCACTCCTGGGTCCCCTTGAGTGTCTGGTTCCTGCCGGTTTTCCCAGGAGACCCCAGGCCAGCTGCAGGAGGCCGGGGTTGGACCTTCCATCCAGCTGAGTCCACTCACCTCCAAGAGCTCTGATCAGGGCCCTCTGGGTGCTGCTGTCCACACAAGGCCGGCTCTGTCTCTGCCTCCCTGCCCCACTCAGGGAGGGTTGGGTCATGGTAGGGAGGCCCTGGGGTGCTCAGAGCGTCTGGGCAGCAGGAGTACATCGCTTCCAAGAAGGATCAGTTTCCCAACGCTGAGGCCAACACTGTCTGGAGCCCTGAGGAGGGCCCCAGGTGGCAGATACCAGGACGGGTGCAGCCTCTGCCACCCTCACCTCCCCAAAGCATCCGGTCTCAGGCACAGGGAATTGTAGCCGAGGGCCAGGGTCCCAGGAGGATCAAAGGTGGGACCTTCCAGGGTGGTCTCCTGTGACCGTCACTGCTTTCAAACCACCAGGGGCAGCGCGTCTGCCCCCACAGCCTGTGCCACCAGGAGAGACCAGGCCATCCATCTGGGTTTAATTTGGAAATTAGGCAGTGTTCAAGTTCCATTATGTGGCAGAATTAGCCGCAGAAGCCAAGGCAGCGTCACGCATGGAGAATGAGCTATGGCTTCGTTAATCAGGGGAGACAGCGCTGGGAACCAGGAGGCCGGCGAGGTCACCAGAGGAAGGAGGGGCTGCAGCCGCCGTGGGGTGCCAGACACCTGGGCCCCACCTCGCCGCCATCTGCCCTCATAAACCCGGGTCTGGTGGGCTCCCAGCTCTGGCCGGCCCATTCCAGGCCAGACATCTGCCTCACTGCCAGCTGCCCCGAGAAACCCTAATGTGGTGGGCTCCCAGCTCCAGTTCCCAGCTCCAGCCGGTCCGTCTCCGGGACACTCCCGGGTATGGGTGTTTGTTCTCTACCCTGCTCCTCTGCCCGAAGCCGGTCTCCCTCCTCAGACCTGACTCCATTCCAGGAACCCCCATGAAAGGGGCAGGTGGGCCATTTGACGGGGAGGTTGGGATCTCTGCTGGGTGATAGGGGCTTAAACCACCATCTGTGGCAACGCTGGGAGGACAGGACAAGACTCAGCGTGTCCGGGGGAAGCCGGTGCAGCCCGGCCCTGAGGGCCTCAGAGCGCAGTGCCAGGGGAATCTAAGCCTGAGGAAGGACAGTGACAGGAGCGGGGAGAAGAGACAGAATGTGGCAAGGGCAGGAAGTGACAGGGAGCCCTCGCGTCCTCCTGTGCCTCCTCCCGGGGGTCAGCCTCGAGGGAGGGGCCTCTCCAAGCCTCCCAGAGGCAAGACTTGTCCCCATGCTGGGCCTGTGTGTCCCACTGGAGGCAGGACTTGTCCCCACGCTGGGCCCCTGTGTCCCGGCCAGACTGCTGATTCTGACCTGGCGTGGGCAGCCCCTGAGTACTGAGAGATCCTCACCCACAGGGCCCCTGCTGAGGTGGCTTCCCCGGTGCCTGGAGGGTGACCAGAGGGTGACAGTTGCCTCTGTGCTGTGCCCCTCTCTGGACAGGCCACATGGCCAGCTCCTCCTGCCTGCTGGGTCTGGGTACCATTGGCAAGCTGTGCCAGGGCCACCCACCCCAGGGCCTGCGGAGGGGCCTGAAGTTCTCAGTCACTGGGGCTCCCCGTCCTGCAACCTGCTGTGAGGGTGGAGCTGCTCTGACAGGGGAGGGGAGGGTGTCGGATTGGGGTGGCCTGGGACAGCCACAGCGGGGACACGGGCACACAGCGGGGACACGGGCACACAGTGGGGAGACAGGCACTCAGCAGGGACATGAGCACACTGAGGGGAGATGTCCGCTGTTGGAAGACAGAGATAGCTTGGAGGGAGGCAGCCACAGGCCACGGAGCACCAGGAGCCACCAGCATTGGGAAGGGCCCTGCAGTCCCCGGGGGCACAGCCGGTCCTTGCCTTGATCTCAGGTTTCTCCCTGTGAACTGTGAGAGGAGGGATCTGTTTTCAGCCACCTGGCCTGTGCTGCTTCCTGAAGGCTCTCTGTGGTGGCTGCTCTGCCCCAGGCTGACCTTTGATCTGCCCCAGGAAGAAAGAAGAAGAAGCCTGTCTTGGGGGCGGGGTCTCTGCAGCCCCCAGGCCAGCCCCTCTCAGCAGCAGGCCTGCTGCACTGGGACATCTTCTGCTCCCTGAAGAGAGGTCTCTGCCAGGGGGGAGGCAGGAAGACCCCCTGACCGGGCCGAGGCTGGTGGTTGGGAGTGGAGTGGACTCAGCCCAGAAAGCCCCCCAAACCCCCTGCCGGTCCTCTAAGGGGAAAGCCAGCCCCTGCGCATGGCCCGGCACTCCACCAGTCTCCAGGTGTGCACCCCCGCCGCTGTGCCCGCAGGGAGGAGGGCTCTGTGTGCCTGCCACCCCCTCCTCCCTCCCCCACAGGCCCTCTCAGGGCTTCAGAGGGGTTATCTCCTCTTTATGTATGTGGATCTTGCCATCTGGCTGCAGCTCCCAGAGGAACTCCTCCCAATTCTCCCCTTTAGGAGACCTCTCCCCTCCCTGTCACCCCCTCCCAGGGCCTTGCCTCACTATGGCTTTGCTTCTGTATCTTAGGGTGCAAAGATGCACCTGCCACCCAGTAGCTGTGCTAAGTGAGTTTTCCTCCCCGAGGCCCACTGGCTGGGGGGATGGGGGCCCCTAGGGTTCCAAGGACCAGGAGAGGACAGTGTCAAAGATCAAGCTGCAGGCTGCCTCAGGGCCCCAGGACCCCGCCTTGTGCTCATACCTCCCAGAAGCTGGTGCCCCCACCCCTGTCTTGGCCACTCCCCACCACTCCCTGAGCGGGTGCTTTTCCCAGCACCTGGAGCTCCAGGTGGGGTTCAGGCTGGACGGGGAGCAGAACCCTATGTGTGGGTGGGCTGCACCGCATAAGAGCCGGCAGGCGGTGTGGACACTTTACCTCTGCTGCAGTTCTCTAACTTGTTGGGGGCCGAGGAGTGACAGTCTTACCAGCCAGTGGGCCCGGGGAAGCCTCTCCTCCCATTCCAGGCTCCCCCTGGGCTGGGCTAAGGGCTGAGTACAGGAGTTGGGTCTGGGAGTGGAGCAGATGTGACGCTTGCAGCCTGGCACAGGTGTGGACTTTGGTGTCCCCTCCTGAGCCCCTGCCATCGTCATCACAGAGCTGCCCCGGGACCTGTAAGACCAGGAAGCTCCCGGTGCCCAGAAGACCTGCGGGCTGCTCCCATCAGGTTCCCCGCACACACCTGCACTGATGCGATGCTTAGCGGGGTCCCTGCCAAGAACCCCAGGCCAGGGCTGCAGGGACAGCGAGCCATGAGGCTGTCCAGTGCCCAAGAGAGAAGACAGTGGTGACTTAGTGGTGGGGAGCAGCGGAGACCCCCTCACTGGACCCTCCCGGCAACCTCCTTCCACTGGTGCAGGCCAAGGGATCAATTGCAATGGTCTGGGGCCCACAGGTGCTTGCTGGGACCACCTGCTCACAATGCTCCTGCCCACGGAACACACGAACAATTGTGGGCTCAAACCCTTCACCGTCTCCCATCCTCACCTCTGAAGTGCAAGTAATAAAAGAACCCTGGGCAAGGGTTCTGGTTTGTTTTGCTTTTCATTTTGGGGCTCAATGAGACTCTAGGAAAAGCTTTGCAGGGTGTGGGTAAGGTGGGAGGAGGGGCTACCCGCAGGTCTTTAGTCAGTGCCATCCCCAGGGCTCGGCGCCCTGTGCACGGCCAAAGTATGTCATGAGGACACAGACTCCCAGAGCTGGAGACACCAGTGGGGGCTTCCTTCCCCGACTTAGCAGTCACTGCGGGGACCCTAAGCAAGGGGCAGGGAGGTGGGTGCCCCTGAGTATCAGCCTTGCGGGGGTCCTTCTTGGCCAGCCTCCTCCCCGCTGCAGGGGAGACCTCAGGGCCCCGGAGACCCAGTAAGGCCAGGGCCTGGGGAGGGTGGGGGTCCTTCCTGGGTGGGGGCTCCCCAGGGGGCCTGGGGAGGGTGAAGAGGGTGGGGTCCTTCCTGGGTGGGGGCTCCCCGGGAAAGCGCCAAGGGGAGAGGAGACATGCTGCATCCACACGTTCCCTTCTCTTTTTTCCTTTCAGAACCTGCTTTAGGGCAGTGGGGCCAGGACACCCCCTTCTTGGGTGGTCTCACGTCCTCAGGAGACTTTGCTCTGGGGGGAGGCGGGGTCTCAGGTGCAGGAGAGGAGCTGGTGGCGGTTCAGGACTGAAGAGACTCATGGTACCTGCTGGTTTTCCAGGACAAGAAGGACATCCCGGGAAGAACACATGGGGTACGAAACGCAGGACAAGGACTTCCAGGGGAGAGCATGCGGGGCCCCACACGCCATGGGCAGCTCACCGGGATGGGTTGGGGCGTGCAGGCCTGGCGGGGAGGGGTCTTGGCAGCGGTGGGGGGCGGCCCAGGCTTCAGGGGTTCTCCCTGCTCCTTTGAGGACACGTTGACCATGGTGGGGGGCAAAGAGAACTGCCCCGGAGGCACCGTCCCAGCCGGAGCCCCTTCCTGTGCTCAGGAGCCTCACAGTCCAATATAGAAGACGTCGTGTTCAATTATTCTGCGACAAAAGCCAGGGGTTTTCACAATTCCACACCCCATTAGCTGATAATTCAGCACAGTCTCTCATCTAATGTGACTATATTTTATACAAATTATTTCGGACAAGAATTCAGTCCTTAATAACATTGATCTTCATAAAATTGTCACCCAGCATCTTGTCTGGGGCCCCTGAACTTCAGTTTGATGTTACAAATCAAAGTGGGAGACGGCTACGGACGACCTCGTGGTCCGGAGCCCATAGCGGACGCGTCGCAGGCCTGGAATTCTGAGGCCACCGTCTGCAGAGCTCCTGGGACAGGGTGGAACCCAAGCCCACAAACCCTGGAGCCCCCACCCCCAAGTCCCCTCGGGGACAGGCAAATGCCTTGTCCCTGCCACTAGCCCCTGTGGGTCCACTCAGCGCCTCCCACCCTCCTCCGCACAGTTTGGGGACCTGCTGTTTCCCGCACACTTTGAGAAGGGACTGACAGGTTCCTGGGTGGCCAGGGGCCTCGTGAGTGCCCGCCGACCCCGTGACAGGCACCTGCAGGCACCTGGAGGAAGATTCATCATGTGGCTCTGCGACACAGCAGGGCCATTGCCCTAATACGTTATCAGGCTTGTTGAAATATCAATTTTGCACATGGCTTCACACGGCTGCCTGCGGCCCTGCTCAAGCCTATTACTTAATTCTTCTCTCATTAAGAAATCCAATCTCTGATTCCAGTGGCATTGGAGGGGGTGAGGGGAGGCACTGGCTAATAGACCTCAAACCATCTGCTAATTGCGGTTCCTCAAACCCCAAGTGAAGATGAAAGGGAATGAGGGAGGTAATGGAAAATCACCAAGGTGCCCGGACAAGGCCCAGACGTTCTCAGGCAGTCCAGGCGCTGTTCCTTCCAGCACCCACCGGCTCCCCTTCTAACCCCAGACACTGAAGTGGGGCTCTGCATACAAGATTTCCAGAGTTCCTCACAGCTCTGCATGCAAGATTTCCACAGCCCCTCCCGCTCTGCACACACGATTTATACAACCCCTCCCGCTCTGCACACACAATTTCCGCAGCCCCTCCCGTTCTGCACACACGATTTATACAACCCCTCCCGCTCTGCACACACAATTTATACAACCCCTCCCGCTCTGCACACACGATTTATACAACCCCTCCCGCTCTGCACACGCAATTTCCACAGCCCCTCCCGCTCTGCACACGCGATTTCCAGAGCCCCTCCCGCTCTGCACACACAATTTATACAACCCCTCCCACAGTGCACACACAATTTCCTCTGCATACGTGATATCCACAGCCCCTCCCACTCTGCACACATGATTTTCTTAGCCCCTCCCCACTTCCTGGGGCATTCTGTCCAAACTGCTTAGGCCCTAGTGTTCTGCCAGAGGATCCAACAGCAGCTCCACCAGGGAGAGACCAGAGGATGCTGACACCCCTTTCTGATGGGTGGCTGTGCCTCCTGAACCCTCAGCAGCCTCAACTCAGAGGGGTGGGCGTTCATTCCAATGCCCCTGCCCCAGATCCGAGACAGCTCCCCTCCTCTCCTCTCTCCAGGAGGCCCTTGGGGCAGTCGATGACTTTGTGCAGCTCCGACCCCTCGTCCTCCTCCTCCAGAGGGAGGCCTGTCGACAGCAGTTTTCCATATCTCAAGCCCCTTTATAATTGAGGACATTAATTTATCTCTCCATCCTGTCGGCTCCATGGTAAGCAGGCCCCAGTCCTTACCCTAAGATTCTTGTGTTCGCCAACCATTAATCATTTCCATCTCTCTTCTGAGCCCTTTCCAACAAAGGGCTTCATGTTGGTGCACCTTGACGAAGTTGTCCACAATCTCATCAACATGTAATCAGAGCCAAATGAAACAAGGGCAGATTTTATAAGAATAATTCCCAACGTAAATGACCATAAACAACTAATTTTCTCTGTGATTCAACACACGGCTCCCTCCTCATCCGTTGCAGGGACTGTGGCCTTAGCTGTGTAAATACAAGCGCTTGGCTCCCAGCTGTTGCTCATAAGCAGTCTGGCTCTCGTCCAAGCCTGGGTACCTGTTTTGGCTCCAACCTAATACTCCCGTGTGTATTATTGGTGGCTTTCAAATAAAGGAGCGGAAGATAGTGAGCTGAGTCTGCCTCCCTGCTCCGAGGAAGAGCGGAGTGCAGGACAGATGGACGGATAGATGAGGGCCAGCCCCACCCCTCTATCAGGCAGTGGGGGCAGCCCCCCTTCTCTCCTGCACTGTGCCCTGCCCTCAAGTGCTTCTTGTCCTACAACCTGCCTTTAGAGCTTCAGTAGCCCAAACCTTGGCAGCTCCACAGCATCCGCCCAGGCGCACTTGGAAGTGGGCACTGGCTTGGAATCCTTCTTCCAGCTGTGGAGACGGTCGGGTGTCCCGGTCCTAGCCCTTCAGTGTTAGAGGCTCAGCAGGCTACGTGCACCGCCTAAGGCACGTGATTCTTTGCAGAATCAAAAAGTCCAGGGAAAGCAATGAAAAAGACTCTGCTCATTGAGAGATTTTCATTGAGTATTATTTTTTTAGACAAGAACATTGGAGAGAATGTTTTGAAAAACACATTTAACTTTGGTTATGGGGAAGATATAACAGGATACTAAAAAGTCCATATGGGAAAGGTGGGCCTTCATTAATGTCTCTTTAATTAGCCTTCATTAATTTCCCCTTAATTAGCCTTTGTTAATTTTGTCATTAGTAAATCTGCCCATCCATTTATTCACTCATTCACCTGCTGCCTTCCGAGGGCCAGGCTTCTGCAGGCTGTGGACAGCCACCCCAGGGCTGTGGCCGGGTGTGTTGTGGGTCTCCAGCTTCTCCCAGACCTCACGACTCTGGAAGCTGAGGTGAGCCCTGAAGAGGCAACAGCAGAAGCCCACAGCAGAGGAGATGGCAGCTTGGGCCAGGACGGTGGCCCTGGGCACGGAGGAGGGATGGACATAGGGAGCTTGCAGATGCAGGATGCAGGAAGGGCAGAAGGAACAGAGCCAAGGTGACGTGTGGGCACCAGGTGTGGGAGAACGGTGAGTGTCGGTGCCTCTTGTCTGGATGGTGGAGAGAGAGCAGCCGGTTTAACAGAGAGCAGCCGGTTTAACATGGAAGGTGGTTGGTTTTCACTGGACTGTGAGTTCTTGAGGGCAAAGGCCACGTCCACCTTGTTTCCCGTGTATTCTGATGCTGGCATGAATGGCAAGAGATGAAATGGAAAATAGGGAATGCTGCTGTGCTTGTGCTGAGTCTGGGGCCTGAGAAGCTCCCAGCTGCCGTGTCTGTGTGTGGCCATGGCTCCCATCTGCGGCCGCTCTGTGAGGAGCTGGTGCTGCGTGGCAGGGGCCACAGCAAATGCCTGGCACCTTTCGGGAGGTCAATCACCTGCCGGTTTCTGAGAGAGATGTGTCCCTTTTCTTTGGAATACCCCAGAATCAAAATCCATCCTCTCCACCTATGAGGGGGTTCCACCAAGCCATCGGGTGGTAGAAGGCGCAGGCTCTGGGGCCACATAATACAGACGGTCCCTGATTGACGATGGCTTCACATGGAACTTTCCAACTTTTCCATGGTGTGGACATGATACACATTCAGTTGAAACTGTGCTTTGAGGACAGAAATTCTAACTTTTGCTTTCTGTACAGTATTCCATGAATTACATGAGATAGTCCACACTTCAGTATAAAACGGGCTTTGTATTAGATGATTTTGCCCAACCGTAGGCTGACGTAAGTGTTTGGAGCATGTTTAAGGCAGGGATGGCTAAGCTATGACACCTGGCGGGTTCTGTGTGCCCACAGCATTTTCAGTTTATGACATTTTCCACTCACAAGGGCTCCTTCAGGCATGCCCCCTCATAAGTCAAGGGGCATCTCGGCTCCCACCCTGGACTCCTCACCTAGTGCCATGAGACGGGGTTGGCTGCCAAGGTCTACAGAGCCTCAGTTTCTGTATCTGAGGCTCGGGAAGAATCGGCTGTCCTGAAAGGTCACTGCAAGGCTGGTGCCTGTCACCTGCTGGCACCTTGTCATCTGCTGGCACCCTGTGGTGTGGCTGAGCCGGGACTTGGAGCGCTGGAGCCGTCATTGTCATTGGGAAATGGGTCTCATGGAACCTCCCCACTGCAACCCCAGCCTGAGGCAGCAGAGACCTCGTGCTGCCCTTCCTTCCTCCCCTGACGCCTGAGTCTCCTGCATGAGGCTCCCAGGCCGGAAGGCCCAGGAGGAGGTGCTGGCAACAGACTTGTTCACCAGGGCAGCAGCTCCAGCATGCAAGGCTGGTGATTGTGGCTTCCTGACAGACGGGGACCAGCTCAGGATCTCGGGGGCATCTGTGGGTCTGCCCCGGCCCGGGGCCCAGACGGGGAGCAGCTCAGGATCTCAGGGGTGCCTGTGGGTCTGCCCCAGCCTGGGGCCCAGCAGATGTATGTCAGTCTTTCCACAATCACCATGTGGGGGAGCAGAGGCTCTAGGGGGCCAAGGCATGGGGCGGGCTGTGTGGCTGGTTAGCAACTGGGGAAATGGAGCTGGCACCTGCTCCCCTCGTTGCTCCATTTGGTCACTGTCTCAATAAAGTGCCTTAGTCATCTGGCTGAAGAGGTTGCCCCCTCCACAGACGAGGAGCCTGGGGTCACACTGCCTGTGTGTTCTCACCAGATTGTCCATCAGGGCGGGATGGAACTGGGAGCCGAAGCCAGGACTGTGGGACCCCTGAGCCCAGGCTTATCTAGGAAGGTCCAGGGCTCGCCAGCATTCCCTTAGGCAGGGACTTCCACCTCAACAGTGTCCTGGGAAGGTGGGCATCCCGGAGCAGTCTGAGAAAGGTCCTTCTTCTGCCCCTGCAGAACACTCACTAACCATGCCCTCACCTGCATTCACCTGGGGCTCTGTGGCTGGCAGGTGCGCAGGTGTGACTGCAGCTCAGACGTTTCACCTCTCAACTTAGGATCCACCTCCCCATCCTTCCTGCTTCACCATCAAAGGACACCTGCCCCTGTTTGTGGAGACCATGGGGATGACCCCTGCGTCCCTTTCACAGGTGGACCTTTGGGCTTGTCAGGAATTTCAAATGCGATCTGAGCCAGGGCGGGTCGGCCATGCCAGGGTTCAGAGGCATGAGGCTGTATTTCTCCAAGAGACGAAAAGGCTTCTGAATAATAGAGCACAGCCCCGTGTTCTGTGTGTAATTCATGGGCCACGTGGGGGAAAGGGCTGGAGGGTGGGGCTGCCAGGGCCCCTGACATGCCAGAGCAGAGGTCTCATCAGATATGTACGTTGAATAATTTCTCTGTATTAGTTCAGTCTGCAGCCTAATTCAATTAGCTTGTTTCATCTATATTCTTTGACCTTTTTATTTAAAAAAAAAATGAAAAAAAGAAACCTTGTTTCTTTCCCCGCTGGTTTTATTTTAGCCATGATGTAATCTTTCCATCACTTTCTGGCTTTACGCTCGCTCTCTGGGCACGAGGACCTTGGAGTAGCTCCCCGCAGGCAGAGGCTGCACCAGGTGCCAGGGGCCAGAGAATGGGCCAGGGGCCAAGTGTGTGGCACCACAGACCCACCCCTCCCCTGACACCCATCAAGGCAGCCACCCACACACCCCGTCTCTCCAGGCGTGGCCGTGTGGCAGGTGACCTGAGCACCCCCAACTCCAGGCGTGACCCTGTAGCAGGTGACCTGAGCCCCCCTCTCTCCAGGTGTGACCCTGTGGCAGGTGACCTGCCCCCCCGCTCCAGGTGTGACCCTGTGGCAGGTGACCTGCCTCCCCCCGCCAGGCGTGGCTCTGTGGCAGGCGACCTGAGCGCCCCCTCTCTCCAGACATGACCCTGTGGCAGGTGACCTGAGCCCCCCTCTCTCCAGGCTTGACCCTGTGGCAGGTGACCTGCCCCCCCGCTCCAGGTGTGACCCTGTGGCAGGTGACCTGAGCCTCCGCCTTTTTCTGCTTGTGTGGCTTGGAACGCCCAAAGGCTGCGGGTGGAGGGGCTGCCTTGCCAGGTCCAGCCCAGCTGACTTACAGGACTGAGGGCCACAGGACGGTGCCCATGGACAGGATATTGCATCCCCACCGGGCCCCAAGACATTCCCCAGACCACCAATGTGTCCAGGCTTGCATTCTCTGAGACTTGGACCCTCCAGGAAGCATGATAAGGTGATAAGGACACTGTGATCTGCCCTCAAGTCCCCCAAATTGTAGAAACAGGGACCTGGGATCGTGCACAGGGCATAGAATAAAACCTCGGGAACCCACACTTGAGCTTCCAAAGCCCAGGGCCCAGCTCTTGTCGGCCCAGAGACCTTCCCTGCTGGCCCTGACATCCCAGCTCAGAGCCCCGGCCCCTCCGGCTCCCTCTGCCCCGACCATGGGCTGCTCCTGATGGATCCTGCCCTCTCCCTGCATGGCCTCCCCTCTTCGGAGGGGTCTTCCTGCACCACCCCCTGCAACACCTGTGGCCCCCAGTCACTGACGGACTCACCCACCTTCTGTCCTTCTTCACTTTCAGATCTTTCCGGTGTTGAACACGGTTTTGCATGCTGTGTTTTGCTCCCTGCCTATTTCTACCTCCCACCTCCCCTGAGGCAGAGGCCCCCTCTCATGCGTTCCTTGTACCCCCCAGTTTTCCTTCAGGGGAGCGCCATGGACCTTGGAGCCCTGAACTCGAAGCGCATCCTCTGGCCGGGTCATGCCAAGGCTTGTGATGCAGCCCAAGGGGGTGTTCCGAGAATCAGGGAGCATCGGTGCACAATTCCAGGTGCAGGGTAAGCGTATGGCCTCCTCGGGAGCTGGGGATGGTCCCCAACCTTTCCAAAGAGCACCGTGTGGGAGGGGGAGGGAAAGTGACTCTGCAGAGGAGACACCTGAGGGACACACCTGAGCCAGGCGACGAGGGTCAAGCCCATTGTGCTGGGCCCTGCGGATGGTCTGGGCCCTCGCACAGTGTGGTGAGAACAGCCTCACCTCTGATGTCCTGCTGCTGAGAATACCTAACCCCAGGCTACTCATGAGAAAACCATCGCACTAGTTTTAATATAGGGACAACCTACTCAACCCCTGGCCAGCACGCCGCTACACTGCCCAGCGTCCAGGTCATCAAAAACAAGGAAACCCTGAGAAACTGTCCCAGCCAAATGCCATGTGGGAACCTTGGCGGGATCCTGGGGCAGGAAAGAAAATGACATCTGGGAGGCACTGAAGGTGCCAAAAAGGCCGGGCACGGTGGCTCCCGCCTGTAATACCAACACTTTGGGAGACGGAGGCAGGTGGATCAATTGAGGCCAGGAATTCCAGACCAGCCTGGCCAACATGGTGAAAACCTGTCTTTACCAAAAATACAAAAATTAGCTGGGCGAGGTGGCGGGCACCTATAGTCCCAGCTACTCGGGAGGCTGAGGCAGGAGAATTGCTTGAATCCAGGAGGCAGAGGTTGCAGTGAGCTGAGATCACACCACTGCACTCCAGCCTGGGTAACAGAGCAAGACTCTGTCAAAAAAAAAAAAAAAAAAAAAAGCCCCGAAAATAGTATGAATTTCTCTTGATCAATATAGTTGAACTTTCGTATGAATATTGGTTAATTAACTATATCCAATGTGTACCACTAATGCAAGATGTTAATAACAGGGAAAACTGGGTGTGGGGAGATGGAAACTCTATACTACCTTCACAACCACGCCTATGCATCCCAAACCATCCTAAAATAAGACTTTCATTTAAAAGGTGTATGCACAGACGTGTTTATTGAAACGTCACTTATGAGCAAAGGGGATGGCCTCGTGTCATGCGAGGCCTTGTGCAGCAAGGGACTGCGTGACCCTCGAACTCCCAGCAGTTCACCTGCATCCAAATTACATTACACTTTGGCTGGAAGATACAATCTGTAGATTCTGTAAGGAGATCATCACAACTCTATAAATATGCGACGTCTGGGAAAACGGATGGAAAGAAACGCACTGGCATGTGCCCTGTGCTATTTCCCAGGGCTTCTGAGCAAGTGTTAATTAGTTGGCTGAGAGATGAGTGCACACCTGGGCAGGTGCAGCCCAGGGCAGGCAGCAGGAAGGGCGACTGCAGGCGGGCTTCCCCGGCGGAGGCTCGTGGTGGCAGGAGCATGGGGCGGGCGTACCATCCTAGAGCAGAGCTACGGGGAGTCCGCATTCAGTTGCACGCCATCCAGGGCTGTAAATCCATTGGCCTAATTTTGCTAAATAAGCAGTGGCCTTGCAAAATCTGAGCTTCCGAGCTGAGTGTGAACATCCAGGCCCTGAGATGAGGTTCGGTTTTGACACCATCCCAGGAGCTGCCGGCTCTTTGGAGCTGGTGCTAGGAGAAGGCAGCGGAGCCACGCCATGGCCACCAATGGGCTACTGCTGCACCCATCCTATTAGCAGGCACCAGCCTTCTCTGCTCGGAAGATTAAAAATTTTGGGAGTAAATCCAGGTCTTGTCTGACATGACATTTTGGAAGCAAAAGCTCAGAAACTTTTGTGCTCCCTGTTAATAGGATAACATGCTACAGTAGTTACAGTAATTGCCCCGCGCTCCCCTCTGCCTGCTGGACGCTCCCTCTGCTGCTGGATGCAGGCTTGGAGCTGCTGCCTACACCGGAAATGAGCCCCAATGAGCAGCAGGCGGGATCGGGGCAGACGGCTGGCTGGGAGCCGCCATCATTCAAGGCGGGCATCATTTAGGAGACGAAATGCCGACTGGCCTCTGTTGCCTCACTGAGCTCCCCCCAAAACCTGGATCTGGGGCCTGAAGCTTCATCATGAAAACCACCCCATCCTAGCACCCGCCAAGGGGAAGATCATGGGGAGAGGAGGCAGGAAGGAGCTTCATGTTTCCCAGGCCTGTGGCTGGACAAAGGCCTCCTCACACCTGGGCACTGGAGTTCTTGGGTTCTTGTCTGGGGGCTGCTGGCAGCAGGTGGGTTTGTCCACAAGGTCGCTGTACCAGGAGATGGGCTTGAGGGATCCCGGTGATGCATAAAGCCCCCAGCACGGGGGCCGTTGCCTCCCTGTGACGCCCCGTGGAGCGCACTTCAGGTCCACAGCATGGTCATGTGGATTTCGAATGCAGATATTACAAGGGGGCATCTGAGTCCAGGCTGTCCTGATGGGTTCAGAGCCCAGGACAGCCCAGGGGAAGGGCAGGAAGGGCAGGTGCATGTCCAGGGCCACGTGTGATCACCAGACCCCTGTGTCCCGTGGTGCACACCCCTCTTGCCTCTTGGCCACGGGGTCCACTCTGTGACCAGCGAGGATACTTGGGACCTTCTTGCTTTGACGCAATGGGCCGAGTGACCGGGCGGCTGTGGGACCCCAGTAAGTACCACCTGCCATCTCCCCTCGGGCAGGAAAGATGGCACCAGAGACTTGTGATCAGAAGCTTGGAAGCTTCCGGAAGACAGTGAGGGGAAGCCGAAGTGGAAGACCTGGTCAGGGTGTAGCAGAGAAAGGCACAGTGGAGGCGAAGAACGTGGCTACGAGGCTCCCAGGCTGCTGGGAGCCCTGGAGACGTGCAGGCTGAGGCACCCCAGGCCGCTGGGAGCCCTGGAGACGTGCAGGCTGAGGCACCCCGGGCCGCTGGGAGCCCTGGGGACGTGCAGGCTGAGGCACCCCAGTCCCCACACAGTTGTCTGGCTCCGTTTCCGACACCTCCTGTCTGTCTCCTGTGTGGTGGAGGCTTCAGCCCCCAACAGGTGGACGGGGTGCCGGCCAGGGTGCCCACTGCACTGTGGCTTTCAGCTAACGGCTTGGTCATTTCCACCTCAACAGCTCCCCTTTCCTCCCTAATCAGCAAGTCCTGTAGGTTTGTGTTCTATTCTCAAAAATCCCAAACTCCTGCTCCTCTGTCCACCCCACAGCCCCACTTACAGCCCCACCCACAGCCCCCACCCACAGCCCCACCCACGGCCCCCACCTACAGCCCCACCCACAGCCCCACCCACAGCCCCACTTACAGCCCCACCCACAGCCCCCACCCACAGCCCCACCCACGGCCCCCACCTACAGCCCCACCCACAGCCCCACCCACAGCCCCCACCCACAGCCCTCCCCCAGTCCAAGACCCGACCCCTCTCCCCAGATGCCCCAGCTGCAGGCTCTGCTCGGACCTCACTCCAACGTCAACTATTGCACCTGAGAAATGCCCTCGGGACTTTGCAAATTCCATTTCCTCTCTGTCTGGATCCCCCTCCCAACCCCGCCAGCCAAATCCCCTGCCTGCCACCCCTACACCCCACCAGACGGACTCCAGCTCGGCCCCCGGCTCTGCCCTCACTGCCCAGGCTTTGGGAGCCCACCCAGGACCAGGCTGAACCCGTCTGCAATTTGTTTCCAGGGCCACCTGCAGCCAGGTGTGTGCCAGTCACCGTCTTGGGCTTGCAGTGATCAGGCCAACAACCGCAGTGAGGGTGGCTGCTGTCCCAGGACAGAGACTGTGCCTCCCCTACTCCCATCCCCACCGCCACACAGCCTGGGATGGAAGCCGGTGCTCCTGGGAGGAGACTGCAGGGCACTTTCCTTGTCAATCCAGTAGTTCAGGGGCCAGGGAGAGTGATGCAGAGAGGGGAGAATGGGACATCATTCTTCAGCGGGCAGGGAACACACAGGGATTTCTGGTCAACCCAGGAAAAGGCCCCTGGCGAGCGCCCCTGTGCCTGCGAAGGGGAGCCCAAGGAAGGCCCTACCTGTAGCTCCGCTGGCCGGCAGGCAGGAGCTCCTGTGAGCGGCTCTTCCCCACCGCAGCAAAACCTTTGCAGTCGGCATCGCACTGGTCATTCTTAAAACCTTCATCTGCTCAAGAAACTTCCATGGCAGCTGCTGACCCCTTGGGAAGAAAGTCCAAACTTCACAGCCAGACCCTCCGTGTTGCAGTGTCCATCCTCACGCCCTGGCTATGATGTCCAGGCCCCTGCGTCCTCCCTGAAGTGTTAGGCCAGGATGTCCTTCTGAGCCTACCAGCCATGGTAAAGTGCCCTGTGCTGTTGATGGGAGGATGGATACGAAGAGAGATGATGATAGATCTAGGCACAGATACACAGATACCTGGATGATAGACACGATGGATAGGTGCCTCTCTCTGTATAGAGATGATAGATCTAGGCACAGATAGACAGACACCTCGATGATAGACAGATGATGGATAGGTGCCTCTCTCTGTATAGAGATGATGATAGATCCAGGCTGAGATACACAGATACCTCGATGGTAGACAGATGATGGATACACACCTCTCTCTCTATATATATATATGTGTATATATATATATATATATATGTATATATATATATATGTGTATATATATATATATGTGTGTATATATATATATATGTATATATATATATATATATGTACATGAATATATATAAATCGTATATATATATAATAAATATGTGGGGACTATGAGTAAATATTTGTACTTCTCATTGCTAAGTCTTTCAAAGTTTGCTTTGGATTAAAAGAACAAAAAGAGTTGTCCAGGAGCAAATGATGAGACAGCACAGCCCTGCGTCCCTCCCAGCCTCAGGCTGATCACAGGACACCTGTCAGGGTGAAAGTACACAGGACGTGCCGCAGGTGAGCCGAGCCAGCACCGCCCACCGAGCCTCCACAGAAGATCCTCCACGGTTCCAGGATGGACAGTCCCTACAAAATCAGCCCTGAGAATCACTGAACTTCACAAATTGTCCAAGGACGAGGCACGTCGACTTCGGCAGATGAAGTTTCTTTCCCGAAGTTGTTTTTCAACACAGCGAGCAGTTCTCAGAAACACTTTGGGTGGCTTATCTGGGAAGTTATATCTGCTCACTTGGCAGCCCTTTCCACATCTTACAGTGGAGCACAGCCGGTCACAGCATCGATACTGTGCACAGTTTAAAACCATCTGAATGTTGTCTTCTTGGAACATTTCAGAAACCTGCAAAATTAGTTGATAGGAAGGCATGAAGGCAGTGCCTCTAGCTCCATCGTGCTGCACATCTCCATGAGAAAATTGAAGCTCATCCTTCCAAGCTGCTGGTGACCCTCAGGATGGGTGAGCATGCGCTTGGCCTAAGAATCCCAGCCAACCTCAGCCGAGGGGAGCCCCTTCCTGCTCCCCCCACGACCTGCTGCTTTGCTGTTCGCCACCAAAACTCCCCGTGCGTGCCGGAAAGAGGTGAGGGTGACGATACTGGGCTGACTCCAGCAACGGTGCAGCCCTCACATGGCCTTCGATGTGGGAGGGCCATGCTTGTGTTTGTGGGGAGCCCCTTAGAGGACAGCCTCCCTCCCTCCCTCCCTCCCTCCTTCCCTCCTTCCCTTCCTTCCTCCCTCTCTTCCTTCTTCCCTCCCTCCACCCCTTTCTTCCTCCCTCCCTCCCTCCCTCCCTTCCTCCCTTCCTTCCTTCCTTCCTTCTTTCCTTTCTTCCTTCCTTCCTTCCCTCCTCTTTCCTTCCTCTTCCCCCAAAGGCCTATTAATCACTGGCTGTGTGTGGGCATCTGGGCCCTGGACATAGGTCAATGAACAAAACGACATCCCTCTACTCTCCTAGGTTTGTGTCCCAGGGTGACAACAGCAGCACCACTGATGCCTTCCATGAGCCTCCAAGCTTGGTGCATCTCAGCACAGCTGGGCCTAGCCCAGGCTGGTTCCTCTGGCCCTAGACCCCCTCCCACCTTTCACACCCTCTGGGCCTTTCAGCAGGTGCTGCCTGGACTCCTGTGTCTCGGACACTTTTCAGAACTGCATGGAGAGTGCACTGCAGGTGGGGTCTATCTGTACAAAGACCGTGAAGGCACCATCCAGGTGCAGAGACAGGAGCTTGGCGAGGTAACGGGGGCGGGGAGGGGGTGTGGAGGGGTAACGGGAGTGCAGAGGGGGTGTGGAGGGGTAATGGGGGCAGGGACGGGGTGTGGAGAGGTAATGGGGGCAGGAAGGCCTTGGCCAAGGCAATCATGGCCATCCATGCTTCCTGTACAGCCTGCAGAACCATGAGCTAATTAAACCTCTTTTCTTTATAAATTACCCAGCCTCAGGTGTTTCCTTATAGCAGTGCCAGAACAGACTAACACACAGCCCTACACATTCTGAATATCTTCTTGGGGCTGGGCACCTGTATGTCTGGGTGTGGGACTCGGGCTCTGGAATGGAATGAAGGGTGTGATCATGCTCCAGGCGAGAACCTGGGTGCCACCTGTGTTGGGCCTGCCTCTTCCCACACACCACCCCTCACTGCCCTGCTAAGGAGCAAGAGCCAAGTGGGCTGAGAAATCCCACTGCTACCCCAGTGAGCAGAAGATGGACTGGAGAAGACAAACCGAGCTACACGAAGCAGGTGTGGGATCTGCCCGCGTGCTCTGAACCACGGCATGGAGATCCGCCCGTGTCTCTGAACCATGGCGTGGAGATCCACCTGTGTCTCTGAACCACTGCGTGGAGATCCGCCTGCGTGCTCTGAACCACGGCGTGGAGATCCACCCGTGTCTCTGAACCGCAGCGTGGAGATCCACCCGTCTCTGAACCGCAGCGTGGAGATCCACCCGTCTCTGAACCGCAGCGTGGAGATCCACCCCTGTCTCTGAACCGCAGCGTGGAGATCCACCCGTGTCTCTGAACCGCAGCGTGGAGATCCACCCATGTCTCTGAACCACAGCATGGAGATCCGCCCGTGTACTCTGAACCATGGCGTGGAGATCCACCCGTGTCTCTGAACCATGGCGTGGAGATCCACCCGCATGCTCTGAACCACGGCATGGAGATCCACCCGTGTCTCTGAACCATGGCATGGAGATCCACCCGTGTACTCTGAACCACGGGCGTGGAGGCAAGAACAGCCGGTGTCCAAGGGCTCCGAGTCCACTCACCGCCAGCCCCATCCCGAATTCCTGCCTTGCCACAAAGAGTCACCTTTAAGTGTTGATCCTAAGGAAACAGAGTAAACAGATGTGGAAGTGAATTGTCAAGAATAATCACAGAAAATAAAACAGCACAGGGTTTCCTTTAAAAGCATCACTGTGGACCGAATTCATATGTTAAAGCCCAACCCCAATGAGACAGTATTTGGAGATAGGGCCATAATTAAGATTAATGAGGTCTTTAGGATGGGGCCCTAAGCCAATTGGACTGGTGTCCTTAGAAGAAGAAGAGGCTCTGGGGTGCAGGTGCACAGAGAAAGGATCCATGAAAACACAGCAAGGAGGTGGCCGTCTGCTAGGCAGGGAGAGGCCTCGCCAGGGACCAACCGAACCCATGCCGCCATCCTGTACTTCTAGCCTCCTAGACGGTGAAAAAGTAAATCAGTGCTGTTTAATCCATCCAGTCTGTGGTATTTTGTCATGTCAGCCAGTGCAGACTAAGGCGGCACAGGAATACCCTCCACCCACGTGGCCCAGCCTGTATCCCAGGCTCTGACTCACATTAGCACACCTTTCACCTTGGGGAAAGCAGAACCAGAGGCCGCTGGGCGGTGGAGCTCGCTTCTTCTTGAGCACAGTGGATCCTTGGAAGAAGGGAGGGTGGTGAGAAATGGGCAGAGGCCAATCTTCAATGGGAGGGCTGGATCCTGTCTCCAGGCCCAGGGATGGGTGAGTTTTAAATCAAGAGTACTTGGCCACACCAGAGGGCCAGCTGCCAGGGTGATCTGGCCCCCGAGGGCTTGTCTTGTCTAAGAAATATCACAGGAGTGCGGTCCTCTGCACGCATAAGGTCGTCTGAGGGGTGACCTTACTCACTGCCCATCCATCCTGCACCAGGCTGGCCCCGGCCACGAGGCTTTGCAATCAAGGATTCCCAGCGCCACTAGGACTTGTTGCCTGCCCAGAGTTTCTCATGTCCATGCTAAGAAAATCCGTCTCCACTCCGGGTGCCTCTGCAGGCATATCTGTGACCCCCGGAGACAGGGATCCACTACCAAGAGTGGCTCTGTCAGGCCTGAGATGAGCTGTGGCTTTGCAGGCTGGCTTCCTCCCTCTGTATGATGCTTTCCGAACAAGCTTAGAGGAAAATGTCACAGCTCTTTCACCTGCACAGGAAGGCAACCCTCAGCCCCCAGCCACACGAGTGGGAGCCAGGAGGAGCACTGTAGCCTGCACTCTCATCTCAGGGACAGCCAGCACTTCACATCTGCAGAAGCAATAAGGACATTACAATTGCATATCAGTAAGATATTGCCAGGATGATGCTATGTAGCAACCATCCCCAATCTCAGTGGCTGGTCAGTAACCTGTCTATTACTGCTCTCAAGTCTAAAACTCAGCTAAGCAGTTCTGGTCTCAAATGGGTTGATTCCTGAGTCTGTAGACAGCTCTGCTCACCTTGACTGGGTTCTCTTATATGTTTGGGGTGAGCTGGTCACTACTGCCTTAGGATGGCCTTGATCGCCTCCTTGTGTCTCCCATGTGTATCCCTCCATTGGGCCAGCCCCGGCGTGTTCTCATAATGAGACAGATGGGTGCAGTGAGCAAACCCCACTGTGTAGGGCAGTAAAGGAGTTGGGGTGCATGATCCAAACCTCTGCCTGACCCACTTGTGCTAACATCCTGCAGGCAAAGCCCATGCTACAGCCAGAGCCTGGGTCAGTGAGGGAGAGGCCTGCATGATTACTCCACTGAGGACATAGACACAGCACATCCACCGAGGACACTGGATACTGTGGTCAGTTCTGGCTTGCCCGTAAGTCAGAGAGCTGCCAAACGGGGGATAGCCCTCTAGGGTTCTTGTATTTGCCCAGGAAAGAATTCAAGGGCAAGCTGGTGGTTGGGTAGAATAGAAGAGCTTTATGAAAGCCACAGTGTCACAGGTCCATGGCTGCTCCTGTCCAGCAGGGCCACCCCACAGGCAGTGTGCTGAGCTGAGAGGAGCGGCTCAGGGTGGTTCTCCAGTCATATTTCTACACACTTTTAATTACATGCAGATTAAGGAGTGGTTTAGGCAGAAATTTCTAGGGAAGGGGTAGTACATTTCGGGTCATTGAGTCATTGCCATAGAAAGGGGCAGTAACGCCTGGCTGTTGCCATGGCAATGGTAGATTGACAGGGCACGCTGGTGGGTGTATGCTATGGAAAACTGCTTCCACCCCAGCCCTGTTTTAGCTAATCCTCAATACAGTCCCTTGTCGGAGCCCTGCCTCTGGAGTTGAGTCCCGTCTCCTGCATCAAGAAGCCAAGGAGATATTTTGGATCAAATTTAAGCAAAAAAACGCATGGATAAAAGAAAACTTATTAAAGAATAGTCCACATTCAGGAGAATGCACATCTCACAAACGTGGAACTCTGGATTTTCACGAACTGCAGACAGTTGAGTCAGCAGCACTTGCAGGAGCAAATGGAAAATCACCAGCTCTCAGAACCTCCGTCCTGCTGGCTCCAGTCACCTCAGCCCCCTGGGGGCAACATCACAATGGCTTCTAAACCCCTAGATGAGTTCCATCCACCTCTGCATATCCTATGAGGTGTGCAGGCCTCCACAGTTAGCCTCGTTCACTCACTATATTAATCTGTTCTCACGCTGCTGATAAAGACATCCCCATGACTGGACACTTTACAAAAAAAAAGAGGTTTATTGGACTTATGGTTCCATGTGGCTGGGGAGGCCTCACAATCATGGTGGAAGGTGAAAGGCATGTCTCACATGGTGGCAGACAAGAGAAGAGAGCTTGTGCAGGGAAACTCCCCTTTTAAAACCATCAGATCTCATGAGACTCATTCGCTATCATGAGAACAGCACAGGAGAGACCTGCCCCACGATTCAATTACCTCCCACCAGGTCCCTCCCACAATATGTGATAATTCAGGATGAGATTTGGGTGGGGACAAAGCCAAACCATATCATTCAGCCCCTGGCCCCTCCCAAATCTCATGTCCTCACATTTCAAAACCAATTATGCCTTCCCAACAGTCCCCCAAAGTCTTAACTCATCTCAGCATTAATTCAAAACTCCACATTTCCAAAAGCCTTCCAAACTGTTACAACCTCTGCCTGTTTCCCAGTTCCAAAGTCACTTCCATGTTTTTGGGTATCTTTTCAGCAACGCCCCACTCTACCGGTACCAGTTGACTGTATTAGTCTGTTCTCATGTGGCTGATAAAGACATACCCAAGACTGGGCAATTTACAAAAGAAAGAGGTTTAATAGACTCACAGTTCCACGTGGCTGGGGAAGCCTCACAATCATGGCAGAAGGTGAAAGGCAGGTCTCACACGGTGGCAGACAAGAGAAGAGAGCTTGTGCAAGGAGGGTCCCATTTTTAAAACCATCAGATCTCGTGAGACTTATTCACTATCACAAGAACAGACCCACCCTCATGACTCAATTACCTCCCACCAGGTCCCTCCCACAATATGTGGGAATTCAAGATGAGATTTGGGTGGGGACACAGACAAACCATATCACTCACCATTTTGCCCATGAGATTTGCCCACATGGTCTCCGCAGCTGCAGACCGCACGTCCTCACGGCCGTAGAAGTGCCGTCAGTGAGATGATGTGCCCTGGCTTATGTGTTCAAGGGGCATTCGGACTCTTTCCAGTTTGAGGTTATTATGGGATAGGAGGTGCTGCTGTGTACATGTTGGCTGTCATTTGGGTACATACCTGAGAATCAAACTGCTGGTCTTGGAGTAGGCTTGGCTTTATTAGATGCTGTCAAAGTCTAAGCGACCCTTCACATTTCGCATTCCCCCGAGTAGTGTTCAGGGTTTACTTGGTGCACACTTGGCCAACACGGGATGTCCTTCTATTTCTAGCCACTCTGGTGAGTCATCAGTGGTGCACACCATGGTTTCAAGTTCATTTGCACTTTCTCAGTGTCTATAAAAATTGAGCAACTAGCAGTACCTTTATTCACATCTCCTTGTCTGTGAAAGATCCACTCAAATATTCTGCTGGTTCTGCGGAATGATCTGCTTTTTCTCAGTGATTTGTGGGAATCTTGCGTGTTATGGATTTCGGTCCTTTGCTGGGCATATGTGCTGAGAATATGGCCTCTCCCCCATGGACTGGTTTTTCCTTCTCCTAATGGCATCTTGTTATGAGTAGACATTCATCTTGGCTCACTCCAAGGTTACAAAAGTGCTTTCCTGGCTGGGCACAGTGGCTTATACCTGTGATCTCAGCACTTTGGGAGGCCAAGGTGGGAGGATGAATAGAATCCAGGAGTTGGAGACCAGCCTGGGCAACAGTATGAAACTCTGTCTTTACAAAAAAATATAAAACTTTAGCCAGGCATGGTGTCATATACCTGTGGTCCCAGCTACTCAGGAGGCTGAAACAGGAGGATCACTTGAGCCCAAGAAGTCAAGGCTGCAGTGAGCCAAGATCACACTGCCACCACTGCGTTGCAGCCTGGACAACAGAGAAAGTCCCTGTCTTACAAAAAAAAAAAGAAAAAAAGAAGAATATTTTCCTCCACAATTTTTATTGTCTTGTCTTTCATATTTAAACCTGAAATTTATCTTAAACTGATGTTCGATACGCTATGATGTAGAACTTGAAGTTAATTTTTTCCCATATGGTCTTTGATTCCTCAAGCCCCCATTACTGAAAAGAACACCCTTTCCTACCGTGGCACCACCCCACCTCTGTCATAAATGAGTGGATGGCATCTGAGTCTGTCTCTGGACTTTTCTTATTTCAGTGGCCAGCATGCTTATCTTTGCTCTCTTTAATCCTGTAGATTTGCAGTCATATGGGGGTGGACGTGATATCTGACCAGGTCCATCCTCAACTTTGTGCTTCCTCAAGACTGCAATCTTCTTGTCTCTTTGAGCTGTTGCATGGAATTTAGAATCAACTTGTCAAAGACCGGGGGAAAAGACTGCCAAGATTTTAATTGATATTACATTGGAATGTTTTGATTATTTCAGGGAGAATTAGTATCTTTACAGTACCGAATGCTGTCATCCCTCAATGTGTTATTTCCATTCATTTATGCCAGATTTCTTTAAGCTCTCTCAGCAATGTTTTGTAGTTTTACTATCGATGTCATTCACATCTTCCATTTTAATTCATAGGCATTTGATGTTTTAATGCTATTGTCAGTGACATTTAAAAATGTGTTCCATTTGTTGCTGTTCCAAAGAAATATGATTGATTTTTTATGTTGGCCTTGAATCTAGTGACCTTGGTAAAATCACTTGCAAAATCTAACAGTTTGTCTGTAGACTTTCTGGATTTTCTATATACACATTCACGTCATCTGTGAGTAATAGCACTTTCATCTCTTCCTTTCCAATCCTTATACTTTAAATTTCTCTTTGCTGTGGGCTGCAGAGATGGGACCTCCAGGACAATATTCAGTAGAGGTGTGGTGACCATGGCTGTCCTTTTAGTGCAGACTCCAGGGACATTTTTGCAATATTTCACCACTCATGATGTTTGTTTTGGAATTTTCTGTAGATGTTTTTTACCAGATTAAAGAATTTCTTTTTTGTTCCAAGTGTGTTTATTTTGTAAAGTCATGAATAAGGGTTGAATTTTATCAGTATTTGTTTCTGCTTCCATCAAGATAATCATGAGATTTTTCTTCACACCTTCTGTTACTATGATGTATTACTTTGATTTTTTTTTGAATGTTAACTCACACTTCCTTCCCTGGAATAAACTCCAGTTGGTCATAATATAATATATGCTTTACATTGTTAAATTGAACTTATCAAGGTCTCACTAACACGGAATGAAATGCACCAATTTTAACTGTACACTTCAGTGAGTTTTGTCAAAGTTCGTTCCCCAGGTAATGTCCACCCAATTAAAACACAGAACATTTCCTTCTCCCTTAGAAATTCCCTCTTGCTACCTCCCAGTCAAGTCTTGTCCCCACTCCACATAAGCACTGATGCAATTTCTATCACCTTATGCTAAATGTACTTATTCCAGTTAAATAAAAATGCAATATTTGACCTCTTTATGTCTGATGGCTTCTGCTAAGCATGATATACTTGTGAAAAGCAACCGCTTTTTCATACATCTCCAGGATTCCTTTTAAAATATAAAATGGACTTTAAAGTAATTTCAGATGTATAGAAAAGTTGTAAAGATAGTACAGACAGTTTCTGAATACCTTTACCCACTATCCCACGCTAATGCTTTACATAATCATGGGGTACATTTGTCATAATTGAAAAAATTTACATTGGTAAATTGCTGTCAAAGAAACCCCATGCCTTACTGTGATATCAGCAGTTTTTGCACGAATGCGTGGTTTCCTGTTCCAGGACCCCATGCGGGAGACTGGATCACTTTTATTTGTCGCCTTAGCTTCTTCAGGCTGTAATTGCTTCTTTCTAAAATTTTTTTTTAGTAAGTTAACAATCGTGAGGAATACTGTAGCTCCAAAATGTCTCTCCGCTGGGGCGCCTGTTTTTCCTGCAACTGTACTGGTGTTGAGTGTTTGGGGGGACAGACACCAGAGTTAAAGTGCCCGGCTCATCCTGCTGCCTCCCCGCCTCTCAAAACAGGAGACGTGACGTTCGCCCCTGGTGAAGGCATCTCCACGGTAGTTATTTTTTCCTGGATTATGCTATATTTGTTAAATGATTCTCTATTTGTTGGATTATGCTCTATTTGTTGGAAGTAACTCAGGAAGTCCAGCTCACACATAGAGAAGAGAAGCTAAGCTTCATTTCCTGGAGCAGAGAGAAGCTCCATATATTATTTCAAATTTGCTGTGGACTGAACGTTTTTGTGTCTCCCCAAAATTTCTACTTAGAAATACTCATCCCAAGGTGGTGGTATTAGGAGGTGGGGCCTTTGGGAGGTGATTTAGTCATGAGAGGGAGCCTCACTGGTGGGATTACTGCCATTATGAAAGAGACCAGAGAGACCCCTTCCCCTTTCACCTCATGAGGACACAGCCAGAAGGAGGCTGTCTCCAGATGATGAATCTGCCAGCAACCGGGTCTTGGATGTCTCAACCTTCAAAACTGTGAAACATAAATATCTGTTGTTTATAAGCCACTCGGTCTATGGTATTTTGTCACAGTCACCCAAACAGACCAAGAGAGAAATTGGTATCGAGAGAGGGATGCTGCTCCAATAGGTACCTAAAAATGTGGATGTGGCTTTAGAACTGGGTGACGGGTAGAGGCGGAAGAGTCTGGAAGTGCATGTAATAAAAAGCCTATGTTGGCCTGAATGAACTTTCAAACGCCATCCTGATGAGGGCTCAGAAAGAAGAAAGGAGGGCTTGGAGGAAGCCCCCTCCTTCCTAGAGAGCATCTAAGTAACCCTGAGGAGAATGGCTGCAGAAATGGGGATCATAAAGACCACTCTGGCAAGGTGCCAGTGGGAGTGAGAAACACATTACCAGACAGTGGAAGGACGGCTGTCCTTGTTACACGATGGCAAAGAACTTGGCTGAACTGTGTTTGTGTCCTAGTGTTTTGTGGAAGGTGGAACTTGTGAACAATAAAATTTGATATTTGGCTGAGGCAATCTGTAGGCATGGTGTTGAAGGAGTGGCTTGGTTTGTCTTGACAAAGGAATACAGTGTAGAAATGGTCAAGTCAATGGGCTATCCATTGATCCAATGTATCAATACAGACTCAAGTACGGGGCATTGATTTGATCCAATACAAGAATTGGATGCATAAATTGATGGGGAGACAGAACACATCTTCCTTACAGAAGGTCTCTTCCTTAGTTCGTTTGGGCAGTTACACCAAAGGGCCCTAGACTGGAGGCTCATAAACAACAGAAATTAATGACTCCCAGTTCCGGAGGCTGCAAGTCCAAGATAAAGGCCATGGCAGATTGGGTGCCTGGTGAGGGCCCAAGATCTGGTTCATGGACTGTGCCTTCTGTCCTTGTCCTCACATGCTGGAAGGAGTATTCAAAATTCAGGCTACCCCTGAGTCTCTGAAAATACATTTTATGAATGAAGTGAATACTTTCTTTCATGATACAATTGAACCTTAAGGAAGATGAGCCCGTGTGCCTTGCTCTGAAAGTTCATCAGACTCATCCTCCTTCCAAAATGCACTTCCGCTTGACTGTGAAACTAGCCCAGTGTGTCAGGAAGTGGAGAAACTCAAGCCCTGCCCGTGTGCGTGTGAACACGGGTGTGGCCTAGACGCTCCAAACTCTGCCTGGAATGACAGCCAGCTGAACCAGCAAAGCCATCAAATGACTTCCACCGTTGAGTTGATCGGTCTTCTAAGTGTAAGAGCGTTTATTACCAGAGCCCGCAAAGTGAGGACTATTATGGCAGGAGATTTCCAAGCACTCTCGTCCCCCCACAAACACACACATGCAGCAGGGGTGGGAAGAGCCCCTCCTGTTTTTCAGCCCTTTCATGAACATCACACACACATCAGCATGGTATGAAGGCCACGGTGGGGGGCTTGGGGCTGGCACAAGAAGGGCCCCAGCTGCAGCCATGGCTGAGGGAGGTGGGGACCTGCTCTGTGCCCTCAGTGATGGACTGGACACTGCTGTCTCATAACAGTCCTGTGCACCTCTGCGGGGCTCACCAGAGTTGCCCCTTCCTTCTTCAAAAACATTTACGTGTTTGGTACACCTGTTTAATCAGTCTGACTTTCTCCACTGTTGGAGTGGTGTGCTTACTTCTCTTACAAATGAATAGAATCATTGAATGTAAAAGAGATGGAAAAATAAAGCTTCTACCTCAGCGTCTTGGGCGATGAGTTTCGATGGGTGAGGAAACGTTTCCGCGAGATAGAGAAGGGGCGCCATTGAGTGAACAATCTCATCTTTCACCTCCAAGATTCATGCACTAGCAGCCCCAAGCCCCACCAAATGAAGGGGTCTGGGTGGTGTAGGCACTGCCTGGTCATTAAGGAATTCACCAAGAGAGCACAGGTAGATTTTCCACCAAGGCCAGAGTGAATGGTGTTTAATGAACGTGGCTTTATCATACCATGGTGAAGGGATTGCCACCGTCAGAGAGGAGTGAAGCTCCCCAAGGTCGTGAATTGAGGCTGCCCTGGAGAACTGGAAGCCACTAGAGCTGGACGGGGTGGGAGAAAACGCACCTACACCCACCATGCCTGGTGCACAGGCTGAATGGCCGGGACGGCCTGGCCCTCCCTGATTCTGAGGTGTCGAGTTCCCTGGGGATGCCAAGGAACCGGCAAACATCAACCAACTCAGAATCCCAGCCCCGTGCAGATACTATGGGACATCACTCAGAATCCCAGCCCTATGCTGATGCTGTGTGACATCACGTGGAGTCCGTGGCCTGTGTGTCAGGAAGCCGACAAAGCCAGGACCCCACAGTGAGGCCAGTGTGAGCTCCATCCAGGCCCAGATGGGTGCAGAGGCTCTTGCCCATGGTGCCCATGGCTGAGTTCTCCCCTCTCAGCCCCATGTGGACTCTCCACAGCCTGCTGGGGTGCTGTAGCCTCCATGAGATGCTTATCCGAGCTCAGTCTCTGCACCGTTGAATCAGGAGCCCTCGGAGAGCAACAGCCCCTTCCTTCATGCACCGACTTCTCTGGGATGATCCCAAGCCCTGGACATCACGGCATGGACGACGTCCATCTCAACCTGACCACTGGAGAAGCTGGTCAGCATCCACAGAACCGACATGGGGGAGCTGGGGGGGCCCCACCCGCTCAGCCAGGGACACAGACAGCCTTCATCCTGCACTACCTGGCCTCCAGGACTCACGGATGAGGACCGGCCCTCAGGACGGTGGACACTCACCTGTCAAGCCCAGAAAGAGTCCGGCTCTCTGGAACCCAGCCTCAGGAGGGCCCCTGGGGACTAATCCTCAGAGTTAACTCCTCAGTCCTGCTGAGTTTTCCCATAGCTGACCGATATCTGCTCAGGGGTCAGGGGGACCCAGCTCCCCGCTGGGCCCAGGGCTTCTGAGAACTCACCCTGGCTAACATCCTCCAAGCTCCTTTGGCAGACTGGCCCCTGAATCCTCTGTGGGCCCGAGACACTGGCTGGCTCCCTAGTCATCGAGCAGCTCCTGCTGGACTCCCCACAGGGGATGGAGCAGGCCGCGTGGTGAGGCCACACAGGGACAGCGTCGGAACGGCTCATGGTGGGAGCAGCCACAGCGCACCTGCCTAGAACGCCTGGTCTCCTGCCTCTGTGCAGTGTGGGCGAGGGGGTGGCTGCCTGCTAAGGGCTAATGAGAAGACAGGACCTGAGCGGTCACTGCCAAGCGGGGCGCCCCTCTGCAGGTGCTGGATGTGGCCACATTATGAAAAGGACGCCTCATCCCTCAGCTGTTTCGTAAATTATCTAAAAATCAACCTTCCGTTCCAAAAGTGACCTAAAATGATAAGCTCCGTGGCGGGAAATGTTGCCAAATGTTTTCTTATGAAAACCATGATGTCAGAAAAAAGGCGTAATGTCTTTATAGAGGGCTGGAGCGGCCGGATGGGGCCTCTGGGGCAATCACCTTAAAAGCTTTCCAATATTTTTAGACTTGTATTTGCTATTTGTTCGAGTCACTTTGGAAGCTCAGCACAGCTTTTGTTTTGGGGGTTTTACGAGTTTGTTTAATGCCCACGGTCCAAGTGTTTCCATCCATTAGCTCGGCTGCGTCAGCGCCACCGCGATCTATTAACTCCTCCCGCCAGGCCCTCGGCGGCCCCGTGGCCACGGCAGGCGCTACCCACCCTGGCTCCCTGCCTGTGGCTTCAGAATTTGTGGAGGTGAGCCCTGCACAGCCCGGCTTCCCACTCTCTCCGGGAAGCCACCATCCCTGGCAATTCTGTCCCCCCGGAGGTCGGGCCCTCATCAGCTGCACTGTGTGGCCTCCTGTCTCTGGGACTCCTGTCCTTGACCCTGTTATGAACGAGGGAAGCATCCTGTGATCCTCTTTGTGGTCTTTGCTGCTGGTCGAAGCATTTTTTGGGGCTCAGGGATGGGAACTGTGTCCTGGACCACGTCCAGCCTCGGGGCAGGGCAGAGATACACTGCCTGGGAGCCTCTGTGGTTCCAGCAAAGCCGCCCAGGCTCCAGCCCTGCCCCACGTTTCCTGGAGGGCACAGGCAGTGCCTGTCCTAACCCTGAGAGGTCTGCTCACGGGGTCACCCCACTGTGGTCCTCATTCCTGATATCGAGCCTGAGTCCCTGAGTCATGGAGATGCAATTGGAGATGCTGTGGACCCTCTAAGAGGAATTTCCGTCCCAGCTGTGTCCCTGGGGGTGCCCTGGCCCCGCCTGTGTTGCCCCTGGGCTGCAGAGTTGTCCTCCTGACCCATGACCAGCCCCTGAGTGTAGTGGAGGCCGCCGTCCCCCCGTACCCCCTGCTGGTTTTGAGGGAGCTGTCTTCTTCCTCATACCAGCTTTCTGCCAATGCCTGCCCCAGCCAAGAAGCAGATCCACCTCTGGAATGGGAGGCTGGGTGAGCCATCAGGAGCTGGTGCCAGCTGCACACAGGAGGTGTGTGAGACAGCCAGTGACGTGCAGTGGCAGGAAGACCTGAGTGTGGTCCTGGGCTCCCCCCACGGCTCACCACCCTAAAGGTCCTATGCATGGGGCCACGGGGTCGTGCCTGCAGCAAGACCTAGGGGAGTGCTCAGCACATCCCAAAACCCCAGGCTCCCTCTGCACATGTGGGATTACCTGGAGCCTAGCTGGGGTTGACCCGAGTAGGGGGATGGCCCAGCCACAGCACACAGGACCCCCAGTTCTTCCAGCTCCAAGAATGGCCTCTCCTCAGACATGCGTCCATCAAACAGGCACAGTGGCTGAGCTCCTTCCAGTCACCTCCTGGACCTCCGGCTGGGCGAAGCCGCCTCTGCCCGCCCACTGCTCACAAAACCCCTGGACTGTCCCAGGTCCTCCAGCCCCTGTGGATCCCACTTCCGTCTCAACCCACCTCCCTGCTCCTGTTTCCCCACCACGTTAAAATGCCCAGAAAGGGGCCTGTAGTCGGTAGCCTTTTCCCGTCTCCACCTTCTCCTGACTCACACTGCCCGGCCGGCATCTCTCTATGGAAACGGGGCTCGCCAAGGCCTTCAGTGATGTCTGTGCTGCAAATGTAGTTGTTGGTTCTCTGCCCTCACCGGGTTTAACCTCCCTCCTGACCCCACACACCACTTCCCTGATTTATTTACTTTTGTCCAAAGTCCTTGTGTTTATCAGGGTTCTCCAGACAGTCAGATACACACACACACATACTCACACGTGTACACACACATGCACACACCGATATACAAATATACATATATGTATACAATGTACAAATAGGCTTTACACACACACACACTCACACATGTACACACACACCCATGCACAGGTATACAATTATACATATATATGTGTAAGATGTACAAATAGGCTTTACATATATATGTAAATGCTACATGTCTGTAAATGTATACATGTATGTAAATGTATGCATATATGTGAATGTATGCATATATGTATGGATATATGTAAATGTATACATATGTACATAGATATATGTATTTACATATAGATATAAAGCCTATTAGTACATCTTATACATATATATATGATAATTTCCGGGAGCAAGGGGCTGTCTCCCTCTCTGCGTATATCCATATATGGAGAGAAAGAGAGATTTTAAGAAATTGACTCATGTGACAGGGGGTACTGGCAAGTCCACAGCCTGCAGGCCAAGCTGGCAGGATGGATAAAGGGTTGATGCTGCTGCCCAAGTCTGAGGCCACCCGGAACCAGTGTTCCCTCCTCCGGGGGCACCCCAGCCTTTTGTCTTAAGCACCTCAACGGATTGGTGGCAGCTCACCCATGTCATGGGGACTGAACTGCTCCACTCAAAGTCGGCTGATTTAAATGTTTGTCCAAGAAACACCCTCACTGCGGCCTCTGCACTGGTGTTGAACCAGGAATCTGGGTCCCACGGCCCAGCGAGTGGACACAGGACACTGCCCATTGCTGACCAGGCCTCGCCACTCCCTCGTCCACGCTGCAGCTGCTGTGCTAGCTTTTTCGTGGCTGGCCCCATCCCGCTGCCACACAGCTCCCTGAGGGTGGCGTTCCTGTCTTGTCAGCTCTGGCACCCCAGGCTTTCTGGCCATTTCTGGACTGCATGAATGAAGGCCGAGGCAGAAGCACCACCTGAGACGCAGGCTCAGGGATCAGGAGGGACCGTTGCCCACAGGACTGGTCTGGGAAGCTGGACTCCCGGCAGCTCTTCCCCACTAGCATGCAGGCCCAGGGGTAAGCATGTGCGATTACAACTCCAACAGGACCCTGTGCACACAGGATGTCCGGGCGGCTTGGACTTCCCACACTACTTAATGTGGGCAGGAAGCCATGGCCCCTCTGCCGATGGCTTCTTCATCATTGGGGAATCTTCTCCGTAGCTCCAGCAGCCGGCGCACGGGCCCAGGAACTGGTCAACAGCGATCAATGACTTGGCAGTGGCTTTCATCAGGGTCAGCA
This sequence comes from Homo sapiens, assembly GCF_000001405.40. Classification (NCBI taxonomy): domain Eukaryota; kingdom Metazoa; phylum Chordata; class Mammalia; order Primates; family Hominidae; genus Homo; species Homo sapiens. The sequence continues at coordinate 49,182,159 of NC_000022.11, forward strand.
GGACACAGACGAGGTGAATGCCATTTCTGCCCTGGGGTTAGGACTTCACAAGTTGTCAATACCTTGGAATCACCCATGCAGCTCCACCCTCATCCGGGCGAACTCACAAGCCCCACGCAGGCCATGCATCTGCCAGGGATGAGGCCCAGGAAGACGCCTCGGCCAAACCCTGAGGATCACACAGGGGCAACATCGTTACCGGATGGATTCGAATCCAGAGCAGTCTGGGGCAAAGCAAGCCTAATTCTGTTTTCCCCCGTCATCTGCGCCAACCTCCTCCCACATCCCTGTGAGGCAGAGCCAGGAGTGCAGCAGAGAACAGGGGTGAGGATGCCAAGGCCCACGCTCGGCGCTCCTACCGGCCCTGCCACTGGCTTTGATCCCCTGGATGTGGAAGGAGCCCCTGAACCGTCTTCCTTCACGTTCCCGTCTGACTGCCTCTGACTCACCTGTGAACTCTCCGCACAGCACCCACCCTGAGCTTGAGCTCGCAATTGAGAGCCCCTCGGCGCCACGTGCTCCCCCTTGCTAACCACGTCGCCCTGGGGACAGGGCAGGCGACCGAGAGGGTTCTCCATGTGCAAGTCCAGGCCCCACCCTCACAGCTGCGGGACGCTCATCCATATATCCCTCACTTATTCATTCAACAAACAGCAACTAAGTGCCCTCTTAGGGCCGGCAAGGGCTGAGGAGCTGGGCAGCCCTCAAGAAGGACACAGCCGGGTCTCCTGACACCAAGGGGCGTGCCTCTGAGCAGAGGCCGTAAGAGCCATGTCGGCACATCTGTGTTTCAAAGAATTTTCGACAGCAAGGACTGCAGAGGCACAGAACAAACTGAGGGGTGGGAGGCGGAGGAAGCAGAGGACGCTGGTTATGGCAGTTGGGGAAAGATTCCTCAAAGGAGGGCAGTGGCCATAAGGGGTTCCCAGGGGCCAAGCGAAGACCCCGGCAAGAGCTCTAGTTCGTTTGGCTTTTGCTTTCCTATCCGCAAAGCGTAGGCGACGACTCCCACCCAGCGGATTATTGCAAGGAGTGAGCAGGGTGGATAGAGAAGTCGTGCCAGGAGGGTCTCCCGTCAAGTATAAAGGAGAAGACGGTGATTGTTTTGGGTAATGGAGCCATTTTTCTCAGCACTGCTCCATCTGCCAGCTGACAGGCCACAAATGGGGACTGGCCCGCGGCGTCACTGGGGTCCCACCCACCGCACGACACACACAGAAAGCGGAGGAGGCCCCGGAGGACGGCAGGCGTGCAAGTGGCAGCTGTAGACCCAGCAGCATCCTACAGGGCAGTGAAGGGGCCTTGGCCCAACCTTGTCTGACCCACGTGGACGCCGAAGTCTAGGAGGGGAAGGGACACACTCAGTGCTCAGAGCAGCCCAGCAGCAAAGCAGGACAATGGCTCTGCTCTCCCAACCCCCAGGCCAGCATTTGTCACCTCAGTGACCCAGAGGAGAGCGTCAGCCATCAGGGACGTCCTGGAGCTCCCGTTGGCCCTGGGGGCCGCCCCTCCCATGGAAAGCTCGGGGCTGATTTGTGCACAGGGCTGGGAAACACAGCAGCAAGTACAGGGGGGCCCCATGGGGGAGGTGCAGAGGACTTTTGGGGGCAGGCGGGTGGGAAGGGGCCTTGAGGGGTGCAGAGGAGCCCACTGGTCTGAGGACTCCGGGGGCAGGACGGGGCTGAGGACACCTTGGCCCTGTGAAAGCCGAGTGTCACAGTTCCGCTTGCTCCACGGCGGCGCGACTCCACGCTGTATGCGTGGTACGAGGCGAGGGTGGTAAGGCAGGAAGTGGGCAGAGGCTTTGTGATGAGTTAACCGGCTGGGCGTTACCCTATGGAGCGGGAGAGCCATGGTGCATCCAGGCAGCCAGAAGCATCCTCCGGCGCCTGCCGCAGAAGGAACTGGAATTGCGAGAGGACAGGGGTGGACGCTGCCGCGTGGGAGGCGTGCTGTGGGGATGACGCACCATCCTGTTTGTTTGCACCAAGTCATTTATCTCGTGCACCCCAGGGGGCCGTGGTCCCTGCCGGGCCATCATGTCTGCTTCCCTTATTTGGGTTTTCTGCCCCCTCACTTCATTTCTCACTTCGCTTTTCCTCCTTATCCCTTTGCAGTCTTGCTTTTGGGGGCATTGCTCAGCCAGTAATTTGAGGGACACCTCGTGGAGCCCTAGTGTGGAGCCGTCAGAGCCTGGGTAGGATTCTCCGTGGTGAGGTGCTCAGGGAGACACAGGAGCATTCCGGCGCCTGTTCCTTGTGCACATCCGCAAGTGTCTGCAGTGAGAGGCATGGGTCCCATCTTGAATGCCAACAATGTGGCACCCACACCCCACTTGATGGGGCCGAGCCACAGCTGGCCAGGTTGACCACCATGGACGTGCCAGAGGCATCCGAGACCCAGCTCTTGCCCAGCTGTTCCACTGCCAACTCCAGCGTTAGCAAAGCAGCTCTCCCTTGCTTTGTCTTCTACAGCAGAGAACAGATTAAAAGAAGAGAAGCTGCAGGCAGAGAAATGCCTCTTGGAGCCAATGCCCCAAAGGATCTCTTTGAACAAAGGGTTGCTCAGGTCAGCGTTAGTTCCTGGCATCAAGCAACAAAATCAGAGATGCTAACAGTTCTCAGATTCACTCCAAGTGAAGACTCAAAGCTGGATTTATAAATCCCCACAGAGCCGCTGTGCAGAGGTAGAGGGCCGGTTTCAGGATGAGGAAGCCCTCTTGGAAGCACCGTCCTCCGCTAACAGCCTCCAACCTCTGTCCCCAGGGAGAGGCGCGTCCCCAGCGAGTCGCATCAGACACGTCCCACCGTGGACGTGTTTGCCCCTAGTCACCTCATTTCTCTGCTCACAGCGCACAGTGCTTTCGTTGCATTCTTCGTTAGAACACCCAGGGGAATCCCAGCTTTTCCTCAAACGGAGAGGCAGGACACCCAGAGACAGCTCTGATTAAGGTGGGTTCTTCCCAGAGGAGCAGAGGGAGGGGAGCAGCCTCTAGGCTCTAGGACTTCCTTGTCACCAGAAAACTCGGACGGCTTCTGCACTGAACAAAGCCTCTTTGAATGCTATGGACTGAATTCTGTCTCCCCAAATTCACTTGTTGAAGCCGAACCCCAGTGTGTTTGTATCCACAGATGGTGCCTCTGGGAGGCACCCATCAACCCATCCATTCATCCATCCATCCATTTATTTCCCATCCACCTTTCCACCATTCGTCCACCCACCATTAATCTATCCACGATCCACCCATCCACCCATTCACCATCCATCCATCCATCCATCCATCCATCTATCTACCATTCATCTATCCATCCATCCATTCATCTACCTATTAATCCATCATTTTACTCACTCACCCATCCATCCACTCATCATCAGTCCACTCAGCCTTCCATCCATCCACCATCCACCATTCCATCTATTCATCTATCTACCATTTATCCATCCATTCATCCTTTCACTCTCCACCCACCCATCCATCCTTCTCTTCTCTAAGCTTCTCTGTGTAGCCGTGCTTGCTGGGCTCCAGGGACTCTTAGTTCAGTGTGGGGAGTGGTCAGGAAAACAATGAACAGCATTGCTGAGCACTGTGAGACACATAGTAAACAAGTCCTGGAGGACCCTTGGACTCTCTGAAGCAGACAGCAGAGCTCTCCCAGAGGCAAAGGCAGGTCCGGGATTCTGCAGTGAGCAAAGTGTGGCCACACACAAAGTCATGAGCTGGGAGCAGCTGATTCCCCAAGGCTGGAGGATACAAGGTTGGGCCAGGGTTGAGGGATCACATGGTGGTCCTAGTCCAGCCTCTGCCCTGGCCAGGTGGTTTGTGAGTGTCTCTGTGCTGTGCTTTGTGTGTCTACACCTCTTTAGCAGGGGAGGCTTCCATGGTATTCTAACAGTTGTCGAGGGTGAGGAAGAGCCTGGGTCACTCAGGGCTGAGTAGAAAGTAACCATCTTTGAGCCTTGTTTGGAAACATGTCCACTGGTCCTGGGTTCCCTTCTTTGACTTAAGGAGTTGAATTTTTATGACCATGACCCAGTGTTTCTGTGACATTCCCTGGGAGCCTTCTTCTCACAGAGGTGAGATTGTGTGTTATTGAGGGTTCCCCAGAGAAGCAGAATCAACAACATGTGTGCAAGGTTGTGTGTGTGTGCATTTGTGTGTGTGCATTTGTGTGTGTGCGCATGTGCACTCACATGTGTGGGGGAGAGAGATTTGTTCACATGGAAACCCAGGGAGACACACAGTTGGGGTCCCAAGGCCTTGCTGGCAGAATTCCTTCTTTCTCAGGGAGGTCTGTCTTTTCCTCTGAAATCCTTCAACTGATTGGGCAAGGCCCACCCACATTAAGGAGGTCATCTGCTTTACCCAGTCCATGGATTTAAGAGTTAACCATATACAACAAGCCTTCACAGAAATATCCAAAGTAATGTTTGACTGAATACATGGGCCCTGTGGCCAGCACTGTCTGGTATGGGTTGTCAGTGGAGCTCAGGTGGTTGGAAGGTGACTCTCATGACATGGGGTGCAAAGGACAGGTTCTTGGAAGCCTCAGGGCTGAGCAGTGGAGTCAGCCATCCCTGGCTGTGGGTGGAGGAGGGAAGAGCCCAGGGTAACTGGGAGGCTGGTTCTGGCTTGGCCTCTCACACACGGCAGCTCCTCCAGCCTCAGCCATGACCCCAGCCACACCCTCCGACATGGCCCCAGGCCAGTCACAGGACTTCTGTGTGTCCTCATGTGCAGTCAGTGAGGATGACACCAGCCACGCGGGAGGGTTTGGAAAGGGCAGCCGTCACGCTCACTCTGGCCATCATGTGATGATCACGATGACTGCTATGAATGGCATCACCGCTGCAGTGTAATCATCATGATCACGGCTGCCACTGTCAGATGCCACCTGGCCAGCCTAAAGCAGACGCTGTCACTGCAGCTGTGACTATCAGTGCTGCTACTGCGACTGCAACTCTGTACAGAGTGGGTGTGTGGACATACATGCGTGTACACATGCACGGGAATACTATTCAGTCTTAAAACAGAAGGAAACCCTGGCATTTGTGAGAACATGAATAATCTGGAGGATGTTAAGATAAAGCAAAATAAGCCAGACACAGAAAGAAAAATGTTGCATGATTTCACTTATTGTGGAATTAATAAAAGTCAGGTTCCTAGAAGCAGAGAAGAGAATGGCTGTTCCCAGGGGCTGGAGGTGGGAAAAAGGGAAATATGGTTTGAAGGGTGCAACATTTTGGTTATTCAGCATGAACACAATATGGGGTTCTAAGGGACAGCAGGGTGGCCGTAGCTGATAATAATGTATTGGACACTTGAAATGTGCCAAGCATAGATCCCCGGAATCCCCCACACAGCTGTGAAAGAAAGCTCTGGAGGTGATGAGAGTGTGACTCAGCCTGGTGGTGGCAGTCACTACACAATGTGTGCATATACCAAAAATCACATTGTATACCTTAAATATACATTTTTTATTTGTCTATTATAATCAAGTGGAGAGCAAATTAAAAATGATGATACACCCTGTATTAGTCTGTTCTCATGCCACTAATAAAGACATACCTGAGACCGAGTAATTTATGAAGGAAAGAGGTTTCATGGACTCACAGTTCCACATGTCTGGGGGGGCCTCACAATCATGGCAGAAGGCGAAGGAGGAGCAAAGGCACGTCTTACATGGTGGCAGGCAAGAGAGCCGTGCAGGGGAACTGCCCTTTATAAAACCATCAGATCTCGTGAGACTTATCCACTATCACAAGAACAGCACGGGAAAACCTGTTCCTGTGATTCACTCACCTCCCTCCAGGTCCCTCCAAACCCCTTCCCGTGATTCACTCACCTCCTTCCAGGTCCCTCCAAACCCCTTCCCGTGATTCACTCACGTCCCTCCAGGTCCCTCCAAACCCCTTCCCGTGATTCACTCACCTCCCACTCAGTCCCTCCAAACCCATTCCCGTGATTCACTCACCTCCCACTCAGTCCCTCCAAACCCATTCCCGTGGTTCACTCACCTCCCACTCAGTCCCTCCAAACCCATTCCAGTGATTCACTCACCTCCCACTCAGTCCCTCCAAACCGATTCCCGTGATTCACTCACCTCCCTCCAGGTCCCCCCAAACCCCTTCCTGTGATTCACTCACCTCCCACTCCGTCCCTCCAAACCTGTTCCCATGATTCACTCACCTCCCACTCAGTCCCTCCAAACCCATTCCTGTGATTCACTCACCTCCCACTCAGTCCCTCCAAACCTGTTCCCGTGATTCACTCACCTCCCACTGGGTCCCTCCAAACCCGTTCCCATGATTCACTCACCTCCCACCGGGCCACTCCCACAACACGTGGGGATTATGGGAGCTACAACCCAAGATGAGATTTGGGTGGGGACACAGCCACACCATATCATACCTCTTTGAGTTCTGAGATTCTGTGCATTGACCTCAGACCGAAGCTTCTCCCTGCATGACAGGTACCTGCAACCACAGCTGCCCGGAGACCTGGGTTCTTCCCATGCAGCCTCACATGTGAGATTCTCCAGCTCCCAGCCCTTTGTTTAACCGTGGGATATTGGCTCAGGGCTGAACATCATGGGGAATGGCCAGCACGTGGATGATGGAGCAAGCCCTCTGTTTTCTGCTGCTCTGGATGCACTCCTCAGACACTCAGTGGCTCCTTCCAGCCACGCAAAGCCATGCGTCCTGCAGAACCCATCAAGGGACGAGGTTCTAAGGATGCTGACGGGGCTGCCGTGGCCTGTGGACAGGACTTACCAAGGACAGATGTGAGTCATGGAGATAAAGAGTTGCGTCCTTCAGTAGAAATCAGAACTTCTACCCAGTGGCATTTATCAGAAATCAAAGACATCTAGGTTGACTCGGCACAGCGTAATGTGCTGGAGTCAGAGAGGGGAAAACATAAGAAGCTGTCAGGGCCTACAGGGCTGGGCAGAAAGCAAAGAGACAGTCTCAATTAAATTCTTCAAATTAGGTCACTACCTGGTTCTCACATTAACAAGAACAAAGGTGGGCGCCTCAAACCATCAAAGTTACGTCATCCTTGGGATGGCACGGATTCGGAGGGAATGCAGTTGCAGTACCAGGTGTGTCTCCTGGAAGAATCTTCCAATCTGGTTATCAATCAAAACAGAATGATGCTGCCCTCATTCATCAGTCCATGGATTTCTGATTGTCCAGCCACTGGGTCTCGAGCTTGGACTCTGGGAAGAGCAGATGGAGGCAGTGGGAGCCGGGCCTGGTGCTATGGCGGAGCTCTCCCATTCACAGGCTTGTTTAAGGCTTGGTTTGGGGCGTCCAGGTGGGGCCTCTGATGCCTGTGTGACTCAAGGGTACACATTCCCCAGAAGGCCTGTCCTCTACGAAGTCATTTCTGTGTGCCCTCCCTCCATCGGAGCTCACCGGTGCCTCTGCGGTCTGTGTTACAGGAGGGAGTTGCGAACAAAACATGGTCAAAGTGATATGAAAAGGATAAAAACGAGGGTATCCCTGTGCTTGGATAAAGTGACATTTCCAGACAACCATAAGTTAGAGGATCCCACCTCATCTTCAAGATACCGTGAACTACAGAGGCCTCCCTGAGGGCAGAGATAAGGCCCCATCTCAGCAGGGGCTGGGGGAGAGTGAAGTTTTCAGTGAGAAGCAGTCTGTGTCTTGGAAGCCCTTGAGTAAATGCTGCTCTGGAGTGAAGAAGTTAAGGAAGACTGTGGTGGGTTGGATTGAAGTTGGAGATCTTGGAGTTGAGCTTTTTACAAAATACATTTTCCTATCTGTCCAGCGAAAGGGTCTAAAGCAGGCAGGCAGAGCAGAAGCAGTGAGTGCCAGGATCGCAGCCGATCGATGCCAGTCCTGCTCACTGCGGCGAGGGCTCCTTGGAGAAGCAGCTGAGTCCAGGGCTTAGGCCAGAAGAAGAGCAAGGTGAGCCGAAGCGCTCGGCTCCCGAAGGCAGAGAAGTGTCCAAGGACAAGTGGGCCCTGTCCCACGGCACAGGAGCCGGCCCGAGGGAGGTGCTCACTGGCCAAATTTGGCCCATTTTGAACAAAAAAATATGACAGCAATGGGTTAGATCACATGAGAATATACCCAAGAACGTAGTGTAATAAAAATGGGAACTTTTTTTTTTGAGACAGACTGTCGCTCTGTCACCAGGCTGGAGTGCAATGGCACGATCTCAGCTCACTGCAACCTCTGCCCTCCGAGTTCAAGCGATTCTCCTGCCTCAGCCTCCTGAGCAGCTGGGATTACAGGAGCCCGACACCACACCTGGCTAATTTTTGTAATTTTAGTAGAGACTGGGTTTCACCATGTTGGCCAGGGTGGTCTCGAACTCCTGACCTCAAGTAATCCGCCTGCCTCGGCCTCCCAAAGTGCTGGGATTACAGGCGTGAGCCACCATGCCCGGCCAAACTGGGAACATTTTTAAAAGGAAAGAAAGCAATAAGAGAGGAAAATAGAAAAGAAGGAAGGAAGGGAGAGAGGGAGGGAGGCAGAGAAGGATGAAGGGAGCGAGGCAGAGAAGGAGACAGGAAGGGAGAAAAGGGTCTTCCCTTCAGAAGAACACCAGCTAATTCATGCAGGACGCAGTGGCACTGCAGTCACACATGTGAGCCTCTGAGGGAGAGTCCAGCTGTGCAGAGATCATCAGGGGCTGCTGCAGACCCCAGGTGAAAAGTGGCAGAAAGGAGGTCATTCCCCTGGACTCTGGTGTCACCCTACAGATGAGTCATAATTACGAAGGGAAAAGAGACCTCTCCAGGGAGAAGACATCGCGGTCACTGCTGGGCCTGAGGCTCTGCTGCTTCCCTGTGCTGTGGGACAACCTGTCCGGACGGCCGCAGATGCCAGGAAGTCAGAAGTGAACACACCACTCTGCAGAATTCCTACCAGGAGCTGCTCAACCACATCGACCCATTCAGAACTAATCAGACAATTCCTGAGTGAGGCCCGTCCTATAGACCACTGATGGGGGACCCTACAGAGACGTGAGAACCTACGGCCACCCGTGGCTGCCCTTGGCCACCCACGAGCTTTGATGAATCCTGGGTTAGAAGGGAAATGATCCACCATCAGCTACACTCCTGGGACCACAGGGTAATCTGGGTATGGACCTCAGACTCTGCAGACGCGGGAGGGGCCGGACCTATGAGCTCGCGGAGCAGGCTGGCAGAGCCCCCACTCTGGGACCCCCCAACTCTTCAGTCCCTTGAATATGTCAGTGGATTGTGCATTTCCCGGAAGTTTGCATCAACACATAACAAGTCCCAGCTCCGTCTCGGAAGGAGGAGAGGACGCCGAACTCAGGGAGAAGGAAAAGCCGGGCTTCCTCCCTCCGAGCAGCGCGGTATCCACCCCGAGAGGAAGAGAGTGAGGTCAGGTGGAGACGGGATTGGAGGGCTCCCTCCAAGCAGCGCGGCATCCACCCTGACAGGGACAGTGAAGTCAGGGGGGGAGGGATTACTGTTTCTGTGGCAGGACCCTGGGTGGTCTCGTTCCCCCGTGGTGACAGCATAGCCTTCTGTGTCCACTCGCCCTGCTCAAGTCCCAGGGTCCCTGCTGCCCTGGCGGCTGAAGGAGGCCTCACTAACATAGATGGCCCAGAGGCACGAGGGCTCCACCCAGGTTCTGGGTGTGAGGCCTCCCGGCGGAATCCCCCACGTCCCACCTCACAGGAAGGGCAGGGAGAAGCCCTGGAGCCCCAGCCTCCCGTCACCTCTTGCTGACATTCCCTCCATGAAGTATGTCAAGAGCTGAAGAGCTTGGCCATGAGGTCCACATGACAAGCCTTCTCCATTTCACGTTGACTCAATTCCAAGTGCAGGAAAGCCAGGGAACCTTCCTTTATCCACCAGTATGTGGGCCCCTCTTGGATAGTCTGGCCTTACCAACACCGGCTCAGTCAGCGTGGGAACAGGGGTACCCACGACTCGGGGTTCACCACCCATTGCCAGGAACACCTGGGTCTGATGACGATCATGATTTGATAGGAGACCACTCTCCCCAGCTCCAGGTCCCTCTCTGGTGGTCTGGTGGCTCCTGCTTCTGTCAATGAATGACGAAAGAGGCCCTGCCTGCAGCTGCCTTGCCTGTGGTTGCAGCGGCCAACCCAGGTGCAAGGGGAGACACATGGGTCCCCTGATGGGGCGTAACAGCCGAGTTATCCACAGTCATTCATCCTGCAGGATGTTGGGTGCCTTCCGTGAGCCCGGAGCTGCAGGTCAAACGTGCAGTGACTGCCCAGCTGCTTCCGGGAATTCACTTGGAGCAGTGCTGGGGCTGTCCAGGCCCGTCCTTTATCCTGCCCTGGGCTCAGGCTCCGTAGGAACCTCGTGACCTGAGCTAGGACTTGTCTTTGCGTTGAGTGGAGGGAAAGCCGCAGGAGCCCGGCTCCCCTGAGCACGCCTCCCTGTTGTTCAGGGAAACAGGTGTGCATGGCCACAGATGTTCTGCTTCTCTGGGGCTCAAAGTGTGAGCCAGGCCCCTCTCCTGGAGGAGGCCCCAGCTGGCTGGGGAGATAAGAGGCACGCGGAGGCATGGCAGAGGCAGATTGTAAGCGCCAATGGTGCCACCGATCGGCACGGTGGGGGCTGAGGGCATCGCGTGTGGCCGACTCCCCAGACAGTCCAGAACGATTCTGACTTGAAGAAAGTACAAAGTCTTTTTCTTCTCAAACCTGGGCTCTAATATGCTGAGATTGGTTCTTTTATTTTTTCTTTTCAACCCTGGCAGTAGAACAAGCTTCTCATCTGCATGTAGCAGATTAAAGGAGAGCTCTGAGCCGTGGCCTCGCCCAGGCTGTGGACAGGTTCTCCAGGAGGGGCTCGATGTCAGCCCCACATAGGCAGAGCACGCTGTGGTTAGAGGTGGGCCATGGTCCTCCCTGGGAGACACCAGCAAGCATGCACAGGGGCAGGTGCTGGGAAGAGCAGGCTGCTCACCTTCAAGTGTGGACGGATGGATGGTGCCTGCCCTATGGTCCTGGAGATAAGGACAGACGACCCAGAATACAGGCATCTTCTTTTGCCTTTATTGAAAAAGGAATAGAATCAAACCAAACTGTCAAGCCGCGCCAGCAGACCTTGCAGCTATCACCGATGCACCCAGGTCTAACTTGCAAATGAAGCCGGAATGCTGCTTACACACAGGCGCACACAGAGAGAGCATGGACAAAGAAGAGCAGAGGCTGTGTGTTCTCCATGCTGGCGGTCCCGTGCTACCCACTGCTTATCTTGCTGTATTCGGTCCAGGCGTCCCCTGGCACATACCTTCGGTCCAGGCGTCCCCTGGCTCATAGCTTGGTAATGATACGGCATTATAAATAGTACATTAACTCGACACCATGTCTTGCAACTGTGGACAGCAAAGAGGTGTCAGGGCAGAGTCCAACCCAGAGGCCATCTGTCCGGTCGCAGGTACTGGTGCCATCTCTGCAGCCAACCCCCTCCCTGCCCAGGCTGGAAATTAGGCAGCTGCACCTGTTGCCTTGTGAACACGTCCCCCAAGAACCCTGCCGTCCGAGCCAGAGAGGCCAGACCTTGGGAAACGCAGCTTCCCCCAAGCATCCTTCCTGACAGTATTAGTAGGGTGCACTCCACAGATAGCACTTGCCCAGCCTCTCTGTAAATTTACACTTTTTCCTATTGTATCAATGCAAAATGTTTTTTCCCAGGACACATTCCCCTGGGGATAGAAGAAGAGACTTAGAGCAGGTGGACTTTCCAGGACTGTAGGCACTCCAGCCCTGTAGCCTCCTCCTCTTCCCCAGCTGTTGGACTATCTGCTAGAGAGGCTGGGGTTCCTCCATGTGCAGGACTCCCCTTGGCTGGCACTGGGGCTGCCTCTTTCTCTGCTGGGTTCTGTCTCCCTGGGATGGGGCTCAGGCTTCCCCGGCGAGGGCTGTGGTGGCACCTCCTTTGCACTGTGCACAAGCCCTGAGAAGGAGGCATAGGAAGGATGGACAGAGTGGCTGGTCCAGAGCCGCCCACCTCCTCCGGGGGATCCCAGCGGCCATCCTGGGTGTCTGGATGCTCGTCCTTGTGTGCCTGGTCCGTCTCCTCCCAGCGGCCATTCTGAGTGTCTGGATGCTCGTCCTGTGTGCCTGGCCCCTCTCCTCTAACCTCCATCCAGGTCTGCAGTGCAGTGATACAGAGGTGGCACCCGTGAGCCCAGTCCCGACAAACTAGAAGGTGGAACAGGACGAAAGAGAAGGGCCCTCTGGTCACTTCTGTCCCCTGAAGCACCTGCTGCCACTGCCCTGTGAGCAGAGCTGTGGATGCTGAGCAGATGTGGGGCGGGGATGGATGGAGCTGTTACATTCTAAACACGGGCACTCCACAGAGGTCACAGGAGCCCAGGCCTGCCCACACCCACACAGGAAGTGCCCCAAAGGGTTTGTAACTCAAGGTTCCAAGAAATGGAGACAGGGCCGGGCGCGGTGGCTCACACCTGTAATCCCAGCACTTTGGGAGGCCGAGGTGGGCAGATCACAAGGTCAGGAGATCGAGACCTTCCTGGCTAATATGGTGAAACCCCGTCTCTACTAAAAATACAAAAAAATTAGCCGGGCATGGTGGCGGGCACCTGTAGTCCCAGCTACTTGGGAGGCTGAGGCAGGAGAATGGCGGAAGCCCAGGAGGCAGAGCTTGCAGTGAGCTGAGATCTTGCCACTGCACTCCAGCCCGGGTGACAAAGCAAGACTCCGTCTCAAAAAGAAAAAAAAATTAAAAAAAAAAAACCAGACAGATCCAGGCCTGGGTCCCTTCATTGAAATAAATAAAACACACGGAGAGGAGCGCGCAGGAGCCAGAGACAGGTCTGTGAGAATGAGGCGAGGGTGACGGGCGAGGGGGCTTGTCCTCCCGGCTCCGCCTCTCGCTGGAGGGTGAGGGTGAAATTCAGGCACTCACTCAGCCAACAGCCTCCAAAAAGAGCCTCCCTCACCTTGCTTGTTCTAAAGGAAATCCCATGAATTCAGTCCCCAAAGGACCTTTGACTTTTATAGGGAGGGAGGGCAGGGTACGGAGAGACCCCTCCTTCCTCTCGGCCTCCCAGCCTTCCTGAGGTTCCCTCCATTCCTTCAACCCAGATTTTCATTTGTGCTTGACTTCTTGCTTTGTGCTGTGTTTCTGAAACTCTTCTAAGCCCATCCTCCCGCTCACTCCTCTAAAGTTAATGTCCCAGCCAAGAAGCCTCAAAGCAGGGTGTCCTGGTGTGGAGTGGACATGGCCAAGGTTGGACCCCAGGGGAAAAGAAGCCGACCTTGAGCGGCAAAGACACAGGGTGGGCGGGGGCCTCATGAGCATGCAGGGGATAGATCAGGGTGGGCGGGGACCTCACGTGCAGGCAGGGGATAGATCCAACCGTCCGTGTTCCACCATGGGGACAGAGGATCAAGAGCCGGGGGCCTCAGTCTCAGCAGAGCCCGGGTGGCAGAGAGGGACTAAGGCCTGGAGGAGGCCCTGCCGCTCTGCGTGGAAGGCAAGAGTGAGCCATGGGATATGATGGGGAGCAGGGTTGTGACTGGAGAGTGTTGCTGGGACATCATGCTGCTGCAGGCGGGGTCAGAGCTGAAACTCTGAAGTGGATGAGGGTGGGGTGGCCTTGGGAAGGTGCTCAGAGAGAAGGGAGGGCCCAGCCGGGAACCGTGAGCCATGGTGGCATCCGGGCAACCTCCCTTGTCTGGGGGTGGCTATGGGGCTTTGGCTGCGCCGAGTCCTTTGGTGAGTGCTGCCCCGCTCACTCCTCCCGAGACTGAGCCTCCGACCGCCCTGCCAGCGTGGTCTCTGTGTGAGGAGAAGGGTCCCAGGGGAGAACAACAGCCAGAGTGCTGGATCCCGCAGCCCCCGATGTGAGGTCACACAGGAGGTCAGGCTGGGCCATGCTGATGGAGCTTCTGACGGGTGAGAAGGACACACACCCAAAGCCACGCTCTGGAAACCGGTGCTCCAGTCACCATCAGCAAACAGGCTGCAGGCCTGGCGTCTGGGGCACGTAATTAAGGTTGTGGCTCTGGAGCAGCCTTGCTGGGTGCAACCTCGGTCACGAAGCCACCTCCCCTGACTGTGGTTTGTGTCCCGCTGGGCACACCGGCCCCAGCTCTCCCAGGCCCCTGGGCAGCGATGTCCACCCCACTTGGAGATTGGGAGGAGGCCCCTGGACCAGGTCTATGTGAGAATCTCATCTCAGGAGGACTGCTGGGCTTCAGGAGACAGAAAGCAGTCACTCAGAAAGACTGGCAGAGCCCTGGGGGAGGATGCGTGGAGCCGGGGGTCCTGCAAGGCACAGAGCTGAAGGAGCAGTGAGCGAGGACCCTGATGGCTCCACAGAGGAGGGTGTAGCTGGGGCCTGGTGACTGAGGGGACCAGAGAGGACCCTGCCAGCTCCACAGAGGAGGGCATAGCTGGGGCCCAGTGACTGAGGGGACCAGAGAGGACCCTGCCGGCTCCACAGAGGAGGGCGTAGCTGGGGCCCAGTGATCGAGGGGACCAGAGCAGCACAGCGTCCAGGACCTGAGACCCAACTGGCTGTGTCCTGACAAGGAAGGAAGGGGCTGGAGAGTTTTGAGTAGAGGGGGCCACATCATTGCTTTATATAAAGGATTCCTGCCCAGCACAGTGGCTCACACCTGTAATCCCAGTGCTTTGGGAGGCCGAGTTGGGAGGATGGCTTGAGCCCAGGAGTTTGAGACTGGCCTGGGCAACATAGCAAGTCTCTGTCTCTACAAAGAATAAAATAAAAATTAGCCAAGGGTGGTGGTGCACGTCTGTGGTCCCAGATACTTGGGAGGCTGAGGTGGGAGGATCCCTTGGGCCTAGGAGGTGGAGGCTGCAGTGATCCACAGTTGTGCCACTGCACTCTAGCCTGGGCAACAGAGTAAGACTGTGTCTCAATGAACAAACAAACAAATAAATAAAGGCTCACTGTGGCTTCCACAGGACACAGGGAGACAGTGAAGAGGCTCTGGATGCTCATGGTGAGGACTGGCGATGGGGCCTCCCCACCCTGGAGTAGAGAACTGGGGAGGACCCGGTGGCCTGAAGCTTCACAGTGAGTGGAAATTACCTGCAGGTTAGAAATGCATTAACTTTACACTCAGCGACTTTTACTATGCAAATCGAGAAACCTAGTTTTATTTACCTTTTTCTCCGAGGGCAACAGTAAAGAGCATCCCACTCGCCCTGGAGAACTGGGGGAATGTCAGCCACGCTGATCCCCCCCCAGAAACCCTCAGCCTCAGTCCACACGCCTGTGGCTTGGCAGCTTCGCCATCACTGTGCCCAAGCAAAGTCGGCGTCCAGCTTTTCACTCGTTCAGTCTCGAGCACTGCCTGTGTGGCCACACAGCCCTTCAACTGCTCCTCTGCCATGCCTGAAGAATAATTATTCGGGAAGCCTCCAGAAGTTCACCACTTCGAAACAGAAACCCCAGCACTGCCAGGACTCCCTGTGATTGGTGGCGGTGCTGAGTGCGGACAGCAGGATGCAGCAAGAGTGCTCGGGTGATTAGGGGAAGTGAGCAGGTTCTCGTTCCAACAGGATCCCCAAGAAGGCGCTGGGAACCGGCAGGCTACTTTCAGGAGTGTGGGGAGATGCGCCAGCGGGAAGCCGGCCCAGCTCCAGCTCTTCCTAACAAGACTGCCTCCCTGCCGCCTGCCTCGCGATTCCCCAGTACAACATTAATCACCCGGCTCCCAGCCGTGTTTCTGCAGAAGGAGCTCTTTCTAATTCAGCTGCTCCAGCCAGGAGGAGCCATAAGTAGAACAGGTGGAAGTGCGTGCTGACTCTGCTATTCCCTTCTCCATCCTGTATTAGACCAGTTTCCCTTATCATTAAATAAAAACACGAAACAAAGACAAATGAGGGAAGGTGGTCTCTCATTTATCACCCAGACCCAGCCTCCCTGTGTCAGCCCTCCCCGGGTGGAAGTGCTCCTGGAAAAGCTGCAATAGAGATAACAAATTGGGAAAATCCGCCTTCACATCACGTCAGGGGCAAGCGGCATCGCACCTGGGAGGTGGCACTAGGTGAGGGAGGGGAGTACGGGGGCTGCGTCTCTGCTCTTTGGGGAGGCAGCATTCACCGTTTAGCGGGCAGCCAGCCACAGGGCCGTCCTCACTCCACAGGCAGATGTGGGGCAAACAAAGCAGTGCTAATGTCTTTCTATCGTGGCTGAGTGAATTTTAGGCTGGTCTTCTCATGAGTGATCAAGATGGGAGAAGATGAAAAGACCCCAACCCCTAAAGCTTGAAGGCACAAAAATGCATCCATCAACCCAGGAGGTGGAATCAAATAGCCCTCCAGTGAGGTGGACTAGAGAACGCCCAGCTGGAAGGGAGGCGCTTCCGTGACCATCTGCTGTGTGGGGCCCACACTGGCCGCCTCCCTGGAATCCACCCCACAGGTAATGAGCAATCAGGTGTGTGCATCAAGCCACGTATAGGCTTCTCTAAGAAAGCTTGAACGCCAACAATGCTTTGCTCGGTATCAGGAAAGTCATAAAAAGAATCCCGCAATTCCAACTGAGCCCCTAGTCTGTGCCTTTCTGGACATGGTGAAGCACTTTTTGGGAGACCCCGATTGAAAGTCATAGAACATCAGATCTGGAAGTCGCCAAACTCCCCACCTGCTGAGTGGGGGCTCCAGACCCCACCCAGGGCTGAGGTCCCAAGAACATGATCTACTTGACGGACTGTCGGGGCTGACCTTGGACCAGGGCCAGGGTGGAAGGAGGTGTATTCACTCATTCATTCAACAGTAGGTGAATGCTTGGATAAATGGGACAGCCTGGGATGAAACCTTGAAAACTACACAGTCATTTGCCTCCGTGTAGCTCACCATTTTATTTTTTAGGGAAACAATTAACTAATAATTATAAAAATGCAATGGGTGGAGATGCAAATGTAGCATCGTGAATGGTGCAGATTTACATGGGAGCCCAAAGAGACAGGTCCCCTTGAGAGAAGGGAAGCTGAAAACAGAAAGAGGCCCTGGAAATGAGTCCCCTCTGCAACTCAGGGTAGACGAGGTCCCCGCAGACTGGGCGTGGAGTCACGTGGAGCTTGGGGAGAACTTTAGGGTCAGGTCAGACCCCTGCCCTGAGGAGGCTTCCCTGAGGGCTCTCTGCCTCCCCCTCCCCAGCTACTTCCTGTTCTCTCACCTCCAGTCCCTCCCACCCATAACACCACTCCTTGCAGAACTGATCAATTCCTGGTCGCCACGATGCCTTCTGGGGTCAAGCAAAGCTCTCAGCCTCGACAGTGAAGGTCCAAGGCATTTTTTTCCTCTCTAATTCTGGCTGCTGCTCAGAGAGGAGAGTTGGGCTGGTGCAGTGCAGCAGGGTGAGCTCTGTTCCACGCAGCGGGGAAGGGGCTCCTAACCTGAGCTGTGACTGGCTGCCCACACAAATCCATCCACTGTGAAGATTTTTCTAAACATTGTCCCTTCTGCCAACCATGACTCATCCATCCACTTACCCAACTCATTCAACAGAGAGGTGTTGGACCTTCACCACGAGCCGGGCAATGGCTTACCCTAGACATGCACAGCCCTCCTGCTAACAATTTTAACATGGCATTTTCTCTACTTTCTCAACAAAGTATCTCTAGGCAGTCAGCTCTGAACCTAACTCTCTTCCCCTTTGCCCTGGGAGTCGGGCAGAGGGAGCCCTGTGGGAATTCCATTTCCTGGAACCCATTTGATCATTTCTGTTTTTGGAAATAGCATACATGTATCGAACTTTTTTCCTAATTTATTAGAATATGCTGACAGTTGTATACAGCTTAAATGTATACATTTCACCCTCATCTATGTGATTATCATGTTTTATTTCGCTTTATGATTTGAGTTCCTAGGAAATTCAGATTTTTATTTTTTAAAGTACACAGCACAATCAATGTTTATAAATTCAGTTGTTCCCTAATTTATTAATTTCTTCTTTCATCCTTATTATTCCCTTCCTCCTGATTTATTCAGTATTTTCCATTATTTCCCTAAGTTTCTCAATTGACAGGATATTAATATACTGTTTTCTTTTCATCTTAAGGCTGTGAATGTACCTTAAAGTATACCTTTGGCCAATTATCACATTTTATATGTTGTTAGAATAAATATCCAGAAATGCTCTATTAGCCGTATACACACAATCATGACAGAAAAAATAGTACTTCCCTGACCAGTTATTTGAACTAATGTTACTGAAGTTTTTACCCTTCCCATGGAAAACAAACTTTGAGATTGTGTTACTAAACTCCTCATTAATTTTACTGTTAGATACATTGATCAATGTGTTTTGATAATTTCTTGACATTTTCTTTATGGCCTAGTATCACCTTTTGTGAGCTTCCCATCCATGTTTGACTAGTCATTTTCTTCAAATATATAGTATAAAACTCTATATTTAGATACATTTATCAACGTATGTTTTGATAATTTCTTGACATTTTCTTTATGGCCTAGTATCAACTTTTGTGAGCTTCCCATCAATGTTTGACAAGTCATTTTATTCAGATATATAGTATAAAACTCTATCTGTATGCGAATATTGATGTGTAGGTATTTACTTACGTGTTTGGTCCCATATATTATAGAATGATCCATGTAATGTGTTATCATCATTTACTTTCATTTTTATTGAGTCATCATTGCATGCCAAGAGTTTTTACTGTGATTTACATTTGTTTTTTCAAGTGTTTTTTACAGCTCTTCTGTGTGTTTAGATATTTTATGATGTGACATGGAAATGTTTCTTTTTTAAAACATAGATTCTGTCTTCTATCCATGAGAAATAATCATCGCTTTTCTTTTTACAGCTCTGCTTTCTCTATTTTGTCCTGTATTAATGTTGCCACACAACATATCACAAATAACCTTCAAAATACAGATAGCAAATGACATCATTGTACTTTCTACATTCTGGGACTGTCCTAAGTCCTTCGCCGATGGAGGTGCTTTCAAATGTTCCTCGGGGTTAAATGGCCACGGAGCATTCGGAGGCTGCGCGAGCCCGTCCATTCCTGCGACTCCCTACACATGCGGGTGACGGTCACACGCTGCCACTGCTAGCCCTCCCGCCCTGGGACCCTTCTGTGCCTGCCCCTTTCATGGGTGGCCACATCTCCCTGGGTCAGAAAACCTGCACATTCATATAACACTGCTGGGTTTTAACCTGCTGCCACCATGCCTGGCCTGCTCCAAATTTATTAGCCTTGCTAATACCAGAGGTTTCCTCTTTTTAATGTCCTAAGCCATGCACAGGTGTGTGTGAAAGAGAGCTGAGCATCTGCACGTGTGTGGCTGAAGCTGCATTATTGCTGGAAGCTGAAGATGCATAGGCATCTGAGGAGGCCTCATGGATGCCGCCACCCCCACCTCCCCCCTTGTGGGATTGAAAACGCTTTGTGCACCGTCTTTAGCTCCAATACGTTTTCCCACCTGTCCAAGTACTAGTGTCTGAGAGGCTGGATTCCCTGGGTGTACAGACCTGGCTCAGTCTCTGTAGGAGATGATCTCACCTGGGATTCTGCACAAGAAGAGGAAGCCCCACCACAGAGTGACCGTGAGCCCTGTGCAAGGAAGTCAACCACAGACATCCAAGCCTGCCCCAGCCACTCCAGCCCCACCACAGAGTGACCGTGAGCCCTGTGCAAGGAAGTCAACCATGGACATCCAACCCTGCCCCAGCCAGTCCAGGCCTGGGGAAGACTCCTGCTCCAGCTCCAGGTGCCTCCTGATTCGGCTGTCTCTACGTTGCTTCTGCACTCACTCAGGGTTTGGTCTGCTTCTCTTTCCCTTGTTCAGTGCTAATGAAGGACACACAGACAACTCTCAGCTCTCCGTCTATGTTTGCACCAAGTTTTTTTAAATTTTTTATTATTTTTATATATTTATTTTTGAGACAGGGTCTCACTCTGTCACCCAGGCTGGAGTGCAGTGGCAGGATCTCAGCTCGCTGCAGCCTTCACCTCCAGACCTCAAGCGATTCTCCCACTTCAGCCTCCCAATTAGCTGGGACTACAGTCACGCCACCACACCCTGCTTTTTTTTTTGTATTCTGGGGAGAGATGGGGTTTCACCATGTTTCCCAGGCTATTCTTGAACTCCTGGACTTGAGCAACCTGCCCGTCTCAGCCTTCCAAAGAGCTGGGGTTACCAGTGTGAGCCACCATGCCCGGCCTGCTCCAAGTTTTATCACTGAAGTATGAAATCCCCTTCTCACAGGATAGACCCTGTCAGCTGCAGGTCTCACCACCTCTGCTCAGGCCCAGCTGTGCATTCCGTGGACCCTGCGGAATGTCTTGCTGTAGAGCAACGTCTGTGCAGCCATGGAGCGGAGGGAGGGCCTTAAAGACACACCTAGGCTGGACGAGGTGGCTCACGCCTGTAATCCAAGCACTTTGGGAGGCCCAGGCAGGCAGATCACAAGGTCAGAAGATTGAGACCAGCCTGGCCAACATGGTGAAACCCCGTCTCTACTAAAAATACAAAAATTAGCTGGGCGTGGTGGCGCGTGCCAGTAATCGCAACTACTTGTGAGGCTGAGGCAGGAGAATATTTTGAACCAGGGAGCTGGAGGTTGCAGTGAGCCGAGATCACGCCACTGCACTCCAGCCTGGCGACAGAGCGAGACCCCGTCTGAAAAAAAAAAAAAATCCCAGCCTCAGCCTTAGGCAGAGAAAGAGATGGTGAAGGGCGCCTCTGGGCTGTGTGGTTAGAGAGCCTGCAGCTACCTCCACACTCCCTGTCCCCATCACCTGACAACAGTGCAGAGAAGGAAAAGCTGTTTCTCGCTGCCTTCCTGGATTTTGTTTTGTTTCCTATGTATCTACATCGTTTGTTCTTTACTAAATCTGCACGATCTCTATATTAATCACCTAAAGACTTAAGGAGAGACAAGCGTGGGATGCCCCACTCCCCAGGTCAGGGGCACCGTGCCACGTGGGAGCCGGTGGAGAGTGAGTCAAAAGCGCTTGGTGACTGCGCGGGGCAGGCCTCCACCTGAGCCCCGCCGTCCACACTGCCAGCCTGGAGCCTCCATCTCTCTGCGCCCTCAGGCACCGGGTGGGCTCCCAGCCTGAGGCCCTGAAGCTGCCTTTTCTATGGATGGCCCCTTTCTTGCTGGAGGCCTGGAACGCCATCGCGGCTGCGGGGGAGCTGTAGAACCGCGCCACGCGTTTCCATGCAACGAGGCTCCTCAAGATGCAGAGGAAGGAAGGGGGTTTCATCTAAGATGATAAATCGTCTGTGCTGCAGGTTCTACAAGGCTCGGTCGGTTGTCACTGCGATAAAATCTGATCAAACAGTGTCATCCAGCAGGGAAAGGAGCCGGCAGTTCCCAGGAGGCGGGACCCACTGGCGCTCTGCAGCCTGCTTCGGCCGCCAGGAAAATCGGCTCAGTTTAGACTCCAAAGGGGCGCCTCCTGGTTCGCCTTTTATTTACACCAGGCCATCCTCCTGCCGGCGCGGGGGCTGGAGAATCCCTTCCCTGCTCCAACCTGCCCTCTCTCTGCCTCCTTCATTTTTCCAGACCACTTTCATTTCACAAGAGCACAATTTGAATCATTATCAGCTTCCGACAGTTGCTTCAGCCTCTGCTATCTTCCCCGAACAAAAGCGACAATATTCAATTCAACCTGCGTGTGTGTCAAAGGGAAATGCAGCTGATTAAGCTCTGGAGGCCTCATCTCATAGGGATTAAACGCACAGGCCCACACTATGTCTCATTTTGGACACACCCAGCTCTGCGCAACGCCGGTTGGCTTCAGAAAGTTGACAGTGAGAAGCCTGAATTCTTTAGAGCACCACAATGATACTCAAAGGGCAGCTGCCCAGGGCAGATTGCATGATAAACCCAGAGTATTTGCGAATGGAAAACACACTTCCATGCAACGCTTCACGTCGTGGGGATTCTGTGGCTGCTTTTCCCTGCGGTCAGCCTCAGGGCTCCTGGCCTCCCTCCTGTGGGAGGTGAAGGCCACTCTGTGTGAGTCTGTCTTGGGCTGGACCTCAGGTGCAGCTGGGAATCTTATCAAGTCGTAAGTCAATCTCTCAACAAATATGTGCAATAGCAACGGTCCCCCCGGGCTTCCCAAGCACCCGGAGTCGGGGCTAATGGGAGGAAAGACAGAGAAATGCTCATTGTGTTCAAGGGGCATCTGCCGCGAAGTGAGCCCTGCCCGGGAATCGGATGGAGGCTGCTCTCAGCTCCTCGGCCCCAGTGCCGGGTGACCTTGGCCCACCTGCTTCCCTTCACCGGGACTCAATTTCCTCAGCCGTTCAATGAAGGGGTTGGGCTGGGTGACCCCGGAGGCTCCTTCCCTCTCTACTTTATGATCACGATTGTGCGGTATTGACCGTGGCGGGGCAGGTCGTTTCAGCTCCGCGTGCAGCGCGGCTCTGTGCATTGATCTCAGCACCACTTCTCCAGTTATCCAAAGCTGACGTCCCAATGTGACTTTCGCTGGGCATAAAACAAGCAGCGCGATATTGTTTTCAGTAATTTTAACTTCATAATTATGTTTACGGTGGTGCAATAGCATTACCAGGATTTGAAAGGGCTTCGGGGTGTGAAGGAGCCGCCCGCAGCCCCTGCCAGTGCCCGTTTTCCCTGCGACCCACTCCCATCCTGGCCTTCGTGATCCACGCGTGTCAGGACACTCAGGGTGTTTCACCGTCCTGCGCTTTCCCAGATGCTTTTCTCTCTCCCACATCTCTCTCCAGTCTGTCCAGCTCACTGGATTTCTCAATCGCTGCCCTAATCCAGGTCGCCTCTATGGGCCCCCAGGTGACCCCAGCGGCCTCCTATCTGGGCACCCTCCTCCCCTTCTGCACTGCCCTGTGGCTGGGACACTCAGGCGGGCCTCAGCTGGGCAGCAGGGTCCACACTGACCCCTGAAGGCAGTGGAGTAATGGGGGGCTCTGGCAGGGGCTGGCAGCATCATGTCTGCTCTGCAGAGATATCACCCAGCTCTGGTGGTGAGGTCTGGAGGTTCATCTGGGACTAACGCTTTGCCAGGCCAGCATGTGAAAGGGGAGGAAGATGGCATGGAGGGCATTTGCTGGGATCCAGAGCAGAGAAAGGAGGAGAGGGAAGCAGAGAAACCAAAGGAGCTGGCAGGGGGTGGTACTAGGGGTACAGGGAAGGACCAAGACAAGGCCCATAATTCCAGAGGGACCCAGGGAACCAAGGTGGGGATAAGGCTGTTTCTGACATTGGCAGGTCCTGTCATTGTCCCTTGAGAACTGAGGCAGGATAGAGGGAGGGTCGCTGGGTAGGAGGCATGGAGGAGCCAGGAGGTCAGGGTGCACGTGGCTCATCCTCTATGCTGGGAGGGCAGGGTGCATGAGGTCCATCCTCCATGCTGGGAGGGTAGGGTGGACGTGGCCTGACCTCCATACTGAGAGGGCAGAGTGCACGTGGCCTGACCTTCATGCTGGGAAGGCAGGGTAGAGGCAGTCCAACCTCCATGCTGGGAGGGCAAGGTGCATGTGGTCCAACCTCCATGCTGGGAGGTCAGAGTGCACCTGATACGACCTCCATGCTGGGAGGGCAGAGTGCACGTGATCCATCCTCCATGATGGGAGGGCAGGGTGCACATGATCCATCCTCCAGGCTGGGAGGAAGGGGTGGACGTGGCTCATTCTCCAGGCTGGTGGGGCCACTCTGATAATGACAAAGCAGGCAGTAGGGACTCCTGCAACCCAGTGTGAGGTTGTGGGTGAGGGTTGGAATTGCCCCCACATTCATGTATTGAGATCTAAACCCCCAGCTCCTCAGAATGTGACTGTATGTGGAGGCTGGGTCTTTAAAGAGGTAATTAAGTTAAACTGAGGTCATTTGGGTGAGTCCTAACACAATATGACTAGTGTCCTCATAAGAAGGGGAGATGAGGGCACAGAACAGGCACAGAGGGACATCTGTGTGAGGACACAAGGAGGGGAAAACGTCTACAAGCCAAGGAGAGGCCTTGGGAGGAACGAGCCCCACCCACACCTTAATCTTGGACTTCCAGCCTCCAGGATAGTGAGAGGATAAATCTGTGTTGTTTAAGCCAACCATTGGTCATGGCACCCTCCAGACGCTGATCCATCCTCCCGATGCTGATCCGTGAAACCTCAAAGGTTCTGTCTCATTTACCTTTGAGTCCCCCACCTCCTGCCAGACACTTGCTCTGTACATAGACAGTGCTGACTTACATCTGTTACTCAGTGTGACGTCAGCTGTCCCTCAGCAGCCATGAAGATATCCTTCAAGTTCAACAAGAACTTGTCATCCCCCAGTGAAAGCGTGCAATGCCTCCTCCACCTACTAACACAGCAGCGCACAGAGCTGCCTCCCGCTGCCTCCAGCCACCCTCCCTCTGCCTGCCTCGCTCTCGCTAAGTGTCTGTGAGGTGTGAAGTGTGCTGCGTGCGCTACCAGGACTGCATCCCTTCATGGGCTCCCCCGTGCTAACCCACACCCTCCGTGGACATGCCTATCTCTACGTGGAAATCTCCAACTCGCTACTGGACTCATGGTTCAGTAATCACTGTCCTAAAGGAAAAACACACCTGCCACCATCTCAAAGTTAGCATGGGAGCGTCTTATGAAAAACAGACAACCCCTTCTAAATGTTTTCCATAGTGAGGGTGCTGCTGTGTATTCGTGAAAACCTGAATGCTTTTTCACCTCCTTCGCCTCCCTGTCTTCTCTCCAGAAGGAATTTATCAGGAGCCATAAAAGAATTCCCAAGGACAGACACCGAAAATGGGTCAGCCGTGGTGACAAATCACTGAAGGTGTTCCCAGCATTGTCCTGGCTGTTTGGAAATGGCCTCAGGATGCTCCATTATTTAGGTAGGAGGGGGCCCAGAAGAGCCCTTGAATGGCTATTTTCTTACAGGGAAACCAGGGGGCCTGGAGAGGGGGCAGGTGTCACGCCCTCCCAGGAAGACTTTGCTCAACTCTCCTTCAGGTGCAGGAGGTGTGGATGCCCACACTCCATGGACTCCCATGTGTAAGGTCACAGGCGGGACTATGGCTGCAGGGCCCCCTGCTCATCACCCAGATGTCTCCAAACCAGTTCTCTGTGGCTCCTCAGATGGGGCCTTGGAGTCCAGCTTTGTCCAGAGGCCCAGCAAGCCCGACCCTCAGCCCTGCAAGGCACCAGGAGTCCTGGAAAGCCACTCATCCCCAAATCATGGCAGCCACAGCCATGAGAGCCGTGGGTTTCCCTGGTCTTGAAGAGACAATGCCCCTCCAGGTAGGTGATCCTTTCTTCCCGAGAGAGTGAGAGGGAGGGGGAAGGAACCAGAAGAGGTTAAATCCACAGGCTCTGGCTCACAAGCCACAGTCAGAGGAGGAGCCCATGGATTTCACGACATCCGGCTCCCCGGGCCTCATGTCCACCACCACCGACACTGAATGGCAGATGGCGTCCATGGAAGCTCAGCCACAGGACCCAACTGGCGACAGCTGGACTCTGGTGTGAGGGTCTCCCATCCTCTTCTCTGGGGGCTTCTCCCTTTGAGTTGTATCTTGGGGTCCTGCCTAACTCAGGGTGCCTGCGTTCTTTGCAGAGCAGCTCTTTGGGGTTTAATCAGCTTGTGCTGGTGTGGGGAAGCCGCGTTATGATCTGATAAATGTATCATGTGTGGCATTGCACTTGTTGGTTATGAAAAATCAGCTGTTGCCTGGTAACCAAAATTGTCAGCTCCCAAACCTCGAAGGCCACGGAGCCAGGCCTGATGGCTTCTAAGGAGCCATAGCCAAGGCTGAGGAACAAAACCTGATGAGCCTGGGACATGGGGGCCAGAGACACCCTCAGTTCTCATTCAAAGTTTTCCCACAAAGAAAACAAATCAGGGAACCTCAGGGCTGTGGTTTGTAGCTGCATCCAGCTTTCAGAGAGAAGTGGGGAGGAAGCTCTTCCAGGCTCCTTGTGGTCCCAGCAGCCACACAGGGACAGGTATCATGTGTGGGAGTAGCAGCTGCCATTCGTGCCGGGTCTTGGGGGGACCCTGAGCTCATTCCCAGTGTCTGGGCAGCCCACCCCCCACAGGCAGTGCCCACATTGTGCCTGGGCTCAGGAGTGGCCCTAGATGGCCCTAGACATCACAGTCCAGTGAGCTTGGCAGGGGGGCATCTGCTTCCAAGACTTTCTCTGGGTGCCTCTCCCCCAGTGGCCTGGCCCCTCTGTGGGGTCCATCAGCCACCCCAAAGGCCACAGACCTCAACTCAGGCATGATAATTGAGGGAGGAATGTAAAAATTCCCCTGGGAACGAGAGCCAGACCATGACCCTAGGCTGCATTCTCTGTCCCTTTCCCCTCCCAGGCACCTCATCATTGAGGCCTAGACCTGTCTCCGTGTCCCAGCCTCAGGGTCCTCCTCCCCTTCTCCACATATACCCCACCCCTCATGGACAGATCACAGCGAGCTGGAATCACACGTGTACCACCTCCCTCGCTTTTGCCCAGCAAGTGTGGAACACTGGGTTTTACTGTGTTGCCTTTATAGTAAATAGCTCATGTAAAAAGACTTATGGCCTAAAATTATGTTAATAAACTCATGTGTGAAATCATCTGTCGAGAGAGGAAACGTCACTGGCCTCTTGGGATTGTGAGAATTGAACTAAAGGCTGTGGAGGCTTGTTGTGAAAAGGAATAGAAACCTGAGTCTTCTCTGCCCCAGGCTCGGTGCCTTTGAACCCTCAGGGGTGGCAGGAGCTGTCCCAGGTGCTGAAGATGTCAGGGAAGCAAGGGAGCGGCGGGGTAGGGAACCCCCGCTGCAGAGCCGCGAAGCATTTGTTGGGCAGGGTGACCTCCTTCGTTAACTCGGTAGGCTGCCCCAGATTCATATTCTGCTCACCCGTGCATCAGGCATTCATTTTTTCACTCATTCATTCATTCACATGCCGGGTCTTGGCCATCAGTGTCACCTTCTTACTACACTCCATGCCTTGCTTGACCTCACCTCCACCAGGCTGGCAGAGGGGGCGGCACACACACCTGCCGCACTCACTGTTGGCCCTCTCTGGAGCCGTTTGCAGGGGCTTTCTCCGTGTCTTTCCAGTAGACACAGCATGGACCCTGTAGCCAGACGTGTGAGTTCATCTGGGCTCCACCACTTCCAGCTGTGAGACCCTGGGACAGTCACGTAGACCTTGGAGACCTCGTAAGATGGTTATGATAATTAAGTTGATTCATAGACTCAACCCCTTGGAAACGGCGCTCTCCATATAAGTGTGATGTGCTGCCTGCCCTTATTCTTACCAGGTCCCTGACGGCCTTGTGACAGGGCCCTGGGCTCATTTGCCGTTTAACCCCCACACCTATGGACACTGTGCACACCCCTGCCACCACATGAGGCCTTCTGCACCTCTGCACCCCAGCCTCTCATCCTGAGGCTTAGTTTGTGATTCTGTAATGACATATTCTCCACCTACCTCCGCCCGCTAAAGTGCAAATCCCACCAGGCCTGGGCCTTGGTCATTGTCTCCCCAGGGAGCTCCAGGCCCCAGGACAGTGACCCATGCACAGCAGACACTCCCTCCATGGCTGCGGAATGGCTGTGTGGCTTCTGCAGAGATGTCTCCCACTTCAGGCTGACCTGCCTGGAGAAAGACAAGCCGCTTCTCTTCCATTATGCTTTAATTTCTAGAAGTTTCCTTGTTTGGGGGCAGGATTGCTACTTCCTTAGAATAATTTCCTTTCCTATTTTCAGCTTATAAACTTTGGAAGCAAACAAGCTCTCCTCCTGTAGAACGCACCCCGACAGGAAAGCTGCCCACGCTGTGCTGCGCTGTCATTAATGAATTACCAGGATGGTGCAATGCTGTAAGCGCTCATCTGCTCCAAGCCGTTCCCAGGGAGCGCAGCTTTTCTGGGCTGGATGCCAGGACAGCCGGGCAGCCCCTGGAGGGGTGGGGGAGGGGAGCTACAGCCCAGGGGCCCTGCTTCAGTGTCGGGAATGTGTGTGCTTCCTCCTGCTCAATCGCTTTCATCCCAAATCTTTTGTATTTCCCATTGATCCATGTCTAGAATGGACAGAGCAGCAGGAACATTCAAGCCACTTCCCTGTAGGACGATTAGATCTTGACAATTGGATGCCATAAATTATATATATATATATATATTGAGATGGAGCCTTGCTCTGTCGCCCAGGCTGGAGTGCAGTGGCGCAATCTCGGCTCACTGCAACCTCCATCTCCCAGGTTCAGGGGATTCTGCTGCCTCAGCCTCCCGAGTAGCTGGGATTACAGGTGTCTGCCACCACGCTCAACTAATTTTTTTGTATTTTTAGTAGAGATGGGGTTTCACCGTGTTGGCCATGATGGTCTCGATCTCCTGACCTCGTGGCCCACCCACCTCGGCCTCCCAAAGTGCTGGGATTGCAGGCGTGAGCCACCATGCCCGGCCATAATTTTTAATGCAGTAGAATACTGTCTACATTTTCTTAGCACTTAGACAACTCATGGTTTCCAAGAGGACTCACGAGGATGAACATCCGCATCTCTGGGACCATTACTCTCACTCTGAACTGATGTTGGCAGAAGGGGAGTTCCTGCTTCTCTGGGGGACTGTGACCTCACAAGGGTGCCTGGTCTTGGTCATCATCATTAGATTCCTCAAACAGAGCCTGGGGCGAGGTTGGCCCAGCGTTGAACATGGCCCAGTGAAGATCAGGCGTGAAGTAGACGCAGGGGCCTGGCTTGGCCTTACAGCTGTGTCAGTCAATACTTGAGCTTCATTTTTAGTTTAACATGGACCTTGAGAGGAAATCATAATGTATCTCAACAAACACATGGAAAGAAGAACTTTTTACAATTTTTAAATGAAGTGAGACAAAAGCACCATGTGTGGTTCTCTAACACGGTGTCAGGGTGTTCCCTTTTCATAACAGTGGCCTTTAATAATCAGAGACTCACAACATTCAGCCCATGGCGGGCAACACTGTGGGCTTCACTCGTGTTAACTCAGGCAGCCCTGACAAAAACTCTAAGAAACAGGTACAAGTATGACCACAGCTTATAGTTGAGGAAACCAAGGTATGGAGAGGTTGGGTGACTTGTCCCAGGCAAAGAGCCAGCAAGAGGCAGAGGTGGGATTTGAACCCCAACCATCCAGCCCCAGAATGGACGTTCTTAGCCCCTCTGAGGCCATGCTGAATGTCCAGAAGCCAAGCGGGTCTGGAGGCCAAAAGTCACTCACATGCCTGTCTAACTGCGAGTTAGACTCCATTCTGAAGCATCAGAGCTGCGGGCTACAGACGGGAGGCAGATATTCCAAGGCCTGGCACTTCCAGCTCCCAGGGCAGGTCAGGGCCATGAGAGAGGTTGGCTCTGCTCATCAGAGCCTGGAGGGGGCTGGCAGCCAGTCTGGATGGAGAGAGTGGCCTCACTGAGGGTTCACTGACAATTTTGGGACACTATCAAGTGGGCAGAAGGCTGATTTTAGGCTGTCCTTGACTCTCACCATGAAAAATAGTAACAGTGCTTGGATCCTGTTGGTGCAGGGTTATGGGTAGAAACTGTGCTAAACATCAATCTCTGGGGGAAAATGTAACTTTCAGATGAATATTAAGGGTGAGACCAAAAGAGATCCGGGCTCCATCTGGCCAGGACAGGGGGGTGTCAGTGAGTATTGTGGGGGTGCTTGGGGTGGCAAAAGGCTGGAGAAAGTCACCTCCGCCTGTGTACACCGAAGGCTGTCTGGCATCACCAAGGAGATCCTGTGATCAGAATTTATGTTCCTGCTTTTTCTGACAACCATCCCTTGATATCCTTCACTGAAGCATCTTCTCCTGCACCCAAAATGTGTCACCGTTTCTCATTTCTCCATGACCCCTGGGTCCCTCATGGTTGTATTGTCACCCACACAACAGCACATAGGATCCTGTATCCATCTGCAGAGACTCCCTCAGCAGGCCCCACGGGTCTCATTCATCCACAATTGGTAACTGGCCTCCTTGACTCTGTGGCCAAAGATGTAGGTCTTGGATTCCTTGACCCACCACTTGTTCGTTGTGAAAGCTGGGGCCGGTGGAGGGGCCTCACTGACTATAGAAGGCAATGATGTTACTGCCCAGCTCACAGGATGAGTGTGAGGACTGACCAGTATCCATCAGGAGCTTTGGAAACAGCACCTGCCATGCAGCTGATGCTGGTGCTTCCATTCTGTGGATGGAGCCGTGTGGGTGCCCCAATAAGGCTGAGATTTTGCCCATCACCCTTGTACATTATTTGCGTGTTTTGCTCCTCTCCTGGGGAGGTCAATTACAAAATGTCCTATGGTTTTTTAAGTCACAAAGCATCATCTCAATCAGTTGTTGAAACAAGCAGTCCTCCTCTCCCCTACAGCTGCCACAGCTCTGGACTCCATTCACGTTTGCGGTTTTCCATCCCACATTGCAGGTTTGGGGCTGTGGGCAGGACTGCAGTTGGGCCGGGCGAGAAGTTGTCACCTTCCCTCCTTCCTGGCTCAGTGCCTGGTCCTCCCAGCCAGGACAGACACCCTCCAGGACTCCCGATGGTGGGGAAGGGGTGGCGGGGACAGACGAGGCAGCGGGAGGCATCCTGCTGGGCTGGCACCATGGCGGCCGGGACACACTGCCCCTTGGGGTGCAGCCGCTGTCTTAAGTTGACTCTTCCCATGGCTGGGATCTCCCCCTTGTCATTCCCTCATATGCCCTAAGGTAGAGGGGTGTGTTTTTTGTTTTTGATTTTTTTTTTTGAGACGGAGTCTCACTCTGTCGCCCAGGTTGGACTGTAGTGGTGTGATCTTGGCTCTTTGCAACCTCCACCTGCTGAGTTCAAGCGATTCACTATTCTCCTGCCTCAGCCTCCCAAGTAGCTGGGATTACAGGCACCTGCCACCATCCCCTGCTAATTTTTGTATTTTTAGTAGAGGCAGAGCTTCACCATGGTGGCCAGTCTGGCCTCAAACTCCTGACCTCAGGTGATCTGCCCTACTCGACCTCCCAAATTGCTGGGATTACGAGCGTGAGCCACCATGCCCAGCCATCCTAAGGTTTCTCTATTTGGGATGGCTGCGTTCAACACTTCCCTCCAGCTTCTGGAAGCCCATCTCTTTCAGAACATCCTCTTGCCCCACCTGGGTGAATCTAGAGCAACCCCAAGCACTCTTGGGGGTGCCTGTATCTAGTTCAGGGGTAATCCTCACACATATTGAACTACCTCAATCAGACTTTCACCCTGAGATCTCTCAGAGATGGCTCAGATGCAATTCCCATCGCCCCCAGATTATCCAGGGCTCTGTATTAACCCTTGTGGAGGGTATTATCAAAGCCTCTCTTCTTTGCCAAGAGGTAAAGGGGATTTGTCCTGTAGCCTTTCTTCAGGCAGAACTTACGACACCCTCAGATCTCTCGATCATCACCTTTGACGGTGTCCCTGAGTCCACTGTACTTAGTCTCAGGAGGTGTCACATCCCCACCTCTCCCCTAGATGGGACTCACCGCGCAGATCTCCAGAGAAATCTTCTACAAAAACCCTCATGGGTCATCTGCTCCAGCCCCTCTCACTGCTCTCAGGGTTGGGAGATAGAACCATGTGGTAGGTGGAATTGACAGCACAGCTCTCTCCAAAGAAATGGAACGCGCCTTACAGTTACACCCTCCACTGAGGAATGACAAAACGCTCTAAACATCTTGTTTTGTTTCTCAGCCAGCTGTGCTTTACTGACAATGCACCACTCAGGCCTTGACCGTGTACTTCCTCAGCAGGGACAGGCGCTCCTTCCTCCTTCCTCAGCGGGGACAGCCACTCCTTCCACTGCTGCTTCTTGCCCTTCAGGTTCTCCTCGTGCTTGTTGAGACAGTGGCTCATGGCGCATGTCTTCTTAGGCTGCAGGTCCACGGGCTGGTACTTCTTGCCCTTGTAGAATTTCCTGAGGTTTTCTCTGGTTAATAACCATGAGAACACAGGCAATGGATTTGCGGACGACTCGGATCTTAGACAGCCTGGAGGCTGCACCGCCTGTCACTTTAGTGACACGCAGCTGGGACAGCTCCACCTTCAGGTTGTCCAGCTGTTTCAGCAGTTCCTCTTCTTCCCTCGAGGGTCTCAGGCCTTGATCTTGGCCATTGCTGCACAGGCGGCCACCGCCCGCTCCTGCTCTAAACATTTTTATGTCTTTTACCTTAAAAATATCTTCCTGCTAGTCTAACACTTTGCATTGGAATACACAGTGATCTAGAATTTCCATTTCAACACCCTGTCTAATTATTGTTTTCACCCAGCGTTTCTGCTAAACCTGGGAACTGATGGAGCTGTTTGACTGCTCCCAACTGCCACATTCATTGGCACATTAATTTATTTACTGTAATCCACACCTCTAACCCTGAACAAGGTGTTGGGAAAGGTGTGTAAATGTGTGTCAACAACACGCTCTAATTAAGCGTTGTTTCTCAACTGGGGGCACTTGTACCCCCCAGAGGTCATCAGGCAATGTCTGAAGACATTAATGCTTGTCATAACCCTTGTGTTTGTGAAAGGGTTGCTGTTGCATGCAGTAGGCAGAGGCCAGAAATTCTTCTAAACACCCCACAGTGCAGGGACAGCCCTGTCAGCCCTACAGAGAGTGACCAGCCCCAAAGTTAGGCGTGCCATGGTCAGAATGTTTGCCATAGGGAGCCCCCAGGCCACTAATCCAAGAAGACCAGCATCATCAGCCCCACTGCCCTCCGCACTTTGGGCTTCTGAGAACACCAGCTTCACAGTGGAGGTAACCCTGAGTCATCAGCTCCATGGGTTGGTGAAAAGATGCATCTCCCAGAGGAAGCTGAACATACACTCAGTGCTGGGCATCTTTTAGAGCTCCCTTCCCTGCCTCAAGCACTCAGCTGACTTGGAAAGAGCCACACGCGCTGGGACTGGAAGGAACGCCTCCTTTCCTGGATGCCCGTGCCGCGGTGCCCACTCCACTCACCATCCCTCCTTGTCGTCTTCTGGTCACCGTGTCTTCGGCAGGGCGTGAGTACCTCACCTGCGGGCTGTGGACGGGTGCTCTTGTGTTTCTGCCTGGGAGGAGGGTTTGGCACTGCTGCGGATGCAGCCTCCCGTCTGTTGGACTCCTCTACCTGCTCTGCTGGAGCACCCCTTGGCTGCAGCGAGGCTGGCCCTGGAGTTCGCTCTCCTCTGGGGTCATCCTGCCCACAGCTGGGGCCCTCTCTGGCTTAGGTGTATGGATAAGAACAGCCTTTTCTTGAAGAGATGAGGAGTCCCTTAGAGGAACGCCAATAGCGATGAAACCAGATTCTTCTTACCTGGTCTATAATGAAGCCAGCCAGGCAGAGCCGGAGCTCCCAGCATCCCTGAGACCTGACACCTTTTCCTCTCGGCCACATGGCCCTCCTGAGTCCAGTCAGGACTCAAGGCTGTGAAACTCTGCATGTCTGGTTCCCCCTTCTTCCTTCTCATTTTTTTCTTTTTCCTTTTCTCTTTCTTTCTTTTTTCCTTTTTTGGAGATGAAGTCTTGCTGTTGCCCAGGCTGTAGTGCAATGGCATGATCTCTGCTCACTGCAACCTCCTCCTCCTGAGCTCAAACATTCTCCTGCCTCAGCCTCCCAAGTAACTGGGATTACAGGCATGCACCACCATGCCCAACTATTTTAGTATTTTTAGTAGAGGCAGGGTTTCACCATGTTGGCCAGTCTGGTCTCGAACTCCTGACCTCACGTGGTCCATCTGCCTCGACCCCTCCAAGTGCTGGGATTACAGGCATGAACCACCATGCCCAGCCTCTTTTTTTCTTTCTTCCTTTACTCCTTCGTGATCCTATGAGTCTCACACCGGAGCCTGGCACTATGATCTATGCAGAAAACTGAGCATCTCCTTTGACCTTCCACGCAGGCTTGCCCAGCTGTCATTCATGTCGGGACTGGCATTCCATTCCAGGCCTGGGGAGCTGCATAGTGTTTCTATTCTTGACTCTCACGGATGACAGGAGTTAGGATACTGTGGCCCTCCCCTCCATTGGACCACAGTGTACGCTGTGATTTATGCTCTAAAACCTTGGAGGCGTGTTCCCCAGCCTGCTCACCTCCCACTGGCAATGCTATAGGGAATTGTAGGGTATCAAGTTGAGCTTCTGGCCTTCTAGAACCTTCTCCCTGATTAATCTATATCCTCAGGAGTTCTCATGCTCTGGGTCATATAACCACTTCATTTTTGTTCTCTATCCCCTCCCCATAAGGAATACTTGGAATTATTTATTATTAATGAGAGGAGCATGAAGAAACCTTTAAGACACTTCTAGAATGGTAATTTCCAAGAATCCATTTCCCAGCAAAACAACCAAAACTGGTAAAAAATTCTTTTAAAAAACAATAATATCTCTACAAATTATTTTAAGGGGATTAAGCAAATGAAGTTACATTCATTCACAATTTCAACAAAATCTTAAGAGCAGTGAGAGTCTGTGACACATGAGGCCCTAAATGGTCCCATGACCTCCTCTCCCCTGGTCAGCTTCACAGAGCTCCATTTCCATTGGCAGGAAGACGGGGCCTTCTGTCTCCTTGGCTGTCAGTCCGCATTGACTGTATGAGGAAGGGCAGGTAGCCAGCATTTCCCAACCCCACCGCCTCCGAGGTGCAGAAGCTGAGTCCTTGTTGAGGGGAAGTAACAAATAGTTTGAGACTTCCCTCTTACACCCAGCCCCCACTCAGAGGGCAGTGGCTCTGCCCCAGGCATGCCAGGCTGAGAATATGAGGGCCCCAGGTCAGGCTCACATAGTTGAATTTCCAAACTTGAAGAGAAAAGAGAAGAAGATCAGAAGCTACTTCAGAGACTTTGCTCGGGGGAAATTTAGTCCACAAGAATGCAGACTGCCAAAGCTCTCCCCCAGTAGAATTAACTTCAAAACACAGTGTTCAAAATAGTGTGTTCAAACCAAAAGAATCTCTTGAAAATAAGGAAGATTGTGGTGGTGGGAAATCAAAGGGCCCATGCTCCATCAGAACAAGCTAAACATAAGCTAGCTAGTTTACCAGACAGAACCAGGAAAAGAGACAGCTAAGAGAGCCCTCTTGGGGTTCAAATGAACCTTAAATACTGGCTTAAAACTTTCCCTTCCTGAATTTAATTTTATCAAATTATGGAGCAACTTATGTACCAGGGAATAGGGGGTGAAAAAACAAAAACATACCCAGCAATGAGTAAAGTCTAACAGCTGGGTGCAATACCAAAGAGAAAGAATTCTGCATAGAGATGTCAGGGACAGAGACAGAGACAGCCCCGCTAATCCACCATCACCCCAGGGAGACTGCCCTTGTCCATTGCTGCCTGTGGAGTTGACATCGGAAACCTCACACTGTGTGGAAATAGAGTTCATTAAAATAGTCCAGCAAAGTCACTAAAAAAAAACAAACAACAAAACAAGCCTCAGAAATAGTGCTAGGAGATTAGTGTCTAGAGTTGGTATAATATCTTACCTAAAATGTTCAGTTTTTTAAAAAATTATAAGACAAGAAAAGAAGCAGGTAAGTGTGACCCTGAGGCATGGAAAAAAGTGAGCCACAGTACTTGCCTGTGAGAGGCCCTGATGTTGGATTTAGTAGACAAATACTGCAAAGCAGCCATTGTAAATATGTTCAAAGAACTAGAGGAAAATATGCTTAAGGAGGTAAAGGAATCTATTATGGTAATAGCTCATTGAGTAGAGAATATCAATTTTAGTAAAACTAAATGGACGTTCTGAACAAGGAAAGTATGCTAATTAATACAAATATGTACCAAAGAGCTCAACAGATTTGAGTTGGCAGAACAGTCTGCAAACATAAAAATAGATTTACAGAGGTTCAGCAATCTGAGAAACGGAAAGAATAGCAAATGAAAAAAAGGAAGAAAACCTCAGAGGCATGAAGAACCATTCAGAGCACCAGTATATGTGTCCTGAGAATACAAGAAAAAAGAGATAAAGCAGAAAAATGACTGGAAAAACCATGAAACTTCCCCAAATTTATGAAAAATTGTTATCTACACATATCTATCTAGCTCCATGAGCTAGGATAAAGGCAAAGACATTGGCAAACAGACATTGGCAAACACGTCATCATTAAAATGCTTTTTAAAAGGACAAAGACCAATCCTGAAAGCAACAAAGAGAAAGATCAGTTGTCACACAAAGGGATTCCAGGTGAGATGAACACATGACTTCTCATCAGAAGCAATGCGGGTCCGAAGACAGTGGGACGGCAGAGTCGAGTGGGACGGCAAAGTCGAGTGGGACGGCAGAGTCGAGTGGGACGGCAAAGTCGAGTGGCAACAGGAAAAATCAGAAACCAAGACTATCAGATGCACAGAAACTGCTTTTTAAAAATTAAGGTGAGTTCCAGTTTCACATGTAAGGAACACGGAAGTCACCACTCTGACCTAACAAGTAAAAAGCGAAACAGATTAAAAACTCCAGAAGTATTTTTGATTCTGTAAGTGGATGAGCACACAGTGCCAGCCACTCCCCCTGAAATTGAAGAGACAGTTGTGTGGAAGCCGGGAGGCACAGCTTGCTAGAGGAGAGATTTGGGATGAGAAACCGCTGTGGGAAACAGTGTCAGAGTAGAAGAAACTGAACTCCAACTCATGGATTGCTAGAGGCCCAGAGTGGATGAGTCTGAGAGTTATAAATAACTCCAAAGGGACCCAGTACCAGGAGGCCCACCTCACTCTTGTGAGTTTTACCTGTGAGAGCTAACCAGGTTCCCCAAGAAAATACTGCAGAAAAAAACTGTTATGCTTCCAGCAAGGGGAGGAAAAAAGGAACTATTCTGAAATCTACCAGATCACTCAGTTCTCAAAAAGGCCTGTCCTCAGGAGAAAACATCCAACCAGAGCATAAAATACCGGGGTTTTATTGGAGTTTAACTTACCTGAGGGAAGAGAAATATCCAACTTTAGCCTGCCCTAGCTTTCCATGTAGGAGAAGGAAAATACTCAATCCAGATCCTAAAATGTTGGAGTTTTATCACAGTCCAGCTTGCTTGAGGGAAGAGAACTACCCAATTTCAGCTTGTCCTGGCTTTCCATGTACGAGGAGGAAAATGCTCACCTCCAGCCCACTCTCGCTATCCTGCCCCATGTAAATTAGCAGGAACTGAGAAGCACTTGTGAGGTTAACAGTCCAGAGACGCAGGGTCGCTAAACAGCTGGGACCGAATTGCAGGATTCTATAACACTTTGCCTCCCCCTACACCGTAGCACCGCATTCCTAAAGACCTGCTAAAACCAGTTCCTCTCATTGAGCACACAAAGCCTGCCTATGAAAAACATTATAAGGTGTACTTAAAAACACACATACAGTTTCAAGAAATAGAGCTAGCATCAGAACCAGACATGGCAGTAATATTGGAATTATCAGACTAAGGATTTAAGACTATAAGCGCAAATATGCTACAGGCTCTAATAGAGGAAGCAGACAGCAAGAACACCAGGTGTGCAATGGGAGCAGAGACAGAATCCTAAGAAAGAACCAACAGTAAATGCTAGAGATGGAAAACACTGCAACAGAACTGAAGAATGTCTTTGATGGGTGTATTGGTAAACTGGACGCCCCTGAGGAAAGGATATCTGAGATGAAGGATGTATCAATGGTAACTTCCCAAACTGAAAAGCAAATACAATAAAGGCTGAAAAAAACAGAACAATATTCAAGAAGTATGGGGTGACTACAAAAGATGAAACATGCTTGTAGTGGGAATACCAGAAGGAGAAAAAGAACAGAAGAACTGAGGGGAGAGAAAGAGAGGAAGAAAGAGAAGAGAAGAGAAGAGAAGAGAAGAGAAGAGAAGAGAAGAGAAGAGAAGAGAAGAGAAGAGAAGAAAGAAAGAAAGAAGGAAGGAAGGAAGGAAGGAAAGAGAGAAACAGAGAAAGAGAGAGAAAGAAAGAAAAGAAAGAAAAGAAAGAAAGAAAGAAAGAAAGAAAGAAAGAAAGAAAGAAAGAAAGAAAGAAAAAGAAAGAAAGAAAGAAAGAAAGACAGAAAGAAGAAAGAAAGAAAATACTTGAAACAAT
This sequence comes from Homo sapiens, assembly GCF_000001405.40. Taxonomy (NCBI): domain Eukaryota; kingdom Metazoa; phylum Chordata; class Mammalia; order Primates; family Hominidae; genus Homo; species Homo sapiens. The sequence continues at coordinate 49,220,170 of NC_000022.11, forward strand.
AATGACTGGAAATGTCCTACAAATTAATACCAGACACAAAGCCTCAGTTCTAGGAATTTCAGAGTTCACCAAGTAGGATAAATGCAAAATAATAATAATAATGAAAAATCTATGCATTTTATTTTCCAACAACAGAAATTTGAACATTTTTTAAAAATCTGGAATGAAGCCAGGGAGAGATGAGGAGAAAGACCATACCTATAAACCAACAAATAAAGAATTACATCTGACTTTTTAAGCAGAAATTAAACAAGCAAGAGGAGAGTAAGGTAAAATATTTAGTGCTAAGGGAAAAAGACCACCAACCTACAATTCTGACCCTGCAAAATTATCTTTTTTTTTTCTTTTTGAGAGAGTTTCACTCTGTTGCACAGGCTGGAGTGCAGTGGCACAATCTCAGCTTACTGTAACTTCTGCCTGCTGGGTTCAAGTTATTTTCGTGCCTCAGCTTCCTGAGAATTTGGGATTACAGGCACCCACCACCACACCTGGCTAATTTTTGTATTTTTAGTAGACACAGGGTTTCACCATGTTGGCCGGGCTGGTCTCAAACTCCGGACCTCAAGTGATCTGCCCACCTCAGCCTCCCAAAGCGCTTGGATTACAGGCGTGAGCCGCCATGCCCGGCCAAAATTATCTTTCAAAGGCGAAGGAGAAATAAATCAAAACAATAAAAAATGGAGATAATTTATTATCAGTCAATCTGCCTAGTAAAAGATGTTACAAAAGTTCTTTAAAGAGAAGGCATAGACTCAGATCACACAGAAAAGATGAGTCATGAAGAAAGAATAAGTTAACATAAAGTAAAAACTTATTTTTCTTGTTTTTAACTGATCTGGAAGATAATAGTTTGTGGCAAATAACAGCAGCAAGATCTTCAATTAAGTATGCTTATGATATATCTTATGTGTGTGTAATAGCAGCAAGGTCTTCAATTAAGTATGCTTATGATATATCTTATGTGTGTCTACATATGTATGCATGTACACATAAGCTATACGCATGCACGTGTACACTTACGTGTGCCTATATATAAGTGAAATGAATGACAGATATAATGGAATGAATGCAAGGGAGGAACGAGGGATCTTATATCACACTACATGTGAAGTGGTATAATGTTCTTTGAAAGTAGGATTCGATTCCTTGTAAATGTGTATTGCAAACTCTAGGGCAATCACGTTGAAAGGTTTAAAAGCGGGGGTTACTGATATGCTAAGAAAGGTGAGAAAACAGAATCATATAACATTCTCAGCTATAACTACAGAAGGCAGAACAAAGAGTGAAAGACAAAAATAGAAACAAGAGCAAGTGCAAGATATAGAAAACAGGTACCAATATGATAGATATTAATCTACCTGTATCAATAATCATTTTGAAAGTCAATAGTTTAAATGCACCAATTAAAAGATGGAGATAGTCACAGTGGATCAAAAAATAAGACACAAATACATGTAATCTACAAGAAGCCAACTTTAAATATTTAAAAATGTTGATTAAAAGTAAACGGATGGGAACGATGTCATGCTAACACTAATCCAAATAAAGCAAAAGTAGCTACATTAATTTCAAACAAAGCAGATTTCAAAGCAAGGAAAGTCATCAGGGATAAAGAAGAGAATTACATAATGATAAAGTGGCCAATTCTCCCAGGAGACATGGCAATCTTTAACAGATATGCACCCAAAAACACAGTGTCAAAATACAAGGCAAAAGCTGATACAACTGCAAAGAGAAACAGATGAATTCACTCTCACAGTTGAAGACTTCAGCGCCCCTTCTATCAGAAATGGACAGATCCAGCAGACAGAACATCGGCAAGGACATAATTAAGAATACATGTTCTTCCCAACTCACAGGGAACATTCACGAAAACAAAGCACATTCTGAGCCATAAAACACACCCTAACAAATTAAAAATCATATAAATCATACAGTGTCAGCTCTTAGGCCACAGTAGAATTAAACTAGAAATAAATAACAGAAAGATAACTGGAAAATCACAAAATATATGGAGATTAAACAAGACATTAAAATAATACATGAGTCAAAAAGAAATCTCAAAAAATTTTTTTTAAATTTCTTGAACTAAATTCAAATAAGAAACAACAACAACAACAAACTCCTGGAACTAATATAAATAATTAACTACAGCAAGATTAAAGGATATACGGTTAATAGGCAAAAGTAAATTGCTTTCCCAAATGCTAGCAATGAACAAGTGAAATTTGAAATTAAAAACAAAATAACATTTACACTACCACCTTAAAAACTGAAACACTTCGATATAAGTCCAACAAAATATGTACAAGATCTGCAGCTCTGTTGAAAGAAATCAAAGAAGAACTAAATAAAGGGAGAAATACTCCATGTTCATGGCCAGGATGACTCAATATTTTCAAAATGTCAGTTCTTCCCGATTTAATCTCTAGATTCAATGTAATTCAAGTCAAAATCCCAGAAACTTATTTTGTGGAGATTTAAAAATTGATTATAAAGTTTATATGGAGAGGCAAAAGACTCAGAGAAGACTACGTAATATTGAAAGAGAAGAACAAAGTTGAAGGAGTATTACTACCCAGCTTTAAGACTGTAATGCTGCAATAATCAAGACAGTGAGATACTGGTGAAAAATACACCCATAGTCTGTATATTTTTAACAACAACCCTTAATCAGATATGTCTTTACTGCATATCTGATTGTCTACTGCAATAAACCCATTGGCAAGTAGATCAATGGAGCAGAATAGAGAGCCCAGAAAGAGACCCATATAAATGCAGCCAGTTGATCTTTGACAAACAAACAAAGACAACGCAATGGAGTAAAGATAACCCTTTCAACAAACGGTTCTGAAATAACTGGAAATCCACATGCAAAAAACATGAATCTAAACACACACCTTACACTCATCATAAAAACTAACTCAAAATAGATCACAGACCTAAACGTAAGATGCAAAAGTATAAAATTCCTAGGCTATAACATAAGAGAAAAATATAGATGATCTCAGGTATGATGATGTGTTTTTAGATGAAACACCAAAGGCATGATCCATGAAAGAATGAATTAATTGGACTTTGTTAAAATGAAGAACTTATTTTCTGCAAAAGACAATTTCAAGAGAATGAGAAGACAAGACACAGACTGAGAGAAAATATTTGCAAAAGACATGCCTGATAAAGAACTGTTATTAAAAATACACAAAGAACTCTTAAACAGACTGCGAGAAAATATTTGCAAAAGACATACCTGATAACGAACTGTTATTGAAAATACACAAAGAACTCTTGAACTCAACAATAAGAAAACAAGCCAGTTAAAAAATATGCCAAAGACCTTAACAGGCACCAAACCAAAGAAGATACACAGATGGCAGATAAGCATATAAAAAAGTGCTTCATATTGTATGTCATGTAAGACCTAAAACTATAAAACTCTTGGAAGAAAACATAGGGGGAAAGCTTCATAACAATAAGTTTGGCAATGATTTCTTGATTATCACACCACAGACACAGAAAACAAAAGTTAAAATAGACAAATGGGACTACATCAAAATTATAAACTTCTATGCATCAAAGGATGTAATCAACAGAATGAAAAGGCAACATACAGAATGGGAGAAAATATTTACAAATCAAATAACTGATAAGGGGTTAATGTCGAAAATCTATAAAAAACTCCTACAAAATAACTACAAAAGGAACAAATTAAAAATGAGCAAAAGACTTGAATAGATATTTCTCCAAAGAAATACAAATAACCAACAAGCACCTGAAAAGATGCCCAGTGTTTCTAATTATTAGAAAAATGTAAATTGAAACAATGATATACCACCTCACACCCATTAGAATGGCTACTAATAAAACAATAGAATACAAAAGAAACAAAGAAAATACTAGAAAGAAAAGTGTTGGCCAGGATATGGAGAAATTCAAACACTTGTACGTTGTTGGTGGGAATATGAAATGAGGCAGCTGCTGCGGAAAACTGTATGGCTCTTCCTCAAAAAATTAGACATTAAGCTACCATGTGATCCAACAATTCCACTTTTGGTTATATGCATGAAAGAATCAAAAGCAGGATCTCGAAGAGACATTTGAACACCCAAGTTCATGGGAGCCTGTTCCACAATAGCCAAGAGGTGGAAGCAACCCAAGTCTCCATGGATGGATGGATGGATGGATGGATGGATGGATGGATGGATGGATGCATGGGCGGATGGATGACTGGCTGGCTGGCTGGATGGATGGATGGATGGATAGATTGTTGGATGGATGGATGCATGCATGGATGGATAGATCGTTGGATGGATGGATGGATGGATGGATGGATGGATGGATGGTTGGATGGATGGATGGATGCATGGATAGATGGATGGATGGATGAACATGTTTTTGTCCATCCATACAATGGTACGTTATTCAGCCTTAAAAAGGGAAGAAATGCTAACATATGCTACAACATAGATGAACCTTGAAGACATGATGCTAAGTGAAATCAGCCCATCACAAAATAACAAATTCTATATAATTCCACTTATACGAAGTATTTAGAGGAGTCAAATCCATAGAGATGGAAAGCAGAATGGTGGATGTCAGGGGCTGAGGATACAGGGAAGGGGAAAATATTGTTTAATTGGTATTGAGTTTCAGTTTTGCTAGATGAAGAGTTCTGGAGATTTGTTTTATGACAAGGTGAGTATTCTCAACACTACTGAACTCTACACTTAAAATAATTAGGTGGTAAATTTATGTTACATGTATTTTACTACAACAAAAAATTTTTATAGAAAATGAAAAAAATACACAGAAAGAAATACCGAGAACTGGAAGACTTCACCGATGAATTCTACTAAATACTTAGAAAAGAATTTGTACAAATTATTCACATATTTTCTCAAAAGTCAAAGAAAAGGGGTCATTTCCCATGACATTTCATAGGACCTGTATTGCCTTGTTATCCAAACCAGAAAGGCATCACAAGAAAATACAACCACAGACCCACATTCTCCATGAACATACATGCAAAAATCCTCAAAAAATATGAACAAGCTAAGTCCAGTGACATAGAAACAGGATTCTATACGGTGGCAAAATTGGGCTTATCCCAGGAATGCAAGGTTGCTTTAACATCCAAAAATCAGTTAATTTATTATACCCTATCAACAGAACAAATAATAAAACCACATGATAATTTCCAGATATACAGAAAAAGCATATAACAGAACTCAACATCACCTCATAACAAAAAGAAAGAAAGTCACAACAAACTAGGAATAGAAGAAAGTTTCACTCTGATAAAATGCATCTATTAAAAACCTCCATGGCTAACATCATATTTAATGGTGAAAGATTGGTTGCTATCCACCTAAGATCAGGAGCAAGACCCAAGAGGTCCACTCTCACCTTCTTCTTTATTAATATACTAGAGGTCCCGCCCAGGGCAATTAGCCTAGAAAAATAAAAAAATACCTCTAGAGTGGAAAAGAAGATTAAACTATCTCAGTTTGCAGATGTCATGATCTCATATACAAAAATTCCTAAACAATCCACAAAATAACTATTAGAAGTAACAAATTCAGCAAGTTTTGGGAAACACACTCATTATGAAAAATAACTGTATTTCTATACTCTTATAATAAAGAATCCAAAACTGAAATTTAGAAAAACAATTTCATTTGCAATACCGTCAAAAAGAATAGCATATTTAGGAATAAATTTAACAAAAGATGTATAAACTGATACTCTGAAAACTACAAAATATTGCTTAAAAATTCAAAACGATCTAAATGAATGTAAAGCTTTCCTATATTTATGGATAAGAATTAAAACTTAAAATTGGTTAGATGGCAATAATCCCCACACTGAGGTATAGATTGAATGTGATACCTAACAAAAGCCAAGCTGACTTCTTTGCAGAAATTCATAAACTGATCCTAAACTTTAAGTGGAAAAATCAAGGGATCTAAAATAGCCAAGATAATCTTGAAAAAGAAGAGCAAAATTAGGGGGCTCACAGTTCCCCACTTCGAAACTTGTGCCAAAGCTACAGTATTCAAGACAATGTGGCGCAGACATAAGGAGAAACACCCAGATCAGCGAGATAAAATTGGAAATGTTGAAATAAACCCAGACGTTCACGGTCAATTGAATTTTGATGCTGATGCCAAGACAATTCAATGTGGGAAATCAGAGTCTTTTCCACAAATGGTACAAAAGAATTCATCTGAACCCCCACCTCACATGATACACAAAGTTAACTCAAAATGGAACAAATAGTTAAATGTAGAGACAACATGATAAAACTCTCAGAAGAAACAGCCGTAAGTTGTTACGACCTTGATTAGGTAGTCATTTCTGAGATGTGACACACCAAAATCATAAGCAATAACAAAAAAAGAGTAGATGAATTTGACATCTTCAAACTTCAAACCTTTGTGCTCCAGAAAACACCATCGAGAAAGTGTCTTTTGAAGCACTAAATGGCATTTTATTGCCATTCCATGAATTAAAAAGGTGAGCCAGAGATTGGCAGATAAGTTTTGAAAAGTTACATATCTGGTAGTGAACTTCTGTCTAGAATATTAAAAGGACCCTTGCAACTCAAGAATAAAAAAGACAACACAAATTAAAAATGGGCAAGTGATTCGAATAGAAACTTCTTCACAGAAGATGTGCAAATGTCCAATGACACGAGACGATGCTCAACATCTTTTGCCACCAGAGAAATGCAAATTAAGGCCAGAATAAGCAAGTGCATCATTTCCATGAGGATGGCTGACATAATAAACACTGATGTTAATACCTCTTGGTGAGGATGTAGAGAAATGGGAACCCTCGGACACTGTTGGTGAGGTGTAAAAGGGTGAAGCCACTTTGGAAAACAATCCTGCAAGTCTTCAAAATGTTAAACATAGCATTAAAATGTGACCAGCAATTCCACTCCTAGGTGTATACCAGGAGAAATGAAAGGGGACACAAATGTTCATCGTTTATGGCAGGATTATTCATAATAGCCGCAAAGAGGAAACAGCCTGAACATCCATCCATTAATGAATAGGTAAATAAAATGTAGTGAACATTATTTGGCTATGAATAAATGAAGTACTGATGCATGATACAATACGGATCAATCTTGAAAATACTGTTCTGAGTGAAGGAAGCCAGCTACACAAGACCAGGCATTGTATGACTCAAATGATGTGAAATTTCCAGAATAAGCAGAATGTCAGGCTGTGGTTGTCTAGGGTTGGGGGTGTAGGCAAAATGGGTAGTGACTGCTAGTGGGTATAAGGTTTCTTTTGGGGTGACAGAAATGCTATAAAATTGATTGTGGTGTTGGTTACGTATCTATGTGAATACACTACAAAACTTTGAATTGTGTAGTTAAAGAGGGTGAATTGTCTGGTATGTGAGTTTTATATCAATAGAGCTGCTGTTTTTAAAAATAGATGATTAAAATTAATACTTTTCTCCTCTGGAGGATATTCTCTTTCTTTCTCTTTTATTTGTATAAATTTATGGGCATGGAGTGAAATGATAGGCAGTGAACACTTGGCACGTATCCATTCTCTAACACAGAAGTAGAGCAGTTATCAAAGGCGTGAAGCTAGGGCTAAACTTCCAGGATTGTAGTTGCAATCTGGAGAATGTTTTCTGGGCACAGGTCCACCCTTGGCATTGAAAGAAATGCATCATCTGAAAAAAGATGTTTCTTCTGCATCAACCGAGATCTGGCTGACTCCCAGGAAGAGAGAAGCTGGCAGGCTGGAAGCTGACACTGTCCTAGCAGTGAGCACCTTCTCCGTGGTCTGAGAGAAGGCCAGGCGCTTGGTCCTCATGCTTCATTTCCCTCTTATCCTACTTAGAAAGTCTCCATTTCTCTCGCCTGTAATCCCAGCACTTTGGGAGGCCGAGGCGGGCGGATCACAAGGTCAGGAGATTGAGACCATCCTGGCCAACACAGTGAAACCCCATCTCCACTAAAAATACAAAAATTAGCTGGGCGTGGCAGTGTGCTGCCTGTAGTCCCAGATGCTGGGGAGGCTGAGGGAGGAGAATGGTGTGAACCCAGGAGGCGGAGCTTGCAGTGAGCCGAGATCGCGCCAATGCACTCCAGCCTGGGCGACAGAGCGAGACTCTGTCTCAAAAAAAAAAAAAAAAAAAAAAAAGTCTCCATTCGTCCTCTCATGTGATAGGACAATCTTTATTTATTTGCTATTTTTTGATGTACCAAAAGCTGTACATAATTAATGTACAGAACTCAATGAGTTTGGGATAAGGTGGTCTAACTGCCTCTGAACTCCCCTGAAGGATTCTGAGAAGCTGGCTAAGGCAGCGAACATAGTGAGAGAGAAGCCTTCTGACCAGACTGGAGGGGCTGCTAACCTCAGGAGAAAGGGTGGCCATTCAGACCCTCTGAGTGGGAGGGGCTCCCAGGACCTGCAGGCCTAGTATGGCTTCTGCAACAAGCTGCCCTGCCTCATGGAGGATCGGTTCTCAAACTCTTATTTGCATAGCATTCAGCTTGGACAAGGGCCAGGGAATGGGGAGATTTTCTTTTAAATTCAGATCCCCAGGCTTATTGTCTCTAGGACCTGATTCAATCAGCTCAGGTACCTGCATATTGATGTTACCCAAAGGTCTCTGGGGCAGGTGGTCTGGACAGCATCGCTACATATACAATGGCAGTGGAATGGCAAGACCTACCAAAGGCTTTGGGATCGGGGTCAGAAAACCTCACTCTCGGTCCTGGGTTATGTGCCTGCTGGTGGTGTGAGCAGGAGTCGGCACCTTCTGACCACTCCTAGCCCTGCCCTTGGAAACCCAACCCATCTCAGAGCTTGAGATGCTGTCTGTATACTGATAAACCCCAAATGTATAGCTCCAGCCTCAGGCATTCCCTCAAATCCCAGTGGTTTACTACAGGGCATATTTGACATCTCTGCCCACACATCACAAAGGCCTCTTCAGGTTAACATGTTGAAAAGTAAATACCTGCATGCCTATCTGCCATCAAGCTGCCCCATCAGATCTAACTGATGTCTGTGCTGAAAGCTCCATCCTTCCAGGCTCTTAGGCAAGAAGACCTGGAGTTCCCTTCAGGCCTCTGTCGTTCTCCCACCCTCACACTTGATCCAGCAGCCAACCTACTTGGCTCTGCCTGAGACACACATCTGGAATCCAATCACTTCCCAACACCCCCTCTCACAAACACCCTGACCAAGGCACCATTGTCTCTTCCTGGACCCACGAACTTGCCTCCTAACAGAGCCCCCTGCTCCCTCGTCATGCACCTGCTGCCTGCTCTCAACTCAACACCTACACCTGTCATTTAAGCCAAGTCCTTGGCTCTGAACCTCCAGAGGCTCTCATCTCAGTTGGTGGAAAAGATGCAGGCTGTGCTCAACCCTCCAGGGCCCTACGTTCTCTGCTGCTCACACGCACAGAATGCAGCTCTCCGGTCTCTTCTCCCCTGCCCTCCCCGTGCCATACACACTAACCTCTTTGCAGAATGTTCCAGGCAAGCTCTGCCATGCATCTGAGCATCTGTGCCTTCCCCCGACCTCCTTCCCCCATCTCCCTTAGGCCTCCACTCAGTTGCCCACTGCCATCCCCGACCACTGGTCCAGAAGAAGACGCTGCTTTACTTTCTCAGCAGAACTTCCTGCCTTCTGATGACATTCTCAGTTTGGTGACCTCATCCCTCCTGTTCGTTGCTTTGTTCAACAGCCAGGCAGCACCTGGCATGCAGTAGGAGGAGTTAAGAGAGCAGCATCTTTGAGTGAGGAGGATGGATGTGTGAGTGAGACCCCAGGGCCACGGGAGCAAGGACCATAGGACCCTCTTGTCCAGGTTCTGGTATAGGTCCCCTATCCTGGCAAGACACCTTGGAAGGCTGGATGGGGCAAAGAGAGGACACCCTTAGCCCAGGCAAGAGTTGGCCCAAAGAGCTTTCTGGAAGCCTATAGCTGCGTCCCAGCACTCACAGTGCCAGGGTGAGAAAGGGCCAGGGTGCCAGCAAGCCAGTCAGTCACAGTGGAAGGGACAATGCATGGAGCTTGGGCCACCTTTCCTAGAACCCAGCGTCCCCCTGCCCACTCAGGTCTCCAAGGAGGACCAAGGCATGACCCTCTGACCCTGTGGGCCACAGGATGGCAGGGTGGGGGTGTCCAATGAGAGTGAGGGGTGGCCAAAGTGGTGCAGCAATGCTCCACCTCGGGGAAGCCAGGGCAGGATTCCAGGAAGGGGCTCTAGGCAGAAGGCAGCCCTGGCCCATTACATTCACCTCTTCAGCACCCTGGCCTTGGACAGCTCCCGAGATGAACAGGAATCCCTCTCTTCCTAGGAGGAGGTGAAGGAGGGTCCTAGGATGGGAATCTGCCTCTGTCCTGCCCCAGAGGCCAGGAGTTGGCTCTCGGAAAATCTTGGCTGAGTCCTCCCCTTGTACCTTCTTTTTTTTTTTTTTTTTTTTTTTTTTTTTTTTTGAGACGGAGTTTCGCTCTGTCACCCAGGCTGGAGTGCAGTGGCGTGATCTCGACTCACTGCAAGCTCCGCCTCCCGGGTTCACGCCATTCTCCTGCCTCAGCCTCCCGTGTAGCTGGGACTACAGGCGCCCGCCACCATGCCTGGCTAATTTTTGTATTTTTAGTAGAGACGGGGTTTCACCGTGTTAGCCAGGATGGTCTCGATCTCCTGACCTCGTGATCCGCCCGTCTCGGCCTCCCAAAGTGCTGGGATTACAGGCGTGAGCCACCGCGCCCGGCCCCCCTTGTACCTTCTTAAAAAATACTGCTATTTTCGCTGCTCATGGGTTAACTTGTTGTTTCATTTGAAGCCCCAATTTCCATGCTAAAGCGAAGCATCATAAGTAGCAGTAGAATCAGCTCATCCTGCATTTGTTTTTCCCCAGCGAGGAGCAATCAATTACCTGAGAGATGTCCGTGGCTGTGGCTAAACGGTGACCCAACAAGGTGCAATTGGCAAAGTGTCACTTTTATTCATGGCCTCAAATCCGAGAATGGGCTCCCCTGCATTTTAATTATCGGAAAGCACTTTCCACCCTTGCTTTAATGAATTATATAAAATTTAAACACATGCAATTATATATTTTATAAATAAAAAGCTGTGGGATTGCCTTGAGGATGCTGCGGCCACCAGCAGAGCTGTATTTACTTTTGTCGCCCCATCCTCTGTCCCTGCCAGGGTCTCCTGGCCTCCTTCCTTGACCTGCCTGCATCCCTCATTTCATATGGCCTGGCTCTTCCTCTGTCTCCTTTGAGCTGTGAATATTTAATCATGAGGTGGAGACTCACCCTTTCCTCTGCCTTATCCCGGAGGAGAGTAGGGTGCTGTGGTTTGGGAGAGAACCCAGCAGCATGCTTCACTCTCTGCCGGACAACTTTCTCTGCAAGGCTGAGGTGCTCCTGATAAGGGCCAGCCCTAAAGCCCCTCCAGCACTCTCTTCCTCCACACACATCACTCGGAGACCGGCTTTGTCCTCTGGGTCCACAGAGCACCCAGCCACACCATTCTGTTGGGCATTTGTCACCTGGGAGTCAAAAGAGGCTGTGAATAGCTCCTTTCACCTTCCTCTCTCCTAGAACCCAAGGCCACCACACAGATCCTTACAGGGGCTCCTGGGTGTCACCCACACATTTTTAGATGAACAAATATGATTCTGTGAATGATGGTTTTGTTTGCTAAGAACCAAGACCTGAGGAGGTGTGTTTATCACAATGCATAGGCTCATCACCTTTTTGTCTACAGAAAACTTTGTAAATCCATCACCAAAGCATGATACCTCTGCTGAAGCCCAGGGCCAAGTTTCTCCTGGACAGGTGTTCAACAAGGAGGGAACAAAGCCAGGCCCCAGTGTAGGGTCTAGGCTGGGAGTGGAAGAGACCCCAGTGGCAGGTGGCGTGGGCAGCGTGGGAACGGTATGCGTGGTGGAAAAATTGCAGGGGGCCTGAGATTATCTTGGCCACACTCTCTAGGCAGCCCAGTGCAGATTCCCAGTCCCCTCTCAGACCTGACATCCACTGTTTCTGCAGATACAATTTTGCAAGCGGTCATGGGAGGCACAGAGGGGTCTGGGCCCCAAGAAAACCAGCATTGCTTCATTTTTCCCCTGGAATTATGACTCTGCAGGCAGAAGGTTGGGGACAGAGTGACGCAGGCCCACGAGGGCCCTTCTGTGGCTTTCTCTATGCAGAAACTTAACAGGGCTTTATTTCCCCATTGTTTATAAGCCTTTCCAAAGTCACATTCCACAGCCCCCGAGCCATGCCCTGATTCACCCGCTGACCCGCTGCTTTCCCGGGTCGTGGAGGAAGAGAAGTCCCTCAGGTCCTACCTCATGCTCCAGCCCTGCGCTTGCTGGGGAGAGATGTCCTGCAGCCTCAGGTCCCTGAACACAGCTTGTTCTGCTTATACAGGGAAACCCTGGCATCGCATGCCTGCTAATGTGAGTGAAAGTAATTTCTTCAAAATCACGATAAATAAAAGGTGAAACAATGTTTAAGTCAGAGAGTGGTTAATTGTCTCTCTCTAACGAGCAACTGACCTCCAGGGCTCAGCCGCTCCGGGAACTCATTACCCACCACGCTCTGGCAGCGGTGCCGAGCACAGGGGTGAGCCGATGAGGAGAAGGTTGTCCTGGCCAAGAGTCCAGCGTGGGAGGGACCCTGCTTCCTGCTCCTCCTGGGAAGGTTTCCGGGAGGGGCCGGCTGCTTCCCATTCCTGGGTGTAGATGCTGTGCTGGGGGCACAGGCTGGGGCAGGAGGTGCAGGGAGCAGACGGCGCGGGTGTGAATTGGAATGAATGACCAACTCTCCAGCAGACTTTTGGTGGCTGCCCTGTTGAGAAAAGCTGTCCCAGTGGCTGCAGGCTGGTGCCCAACACTGTCTGGTGCTGGTGTCCCTCCCAATCCCTATAGCTGGTATTGAGAGCGTATTTATTAAGCACCAGGCACGGGGCTAATACACAGCCCACAAATAAAGCTAAAGACAGAAGGAGGTTCCCGTGGCTGTTTGAATGCTCAGCCGCTCCCCTGTCATCCAATTTATGAAATGCAAAATCAGCACCACGCTGGCGTCAGTGTGCTGCGCAGACAGTGTGTGCCGCAGTCATCCCACCCTAGACCATTAGGTTTCCATTTTTCCTCGTATACTATTATTGCTTATCATTTATTAATATGAACCCAAGCGGAATAAAATGATATTACAGCAAGATCTCCATTTCTTGCTATATTCCAACTAGGTACGTGGTCAGTAAACAAAGTCTCTCTCATTAAGCATTACTGCACTTAGGAGCTATTACCAGTGAGGCACACAGACCCCGCTCCCCCGACACTGGATTTCATGGTTTCTCGTTTACAGGTGGCCTCTGATGTGGCCTGGAACACCCAGGCCACAGGTCTGTTGAGGGGTTAACAGAAGTGTAGCTCTTGGGACCTCTGTAGGCTTCCCAGTGGGGAGGAGGGTGATTTTCAAAGCTCCTCTGAGCAGAGGGAGGTGGGGGATGGAGACACAGGGTCACCTTGTTTGCATAGACTGCTCCCCGAGGGAGCCCAGACCTGTCCCCGATCTAGGCACCTGCCTCGGCTATCTGGAAAGTGTAATGCTCTGCAATGTTGGATGTTGAGTGATCGATAGGGTGATGAGAAATGAGCAAGGGCACAGTGAGAAAAATGCCAGGAGCGGCAGCTGCTCCAGGCTGCGTGGCCCACACAGTGAGCACCGCTGGAGGCCTGCTCACGGCTGGTGAGGGGCTGACAGGGATCCTCAGGGACACGCAGTGGGAGGCCGGCTTTGGCCAAAGTGTCTGACTTCGAAAGTTGTAACAGACAAGAATGTTCTGCCTCCTGCTCTTGGCAGAAATGGGGATCCATTGACGGGTTTGCTTACTGCACTCTGCGTGCCTATCTGTGACCCCACGTGCCACCCACTCATTTGCTGTTCCCTGGTGGCCCTCATTCACTACACTCCATCCAGCCTGTTTCTTCAGTGCTGCCCAAGGCCTTATTGGGTAAGGTGGAAGCAAATAATGTCCCCACCACGAGGATGGCACATGGAGTCCCAGCCACTCAGGCAGCTCACCTGCTGACCCTTCTGGAGGAGTTGCTCCCATTTACAAGGTTCTTCGTGTAAAACATAAGCTCAAATATACACAGGACCCCAAAATAGCCACTCCCCAGATTGAGTGGCATGACTCCCAAGTTTCTTCTCTTGGGGGAAGAGGCCCGGAGACAACTGGAGTTGACCGTCCTTGAGGCTGTGACATGGCCTCACTCACTGCGAAGAACCAGAAGGAGAGGCAGTCTGCTGTGCTTCCTCCTGCACCAGAGCACAGGTGCTTGGTTTGTCTTACTTACGTACCTGTCTGAGTGGGGTCTGAGGATGCTCACTTTCTCTGCCCTGTTCCCTCCCTCAGGCCTGGGGAGCAGGCAGCAAGGAAGCTGGGACCAGCTGGGTGGCAAACAGCCCATACCTTAGGCTCCTCCCTGGAGCCCAGGGTGGCGTCCTAGGATGCTCCAGGCCTTGGACTCTGGGATCCTTCCTTCTGATGCCCACATCACAGAGAGGTGGCCCAGCAGCCTGAGGCCAGCAGAGGCTGACACTGCCCAGCCCAAGAGGACCTCTTCACCCCAGGCACTACAGGTCAGAGCCAGCTACACCCAAAGATGGGCCCTAGAAAGCCCTCCTGTGACTCTTCTCCAAGACTTGCAATGCTCTGCTGATGAGCACTGAAAAGTGGGTGCAAATTCTGAATACCTGCATGCATTCTAAACCCTGTTACGGACCAGGTTCTCTGCGTTCTTCTGACAGTATGACCGAGACAAAACCACCTGTATGCTTCTCTGATTAAATATCCAGTTGGTGTCTGAGAAGAGGAGAGCCCAGCAGATTTTGATGCCTGCTGCCCATTAGCTGTTAAACTAAGATATTGTTTTTATTAGACCTTATCTGAAGAACCAGCCAAGCACGGGTTTTAATGAGAAGCAAAGAGTGAATGAGGCAGCTATAGGACTGTGCATATGAAAATGTAGGAGTGTCTGATGAAAGGCATGGAAATCTCATGCCCGAAGGATCAACAGTGGCAGGTCACCAGGAAACCGCACGGTTCTGTGCATAGGCTTAATTTTTCCCCCTCATCTCAGCCTGCGGTAATATTTTAAGTAGAACCCAATGATACATGAATTCATGTATTTATGCTTTTTTTGCCCATTTGCTAGCCTGTGTTCTTTTTTGGGCTTTTGTATTTTTCTCCTAAATTCAAAGCTGCATCCTCCACACCCCCACAAGCTTTGGGGAGTGGTTGGTTAGCCATCCTGGCAAGGGTCTTTCTGTCGGTCTTACCTTCTGACCTGGAACCTGGCTCCCTGGGCTCCCCTTTCCCAGGCCCCTTGCGGGTCTCACCAGTTTGCCTTGAAGGAAGGCAGGTGTGGCAGCAGCTTCCCCTGGGGTGCCTGCCTCCTACCAGGAGGTATTGCTGGCTCGCCGGAGGCAGCCCCGCGGGGGAGGCTGGGTGTGCAGATGTGCTTCTCCTTTCTCTCCTACATGGATACCAGCCTTCCAATCCCCTCTTTCAAACCCACCAGGAGCTGTGCAGGCTTTGGGTTCGGCCTTGTCATTGGCTCTGTGCTCCTGCTCACTGCTTCTGTATGTGGACTCGACTTCCTGGGTGACAGGATCCCATCCTCCCCGCAGATGGGTCATGGAGCTGCACGCAGGGCCCCAGGACCACACCATCTGCACATCTGCAGTGGCACCTGGGCCTTCCCCAGAGCAGGGGGAGCTTCGTCCAGCATGGGGACCCTTCAAATCAGAGACTCTATTGAGAATAAAGCAGGCCCTGGCTCCTTGAGAAGGGCAGGTGGGTGGAGTCTCCAGGGACAGCAGGAAGGGGAGCCATGTGACATCCTTGCAATGTCCCTTTTATTGGCTGACTCCAAGGTGGTGTTTACACATTGTCTTTGCTCAGCTGCCACAACAATGCACTGCAGACAGGAGGCTTCAAGAACAGACACTTATTTCCTCACAGTGCTGGAGGCTGGGAGTCCAAGGTCCAGGTGTTGGTTCCTTCCGAGGCCTCTCTCCTCAGCGTGTAGACAGCATTCTCTCTGTGTCCTCATGTGGGAGTCCTTCTGTGTGTATCTGCATCCTCGTCTCCTCTTCCTATTCAGACACTAGTCAGATGGAAGCAGAGCCCACCCCAAGGATCTCATCTTAATTTAATTTCCTCTTTAAAGATCCCGTCTCCAAATACAGTTCCATTCCGGGGCGCTGGAGGTCAGGACATCAACATAGGAACTTAGGGAGCACAATTCACTCCATAATACACATATAATTATTTCCTGAATAATTTTGAGATCGATGCATTCACAGAGTCCTGATTGGGAGACCAGGAGGTCTGTGGCCCGACACCCACTCACAGGGCACACAGCGAGTGCTGCCACCTGGGTAGAACCAAGAGATCCAGGTGTGGATGCTCCTGCAGCCACCTGGCCCTCGGGCCTCTGCTGTCTTCTTTTCCTCTTGTGCTCCCCAGCCTCCAATCCTCGGTTCCTACCTGCCCTCACCATTTGCCTCCCCGGACCCCAGGACACAGGGTTGAGGGCCCACGCCATCTCTGTCCATTGAGTCTGTCTGTGGGACTTGGCTTCAGGTTTAGCACTGGGTCCAGCTCGTGCTTTCGTGAGGGTGCACCATGGCGTCCCAGCTCCAGGATCACTGGGGCCACATCCCACCCCCTAGAGATTTCCAGTTCCCCAAATCTCAGGGCTCACGGGTGCTCCCAGGACCCCTCCAAAGCAGCTGTGGGCTGTCTTGTGGGATAGTCAGGGGCCATAGCTGAGACCCCCAGAGGCAGTCACCACAGGGCCCAGCAGAGATTCCAGCCAGCCTCCCTGCACAGGGCCCAGCAGAGACTCCGGCCGGCCTCCCTGCACAAAAAGCGAGGCAGGTATATTTTTATCTGATAGGTTTTAGGAACATTTTTGATAATTTCTAAAGTTAAGGCAGAGAGCCAGGAACACTGGGCAAATGGGACTAGTGGGGCCGGCCCTGTCAGGCGTTCACAGGGCGCCTCCCAGGCTGGCTCTTCTACTTTGTAAACTGCAAGGAGAAGACGCTGTGAGGAACAAGTCAGCTGGTGTGTGAATGTGGGCGGCAGTCACTAAAGCAGACTACTGGTCCTTGACACTAACAGTAACCAGGACAGTTTCATGCCAGGGGAGGGGCCACTTAGCCCCATCCATTTTGTAGGACTGGCAATTATGCTGATACACAAAGAAGATTTTCACACACCAACATCCATCAGTTAAGAGAATGTGGGAAACAGTATTCGCTGAATGAATGAATGAATGAATGAATGAATGAAGTGTCTTAGTCCACATTGGTGAATGCAGGCTCCCTGGGGGAGACTGGGCTCTGTATCCTTAGTATTCATTCTAAAGTTTTGTGCCTGAGTTTCAGATCCTCTCCCTCCCCTCCCTCCCTCTCTCCCTCCCTCCCTCCCTCCCAGCAACCATCCTCACTGCTTCTAGAATCCGCCTGCTCTGTCTTCTTCACCAGCCAGCCTCCTGCCCTCTATGGAGAGGTTTCTGAGGGAGGAGGCAGCAAGGTATTCTTAACAGCCTCAGGGGAAGGGATTGACTGCAATGTGGAGGGGGGTCCCAGGGCCCCCACGGTCCAGCAGCCCCCACCGTTTTCCTGACCTGGTCTTGGAGCCCCTGGCACCTCACCAAGGAGCCCGAAGACCATAAGTGGAGCTCGTGGCTGAGTTGGGGCTGTGCTCCGACTCGAGGCTAGTTTTTGAGGATATTTTTCTTAGAGACCCAAATGTCAGAACTCTGTGTAACTGGCCTGGACTTCCTGAAACTGAAGAGGGTGTGGGCCCTGGAGGGCTCTAAGCATCATTTTATTAGAAAGGGGGATTGTCACCTTCAAATGGATAAAGGCCATAGGGAGCTTATGCCCACACAAGACTCAAATTCACTTCCTACACGGCAGGTGCCTGGGAGCTGCTCTGCCCAGCCTTCCAGCTGTGGGTTCTAGGAAGGTCCTGGCCCATCCTCCCACCAGGGGACACATTCTGTGTGCCTCACAGGAGCCCCCCTGAGTCCCAGAGTGGTCCCCTAAAGGCCAGGAGAGTCAGGAGAACTGTCCCTCACGTCTCCCAGGTGAGGAAACTGAGGCTCCACGAAATGGGACGTGGAGGAGCTGAAGGTGCTTCTCAGGGCGTTGCAGCCCAGGCCACGCTCTTCAGACGCTTTCTGCTTTTGGCTCCCAGAAAGAGGCACACAAAGGAGAACAGGGCGTTCCTGCCACCAAGGATTGGCCAGGCTTTCTGGGGAGATGACATGGAGACCCAGCCATGGGGCCAGACCAAGTGTCCCTCAGAGAGGCCTAAGAACCATCCAGGCACCAGACCACAGTTCGTGCCAAAGCCCACTGCAGAGCTTCAAGTGCCCAGTTCTCCCTTCAGTAAGAAGATCACACTCCAGTCCCCACAGGGCATGCCTGGGGGCAGGCAACAAAGAGGGAGGTGACATTAGCAACTTGGGAGTTGGGCAGCTCCTGGTGCTGTGGACCCTGGAAGTTGACACAGTGCTCCAGGAGAGGAACAGTTTCCACGCCCAAACAACAGGGCCTGGCGCCTTCGCCCCTTTGCTGGACAGAGCCCATCCATGAATCACAGAAACAGAGGCTGCCTGCCACGCCTGCGCCTCCGAGAACCGTCCAACTCCCCACCGCTCCAAACGCCCCGGCTCCCTTGACTCCCAGAGCAACTCCCAGGCCTGTGATGAATCACCCGCGTTCTGAGCCACGCACGGGGTTCACAAATGGCTAATGGGAAACACCATGCATTCCTTAAAATGCAATCACTGGTCAGCTTGACCGTGCGCCATGAGGCCAGACGGGGTGGGAAGGAGCCCAGAGCCTTTCCCAGCACCATTTCCAGGTTGGGGGTCTGAGGCTGCAACAGGGGGATGAGGAGGTACCACCGGGGGCCACGGACGGGAACGGTGAGGCTCAGGGGGCTGTGGTGCTTCCAGGGGACTCTGGAAACCTCATTTTGTCTGTGAGGGGTGGGGGAGTACAGGCCGGCCCTGACCTTGCCCTCCTTGCTGTGGATCAGACACTCACGCCTTATCTCACAGTCTGCAGGGCAGCAATCGGGCAGGCCCAGCTGGGTTCTCAACTTACAGCCTCACAAACCCCAATCCAGGTGTGGGCCGGGCTGAGCCCTTGCCGGGAGGGTCTGCAGGAAACCGCTCCATGCTCACTCGGGGTGTGGTGGACCCAGGTCCTGGCAGCCGTGGGTCCCAGGTCCCATTTCCCTGGTGGCTGTCGGCCCCAGGCCATGCTTTGCCCCTGAAGGCAGCCGGGATTCCTGGCCACAGGGTCCCCTCCCTCCCTGAAGCCCATGGTGGTGAGTCAGGTCCCTCTCATGCTGTGAGGTTCTGACTTCATCTTCTTCCACCAACTTGAGAAGGCGCTCTCTGCTTTCGAAGGCCCATGCTTAGCAAGGGGCCTCCCTGAGAGACCCCTGAAGACAGTGCAGAAAAACACACCAAAGAAATGCAGAGAAAAGAACACGCAGGGCCCACCTGCACCCTCCAGGGTCCCTGGGCTACAGGCTCTGATGGTTCCTTTCCCGTGTCCACTGGACTGGGCCACAGGGTGCCCAGGCATCTGGTTAAGTGAGATTCTGGGCATTCCTGCGAGGCTGTCTGTGGATGGAGTTAACATTTGAACTGGGGGACTGAGTATGGCCGATGGCCCTGCCCAGCGTGGGGAGACCTCCAGCCTGGGACCCTGCTCTTCTCCGGCCTTCAGACTGGAAACCAAGCACCAGCTCTTCCCGGGTTTCTGCTGCCTGCCTCCATGGCAGCAGGAGCCTATTTCCTGTAATACATCTCTACTCACATGTGTGCCTGCACACATTTCACACAGATATGTGCCTTAACGTCTCAGACACGGATGGCTTTGCTGCCTCTCCCAGCTCCCTGGAGACAGTGGAGAGAGATAAGCCTGGTCGAGAGCACAGCCGGCCTCTCGGGACCGTCATGAGCCGCTGGCACCAGGAGCTTGGAGCCCACAACATTCCCTTCCCCTGCAGCAGTGCAAAGGATGAGATTCTCATCAGCTTGGGAAACCGAGATAAAGCAGGGAGCTCTGGGGAGCAATGCCAGGGGCTTCAGTGTCATTTTGAGCCTATCTCGCCTTCAGCATGGGCAGGAGCTGCCTGTGAGAGTCCCAGCCCACTGGTCTGTCTCTGCCCCCCAGGGCCTGCACTCGGAAGGGGCTCAGGAAAGCTTGAGGAATTGATGGGACCCATGTGAGCAGCATCCTTGGGTGGCCAAACCACCCAGGAGGGACCCAACTGGGGACACGGACCCGAAGGTGTGGCCCCTTCATGGCACCCCAACTCCCGGGCCCAGCCTCACGTCTCCACAAAGAACAGGAATGGTGGAGGCTCAGCCCTCCCTCTGCCTCCACAGCCAGCCCAGGGGGAGACAGTGCCGGTGGGAGCTGTGGTTCTTTAACAGGACAAGTGCACAGCCTCCTGGGCACAGCAGCCGCCCCGGGCTGCACCGTGATGTCTCCCGGCCATGACACCCCGTTTTATTCACTTCTACTTTGCAGCTCCGTGTTCAGCCCTGTGCAGGTGGCACTGATAGGACTAACAGCACTGGAAGATTTAGCTCACAGATCAGTGTCATTGCGTTCCATCATCTCTCCATGTTGTTCACTTTCCTACAACGCTCTTTCCAGCTGATATCATTCTATAGCTTACGGATTGAGAATTCTTATACTCTTACTTTAGACAACGGGATACTATGTTGTCCAGGAGAAATTCCGGTGAAAATGCAGAGAGTTCCAGGCAAAAGGGATTTTGTGGTTTTTGTTTGTTTGTTTTGGGGTTTTCTTGGCCAAAACCATTATGGACTAATTAAAGGAAATGCGCTTTTATGGTGTGGGAACTCTCTTTTCTGTAACGGTCGCAATTCTTCCCTTTTCTTTTAGGTGATGGAGGCCCTGAAAGGCCTGGTTTTGGGAGAGAAATGTGAGTTTTTCTTTTTATTTTCTCCTCGGACTTGATCACATTGAAGCATAATGCTTGGGTGGTGCCGGCCCCTTCCCAGGAAGTCACTGAGCTCCTCGCAACTCCGTCCCCACCCCTGGAGGTTACTGAGCTTTGCACGACACCAGCCCCTTCCCAGGAGGTGACCAGAGCTTCTCGCAACACCGGCCCCTTCCCAGGAGGTCACTGAGCTTTGCACGATGCTGGCCCCTTCCCAGGAGGTCACTGAGCTTCTCGCGACTCCAGCTCCTTCCGAGGAGGTCACTGAGCTTTGCACGATGCCGGCTCCTTCTCAGGAGGTCACCAGAGCTTCTCGTGACTCCAGCCCCTTCCCAGGAGGTCACTGAGCTTCACACGACGCTAGCTCTGTCCAAGTCGGGGTCCCTGTGCCCCTAGGTTTCCGGTCACCGGGAGAGCTGTCTGTCGCGCCATAAGCTGGAGGTGCGCAGGAGGATAGAAATAGAAACTCCTCATCCAGCCGGGCCAGGGCACTGACAGCCACAGCGATGTCCACGGTGTAATGGTCACGGACTCCGTCCCCAAATTAGCCCATTTTTTACAAAGACGATAATGGGGGGCGGTTCTCTGTGAAATGGAGCCCTCCATTTCGGCCGCTCCCGCGTCAGGCCCAAAATAGGTGCCTGCTGGTCATCACTTCTGCGATCATGCTTTCATCTCCACTCAATTACGTCGCCTCCGCGTACTTCTGGGCTGCTGGTTTATCATGTAAGAATATAATTTAAAAGTGATCCGCCCCTCACTTTCCATATTTAGAAAAAAATTAAGTAAAAAGTAATGAATGCCACCCATCTCTCGACAATCACACGTAAAAACCTTTCAATTCTTCATGGAAGACGCAGAGATGAGCCTGGAAGTCAGGGCGGCTGTAGCTGACATCAGGTCTGTACTCACATTAGCCAGCAAACCCACCGTCAGGAGGCCAGCTCGGCTTGTTAAGTGGAGCTGGGGTGATATTGCCCTGATCCACGATAATGAATTCATATTTTAAATGCATTTTCAATTTAGGATGTATTTTAAAGCAATTTGCAATTTGTAGACAACTGTAAATCAGAGCATTAAATTAATCACGTAATGAATATGGTGGAGCCATTTTTGTAAGGCAAAGCAGTTTATTTACCTTTGTCTTTATGGGGTGAGCAGACCCTGCACTTTGGAAATGAATAAAAAGCTCTGTATTTAAAACACAGTAGCTCCGAGTCAGACTCCACTGACCTGTCCATTTATAATTCACATCGAAGGCATCTCTCCCCAGGGAAGAAGGAAACTGTAGCTACACAGCTGCTAGTTCCGCACCCACTGGGTTTAGGTCTCCATCGGTTGTGGGGGCAGTCATAGCCCAGGAAGGCATGACTCAGCTGCCAGCCCAAGCCAAGTTACTTTGTATGAAGGTCTCTTTCATGTCAAGCTGTGTCCTCACTTTTGGTTACACAGCATCAGTGGGAGTCCATCTCCCCTGGGCTGTGAGGTGCCAGAAACAGGGGCTCTCTGTCCTCCACTCTCTCTCCACTGTCTCCACAGTGACTCTCCACTGTCACTGTGGCCTGGCACATGACTGGGCCAATGGCATTAAATGAATGGATGGATGGATGGATGGATGGATGGATGGATGGATGGATGAGCAGGTGTGTAGATGGATGGATGGATGGATGGATGGATGGATGGATGGATGGATGGATGGATGGGCGGGTGTGTAGATGGATGGATGGATGGATGGATGGATGGATGGATGGATGGATAGATGGATGGATGGATAAATGGATGGAAGGAAGGAAGGATGGATGGATGGATGGATGGATGGATGGATGGATGGATGGATGGATGGATGGATGGATGGATGGATGGATGGATGGATGGATGGATGGATGGATGGACACATGGATGGATGGACGGATGGATGGATGGATGGATGGATGGATGGATGGATGGATGGATGGGTGGGTGTGTAGATGAATGGATGGATGAGTGGGTGTGTAGATGAATGGATGGACGAATGAATGAATGGATGGATAGATAGATGGATGGAGGGATAAATGGATGGAAGGAAGGATGGATGGATGGATGGACAGATGGATGGATGGACGGATGGATGGATGGATGGACAGATGGATGGTTGGATGGATGGATGGATGGATGGATAAATAAATGAATGGATGAATACTTGAGTAGCCACATAAACGCAGCACTCAGTGCCCCAGCCCATGCTGTTCACTGTGTCTTGAGTACACCTCGCTCAGGCCTGGTCCAGAGCTGCTGTCCCTGAGTGCAGTGTTCATGATTCAACAACATATTTTCCAATGAGGTGTCTACAGCAGAAGCACACAAAACCAGGCCATGGGCTGGTTTATTGATGCAAATGCGACCAGAGGCTCTAAGGAACCTCCGGTCCATGCCCCCTGGGAGTTCAGCATTCACCCACTCAGTGTCTGCAGCCACTTCAGAACAGCTCCTGCAAATGATGAGCATGGACTGTGCTGGTCACAGTGATTTTCTCTTCCTCAGACCCCTCCCTGCCATTCGTGTCTATGCCCAGACTGCCCAGACCAACGAGAACAAAGAGCTCTGTCCTTGCACACACCCAGAGTCCCAAGTGGTCCTGAGCCCTGTGCACCTACCAGGTGGGCACCAGGGGGTGGCTGGGCTGGATAGACAGGGCCCAAGTCAGGGTCCTGCTGGAGACCAACCCCTCGCTCCCCAGTCCTGGCCTCAGGACTACTGCTTATGCTAGGGAAGAGAGCCATAGGAAGCTTGCTGCACCATCCACCAAAATCTTCCTGAAAACCCACAGCCCCATCCACAGTGACCCAACCCTGGGCCTGGGTCAAACAGGGACAAACCGGCCAGCCCCCAGAGGCCAGGCTTCCCCCAGGCCTCTGACCACTCCCCTGTGATGCATTGGGCTTTAAGACCCGATGAGCAGAGCCAGCCGGAGCCTGGGCCCCGAGCAGGACCCTGCACAGGGTTCTTCTTGCAGGTCTCTGGGCTGCCTCAGTGGGGGTCAGCACCTTCGGAACCCCCCACTGTGCATGGAGTGTTTGTTTGCTGCAGACGGAAGCCATGAAACCACCCTCCCTGGGCAGGAGCTGCGCCTCGAGGGAGAGCAGAGCCCAGGAGGACTGAGGTGTGCTTCATTATGAATCTTGTTTAATGGATATTCATTATTTTCATTTATCTCCTCATCCTGCAGCTATGTAAATAAATGCAGTGTGACACTAGCCCTACAGCAGAATGAATTAGGAACTAATTTCCCAAGGAGTGAACATAGCATCCTGAGGTGGCCACTGGCCAAAGGGGTCCCAGGACTGGCACTGACCCAAGATTGATAGAGCCTCAGACCCCTCGGTCCTCCAGCAGGGCCTGGGGGCAGTGACTGGAGCAGGGCAGGAGGCGTGTCCCCATCCCAGAGCTGCCACACCCAGGACACTGAGGGGCACCTCTCTGCACCCTTCGCCAGGTGGTAATGGCTGGGAGAGAGCAGCAAAGGTGAGAAGCCCTGTCCTGTGAGAATTCATGATTCCTGAGAACCCAGTCAGACTGCAGGGCCCCTCAGCCTCCAAATTACGCCTGCCTGCGGACTGTCTTATGGCTGCCTTTTGTGTGCCTCACACCTGGGCTCACCTGGCTGGGCTCTCCTGTAGACAGCTGTGGTTTCCTGGGATCAGAAGCTGTTATGTGTTGCTGGGATTTCGGCGTCTAATGCAGGATGTGCCACATCGTGTGGATTTTGAGTTGGATTTGGTAACCGGAAGCACTTGCTGCAGGGTTGGGGTTGATGGAGGGGGGATTCCTTGGCTTCCTGTCTTGTGGGGAAAGACCCCATAGTTGCTCAAGGTCACAGACACAGGGAGCAGCCAATGATGATGGTGCGCCCCAGAGGAGGTGGCCGGCACCCCAGCCCCGCACACCTTGCTCCCTTCGTTCATAATCTATGGGTGCATCTGGCATTGGCTCTGTGAGCCGGGCATCAGCCAGGCCCAGGAGACCAGCTCAGCCCCCATCTCAGGGGAACAAGGGCTCCCATGAGGATGCTCAGATGAAAACCTACACACAGCATGGGAGAATGCGGGTGACCTGAATGTCCACTCGCTGCCCAGGTTACCTTCCACTCACCTCAGTAGTCTTACCTGTGAAAGGGGATGATAATAATAAACCCTACCCCACAGGCATGCTGTGAAGATCAAACAACATGTCCCATGTAAACCACTTTGCATAAGACAACCCCTGTGCATTACCAGTGCAGAGCATGGTGCACCATGTTTAAAGTAAATATCATCCAGCCCCTCACCATGTTAGCCTGCCTGGGCTGCCATAACAAAAGCTCAACAGACTGGGAGGCCTAAACAACAGGAATTAATTTCCTCACGTTCTGGAGGCCAGAAGTCCGAGATCAAAGTGTCAGCAGGGTGGGTACCTGGTGAGGGCTCTCCATTTGGTTTGCAGACGGCCACCTTCTGGCTGTGTCCTCACATGGTGGATAGAGGGGGAGCTCTCTTGTGTCTCTTGTTGGGACACTAATCCTGTTAAATCAGGGCTTTGCCGTTACAATCTCATTTAACCTAAATACATGTTTGAAGGCCCCTTCTCCAAATACAGTCAAACTGGGGATTAGGCTTTAACATGTGAACTTTGGGCAGTAACAACATTTCGTCCATAACACCCACCAGGAATATCAAACATCCTGAAGCTCTGTGATAGAGCACATGAACATATGAACTTGGGGGAGTGATGTTGTTACTCCCCTAAGTTCACACGTGAAAGCCTTTGAACAGAAAGGCAGGAGGATACTGTACAAGTTCAGAGACAGAGAGAGGATGGTAGGTGGTCAGTAGCAAGTGATGAATTCATGAAAATGAGAATCTGCCTCTAGGAGGAGAGTTTAAAAGGAATACCAAATTCATGAAAATGAGACTCTATCTCCAGGAGAGGAGTTTCAAAGTAATACCAAGTGGCCAAAGAGCCTCAGCAGAGATATGAACGTGACCGTGTGCCAGAAGAAGGAAGGGCCCAGCTGGCCAGATGTTACGTCCAATCCATGCCAAGTTGTGAGCTGCAGAGAATGGCTCCAGCATCAGGGCTGTACTGGCTGGATGGGAATGGCCTGGAAGAAAAATATTTCATTTTCATCCACTGTGAGTTTTTTCTTGGAGAGCCTTCTAATGGCAGCAAGCTCTGGTGGCACAAAGCTATTCCCCGCTGACATTGGCAGTTGAGTCACATCCCAGATGAGCTGACAAAAGGTTTCCTTCCCATTTCTGGGCAGCCACCAATGCTTGGGGTTTGTTATAATTTTATGGGTAATAGATCATATCACACATGAGAAGAATTCATAATATGGAGATTAAGAAAAACAATTTATTAATGTTAATAAATCCTCCAATAAAACTTCCAGGAGGACCTATAGTGATAAATTGAATAATTATGAGTATAATTATGACTAACTAGAAGTATAATTTCATGCTAATGCAATAATAATGACACAAAAGTGTAGATCATGAATTTTAACTGCTTAGTTATTTCACATTTCCACAAGTATGGACAAAAAAAAAAACCCTCTCTGAAATCTGATCAAATTATGGTTGACTGAGAAAGAGAAAGTGTTCTTGGTTTAAACAGACATCGTTTTGATTATCTTTACTGAACTGCAAAAAGTCTTATGTTAATTAGGAACTTGAAGATACTAAATTCAAGAAATAGATACTCAGGAGTGCAACGTTTTTCTGAGTCAAAAAACCCCCATGAACTCATCGTTTTATCACCTTTGAGCACCATGTGAAAGAGAGGATGGAAGATAATTTGCATTTAAGTTTGCGTTTTATGTTGATAAATGTTTCAAGAAGGGATAAACTAGTGCAGACAGATGTGATTGCCTCAACTCAACAAAGCATTTTATGCATTGAGATGAGCCCGAATTAACTGCCTCTGAAAAGGAGTTTGCTGGGGAATAGGAAAGATGGTTCCTGGAGGCGTTTCCTTCACTCTGGACTCAGTTCCCAGGTGACAAGGCTTCAGACTCTGGAGGGTTTTCCTAGAGCATCTCATTCCACAGGATTCGTGTAGGCTGTGAGATTGTCCTTGGGCCATGAGAGAGCCCCACCAGGTGGGCATATTTCTCAAGTCAGAGTTACACAGGAAAAAGTGCAACACCAGAGTTGACCAAAAGGGCTCCAGGAGGCCAGGTTGGGGGACAGCCCCCTCCTGTGCTCTCCGGCCACTTGGTGTTATTGTTGCGAATATCTTCCCGTGGATGCCCAAGGATCCAACTGAACTTTGTTGACGAACTCTTTTCCGCTCATGTCGAGCCTGGAAGAAGAGAGTTGCTCCTAATACAAGAGGATTTCAGTAGATGCTTTGGGATTATAGACTCCATTAACCTATTTTGAGAAATGGCCACACAGTACTGTAACGGGGTTCCACTCCGCCAGGGCTCCACTCCTTCCGGCTGCCCCCGTTCCTGGATATGGGTGGGCGCCGTCTTTCTCAGCCGTTCTGATTGAGGTGTAGTGGTATCTCGTGTGGTTTAATCTGCATTGCCCTCGTGGCCAATGATGTTGAACATCTTTTCATGCACTTATTTGCTATCCATGTGTGTTTTACGGTGCATGGTTTATTTAAATATTTTGCCCATTTTTTAATGGGTTGTTATTTTCTTACTGAGCTTTGTGAGAGTTCCTTTTAAATTCTGGATACAATTTCTTCATCAAATTTATGCTTGAAAAATACTTTCTTTCTATCTACGACTTGTCTTTTCACTCTATTAATAATCTTTTGAACCAGAAGTTTTTAATTTTAATGAAGTTCAATTTATGAATTTTTTCTTTGATGGATTTTACTTTTTGGTAGCGTATCTATGAATTACTTGCTTAAACCAAGGTCACAAAAATTTTTTTTCCTATGTAAGCTTCCAGAAGTTTGAGAATTTAGATTTTCTATTTAGGACTATGACCCATTTTGAATTAAATTTTGCATATAGTGAGTGATATGGATCGAAGTTCATTTTTTTTTGCATATGTATATCCAAATGTTCCAGCACCATATGTTGAAAGACTATCTTTTTTTTTTCTGAATTGCTTTTGCAACTTTGTCAAAATCAGCTGTTCATACAAGTATGGATCTATTTCTGGACCTTCTATTCCATCCCATTCATGTATTTGTCCGTTTCCAAACCAAATCACCCTGTCTCGATTGCTGTATCTTATCAGTCATGAAGCAGGTAGTGTAAGTCTTCCAACTTTGTTCTTTTGTTCAAAGCTGTATGAGTTATTCTAGGTCCTTTGTATTTTTATATAAATTTTAGAATCAGCTTGTCAGTTGCAACAAAAATGCACGTGATTTTCATTGAGATTGTCTTGAATCTATAGATCAATTTAGGAAATTTGACATCCTCAGTTGTGAGTTGTCTGATCCACAAACTCATTCTCTTCCTTCCGTTCTTCTATTTCTCCGAGCAACACTTTATAGTTTTCAGTGTATTGGTCTTATACATCTGCTGTCAATTTTTCCCATGATACTTCATTATTTGATACTATTGTAAACAGTATTTTTTCATATTTTCTGGATTTTTGTTGCAATTACATAAAAATATAATTGATCTTTGTATATTAATCTTGTGTCGGCAATAATGCTAAACTTGCTATTACTTCCAGCGAGTTTTATGTAGGTTTTAATGGATTTTTAAAATAGACTATCATGTCCTCTGAATAATGATGGTGTTACTTCTTTTTTTCAAATCTAGATAGATCCTGTGTGTGTGTGTGTGTGTGTGTGTGTGTGTGTGTGTGTGTGTACTCTTGCCTTATTGTAGTGGTTGGGACCACCAGGTCAATGTTGATGATAAATGATGAGAGCAGCATTCTTGTCTCGTTTTTAGGAGAAAATCATTCAGTCTTTCCCCCCACTGAGTTTGATGTGAATTTTAAGGTTGTCATAGATACCCTTTATTAGTCTGAGGAAGTTCCAATCTATTTCTGGTTTGTTTTTTATCATGGAGATAGGTTTAATTTTGTCAATGGCTTTTTTGTGCGTCAATTGAGATGATTGTACACTTTGAATCTTCTAGATTGCTAATATGGTCAATTATATTAATTGATTTTCAGATGTTAAACAAACCTTGTGCTCCTGGGATAAATCCTAGTTGGCAATACTATTACTTCATTTGTTACACTTTGTTGAATTCTATTTATTGAAGTTTTATTTAGAATTTTTGCCTCTATATTGATAAGAGGAATAGGCTAGCTGTTGTTTTTTCTTGAATGTCTCTCTTTTGTTTTTGTTTTTCTATCACAGTAATGCTGGCCTTAAAGAATGAGAAGAGAAGTATCCCCCTCCCTCCAGCTCAGAGATAGAGTGTGTGGACTTGGTGCTCTCACCTCCATAAATGTTTGGTGGAATTCACCAGTGAAGCATCTAGACCTGGAGTTTTCTTTATGGGAGATTAATCATTTTTAAAAATCTTCTCAAAAAAATAAATTTTGGCTTTGTTGATTTTTTTCTATTGTTTGTTTCACCTTTTATTGCCTTCTGCTCCTAGTTTATGATTTGTTTTCTCCTGCTTTCTTTAGGTTTAATTCTGTCTTCTTCTTATAGATCCCTAGTGGTCATTGATTAAGGTTTTTCTTCTTTTCTAATAGAGACATTCATTGCTGTAAGTTTCCCCTTCAAGACTGCTTTGGCAGCATGATGCAAATTTTGATCCGCAGTGCTTTAATTTTGTTTCAGTTCAAAATGTATTTTAAATTTCCTTTTTGATTTTTTCTTTGACCTATAAGTTATTTTGAAATGTGTTACTTGGTTTCCAAATATTTCAGAATTTTTCAAGGTTCTTTCTCATATTGGTTTCTACTATAATTCTACTGCATCCAGAAACAGCCTTTGTTTGACTTAAATCTTTTAAATTTATTAAATTTTTTAAAAAATTGTGATGGGTGCATAGCAGGCACATATGTTTATGGGTTGAATGTGATATTTTGATACAGGCATATAATGTGTAATAATCACATCAGGATAAATAGGACATCCATCCCCTCAAGACTTTTAAATTTATTGTGACTTTTTCATGACCCATAACACGGTGTATGTCTTGGTAAGTGTTTCCTGTGCACTGGAAAGTAATGTAAGTTTTGCTGTTGTCAGGTGGAGTGTTTTATAAACATCAATGATATCAAGTTTAGATTTCCATATCATTACTTCTTTTCTGTCTACTTACTCTATCAATTATTGAGAGAGCAGTTTTGAAATCTCAGGCTATAAACGTAGATTTTCTTTAACTTATCTTTATCGTATCAGTTTTTGCCTTATATACTTTGAAGCTTTCTTATTAGAGATACAGAAGTTTAGATGGTTATGAGATCTTGGTGAATGTACCCATTTACCATTATAAAATGTACGGTAATACTCTTTGCTCTAAGGTGTACTTTCTATGATATTAACATAGTCACTAATTTAACATTAGTGCTAGCATAGAATATATGTATTTAATACTTTTATTTAAATCTATGTGTCTTTTTATTTAACATGTGTTTATTGTAGACAGCATATATTTGAGTCTTGCTTTCTTGACTAATCTGACATCTCTTCATCTTAATTGGGGCATTTAAATAATTTATAGTTAATGTGAATATTGCTATTCTTTATATCCACCATCTTGCAAATTTGTCTTATGTGTTTTTTGTTCCCTTT
This sequence comes from Homo sapiens, assembly GCF_000001405.40. Lineage (NCBI taxonomy): Eukaryota > Metazoa > Chordata > Mammalia > Primates > Hominidae > Homo > Homo sapiens. The sequence continues at coordinate 49,250,956 of NC_000022.11, forward strand.
TTACTCTTTTTCTGACTTGTTTTTGATTAATTATTTTTGTAATTCCATATTTTCTCCTTTGTTGGTTTACTTAAGTCATTATTGTTGTAGTTCCCATGGCTGTTTCAGGTGTCAGAGTAAATATCTTTAACTCCTCACAGTGTGCCTTCCAATGAGACTACACCAACTCCCAAAGGGTAGAAGAGATCCGCAGTATATCTCCACTTATTCCTTGTGCTAAGGTTATAAAATATACCTTTATTTATTCTATAAACAGACAAAAGGTAATGTGATGAGCATCTCTATGCCAATAAACAAATTGAAATTAACACCTTCATTGAAATGGACAAATTATCACTTTCTGTTTCTCCTTAGACAATCTTGGTTGGATTGAAAAGTCAGGAGAGTCCTATATTTGTTGAATTTCATGTCATACCCATCAAGAGTATTCTCCATGTGCCTTACAAAGAACTTGGCACACGTCCTCTGACCGGACACAGGCATGAGGGAGCCAAGTGCCTATGGCAGGAGGACAGCAGGGCCTGACTCAGATACAGCCTCACTCCTGGTCTTTGTCAGGGCAGGACTGTGGGTGTGGTCCCCACGGAGCAGACAGACATGGGGAGGAGGAGGAGCGGCTGTGAGGTCATCCTGAGGACCACCTGGAAAGATGCTCTGCTCAGGGTCCTGGAACCGCAGAGGATTCTCTCAGCCTGCCCATGTGGGAGGAACCACAAAAACGTCCATGAGAAGAGAGCAAGATACATACATCTGTAAGGCTGGAAGAATGAGAGCAGTTTCTAGGCATCCTGACCATGTAAGACCCTCTTGCCTACACCTCCCCCCATTCCAACATTGGTGGGTCAGACACTGGCTGGCAAACTGGAGATAGAGACTGGGGGAGAAAAGTATAAGACAAGTAAACAGGGACTATCCAATCACACCCATCTTTCTCTCTGTAGACCTCTAGCCTAAAGGAGTGTGAGCTGAGGGAAGGAGGAAAATGTGACATAAAATCAGGTTTGGGGAATGAACATTCCATTTTCTGACCAAAGACTGTATTTGCAGCTGAAAGTGACCAAATCACTTTCCGTTATCCAAGAGTCAGGAAAACCCTCTGGACCCACCGGGGTTTCATCTATGGCTAGGGAAAGAATCAGCCTGCTGCAGATTTATGAGGAGGCAGTGAGAAAAATCAATCCCTGCAATACCCAGTATCCAACCATATCATGGGTCAGCCTTCTTCACCCTACCATAAACACGCCTTGAATTCACAGAAAACAAGGGGCAAGTGCTCTGCATCTTGGTACACTTCAAATCACTCTACTTTTTCATCCTTTATATGTTTTCCTATTCTCTACTCCATACCATTTTTGCAGTTTCTAGATCATGCATATCACCCAAGTATCCAGAGCTCTTCAATGTAGGTTGCTCAAAAACAAGAGAGAAAAAGAAAGTCATACATCTCATAGTGCTTGTTAACATAAAGACATGATACATGCAGTGTAATGTTAAGGCATAATCAAGTGTCAAAACAGGTATTATCATGCAAATGCATGATTTCTATCCAATGAGTCAGTCACAATGAGACTTCAAGATGAGTGAATTGAGCAGACTATAGCAACAGCTACCTGCCACAAAGGCCAGTTTTTGCCACACTGCATTGAGGGATGAAGGCAGCTGACTGCCCGATGTGCCATTAGCAATGGACTGAAACCAAAGTGTTGATGAGTAAGGAGAGTAGGGGCAGGATGGAGTCCAGAGATTGGCCTCTCTACTTGCCTGCATTTTTGAGATAGTCCATAATAAAGAATGTAGAAAGGGAGCGAGGGAAAGACAGAGCATGCACGCCCAGAAGACACTGAGTTCTCTGCAGGCTTTTGCCACAGCTGTGCCTCTGCAGCCCACACTCGGACCCACTCGGGGTCACATGGAGGGCAGCAAGACACATGAGCATCTGGCCATGTTTCCAATGAGCAGGACAAAGTCTAATTCTGCTGGGATGTGTTAAAATGTAAACATGCCTTTTTCCCTAGCATCTCCTTCACTAAACACCTGCCAGGAACAGTTATCAACTCATCCCTGTCTCCTCAGTGATCAGTTAGGAATAAGCAAGACTAGACCAGGAAGACCTCCAGGCCCTGTGACACGAGGCTCCCACTCCAGAGTGGGCATTGCTACTCATGGATCCACAATCAGGGAGGAAATAGTTGCATATTCCTCCATGGCAGTGGCCCTGGAGAGGAGCTAAGAATCACTGGTTTACGATCTTATCCCAGGGATGAGTTAACTGGGACCCAAAGAGATGAAGTGACCATTCCAAGGTCAGACAGTAGATTAGCTGAAGAAGAGGAATTTATTCAACTGGAAAGTAACCATTCTTCTTCCTCTTCTTCTTTTTTCTTATTTTTTTAAGATGGAGTATCACTCTGTCACCCAGGCTGGAGTGCAGTGGTGTGATCTCAGCTCACTGCAACCTCCACTTCCCAGGTTCAAGGCATTCTCCTGCCTCAGCCTCCTGAGTAGCTGGGATTACAGGCACACACACCACCACACACCACCATGCCTGGCTAATTTTTTTTTTTTTTTTTTAGTAGAGATGAAGTTTCACCATGTTTGTCAGGCTGGTCTCAAACTCCTGACCTCAGGTGATCCACTGTCTCAGCTTCCCAAAGTGTTGGGATTACAGGCATGAGCCACCACGCCCAGCAGAATGTAACCATTCCTATGCAGCTCCTCTTCCCAGGCACTGAACCTGAGAAGAACAGCCACAGCTTCCAGTGATCTTGGCCCTCGGCACAGATGAGGGAGCAGGAAACTGCAGGAAAGTGCAGTGGGACCCCTCCCTCACACCAAAGACTAACATCAGAAATGTGCTGGTAAATCGTGAAGCCACTGGAATGTCCGTACACTGCTGGTGGGGCGTAAATGCAAATGGTGAGGGGTCTCTGGCGGCACCCATTCCAACTGCCCTTGTGCTCCCAGTGGCCAGCACTCCCACCAAGGCAGTGTGAACATTCACCAATGACATGCAGGGGAAGGGTGTCCCAGATGCTCTTTCTGGTGTGAGAGCCAGAAACTAGAAATGACCAGTGATGATTAATGTTACGTTTCACTTGTCCTGGCCAGGGGGTGCCCAGATAGCTGATTAGACCTTATTTCTGTGTGTGTCTGTGAGGCTGTTTCCTGGCATGGTTAGCGTGTGAATGGGTGTGCTGTGTAAAGCAATGGCCCTCCCCAGTGTGCGTGGGCCTCACCCAACACCGCCAGAGCTCAAATAGGACAAAAAGATGAGGTGATGGAGAATTCACTCTTTCTACCTGACTCCATGAGCTGGGACATCCATCTGCCCCAATCTCAGACTGAGACTCACAATGTCTGCTTTTCTGGGTCTCCAGCTTGCAGACAGCAGACTACAGGACTTCTCAGCCTCTACAATCACATGGACCAATTCCTTAGAATAAATCTCTCTGTGTATATATGGAGGATACACACACACACACACACACACACACACACACATAAAGGACCTCCTGCTACTGTGCATCCACACAGGGTTCTCACAGTCACAAAGATGAGCAAAGCTCCCTGGACAGCCACAGACTGAAGGCACTAAATGACCATTCGAAGGACATCTGAGAACAAACAGAAGTAACCCTTCGTGACTCAGGTCAGAGTTCTGGTAACGTTGGGGGTCACTGTTGGGGGCAGGAGGCAGTGAGGGCAGGGCTGGAACTGTCCCATCAGATCTGCCTGCTGGTCACTCTGGCAGAAGCACATCTGAATCGCTGTCCCCCAGAGTCCTGCCCTTAGAGTAGCAAGACTTGCATACATGACCCTGCCTAGCTGTGCCTTTACCATGAAAAGGTAAAAGCCAATTAGCAAACAGTGGGGAAAAAAAAAAGCCAAAAACACACAGTACGGTGCCCCCTTGGCTGGGGGTGTGACATGCGTAAGAGGAGGTGGCCACAACCTGGGGAGGGACGAGGATGGGCCTGCGATCTTCCAGGCCCACGGAGCACCGCTCACACCGCCACAGCACAAAACAGTCCACAGAGAAGAAATCACTAACGTTCAACCTACACTTGTGGACTTAAGTGGCCTCTCTGTAACACATGATTATAGGATTTAAAGGAAGAAAACGGCGGCACACACAGCTTTGCTTTGCTCTAATAGTACTTTGCCCAGCGATGGCTCAACTCAACTCATACTTTTCCTCCGTACTTGATGGGAATGTCTCCGTCCTCTTTTCAAACCACAGTGGCAGGCGTGCCCTGCGTCCCGCTCCATCCCCTTGGGCCCTTCCTGCTCTGCCAGCTGGAGGGACCGCTCTATGGGGTGCTCCTATCACAGCCCCTCTTATACCCAGCCAGGCTCAGCCTCGGGGGGGCAGTAGGGAAGTGAGTGTGGGAAGAGAGAGCCCCGGGGGCCCCTCCCTGCCCTGGGCTGACCACTGTGCTGTTCTCCGGCAGCAGACCCCCAGCGAAGCCCCTCCAGGTCTAGTGGACACCACTGGGAGCCTCCACCTCCCTTGTCAGATGCCCCCACCCTGTGGGCCCCCAGCAAGCAGGCCCTTTGTGGAGCCCCAAAACCATAGTCTCCTGTAGGCTGCCCCGCCACCCGCTCCTGCCTGAGCCTCCCCTTGAAACTGTTGGCAGGTGGATTTTGGACCTCAGGGTTCTTCTGTGGGGACTTTTCTTTCTTTTTTTCCCCATCTTTCTTAATAAGCCCTGCAGTCCACTCGTATCAACAGCCGCATCTCCATAGTCCTGTGAGAAATCTCTTTGCCTGCACCCCCGGGAGGATTCACGGATGATTCCCATTAACACAGCCTGTGAGTGGGATTCGCCACAGTCACAGAGAGAAGCTCAGGGCCGCCTGCTGAAGAGGAGTGGGTAAAACTCAGCCCGATTTGCCGGCGCCTCCTCAATCCCACAAAGGATGTGTTCTCAAGGCACCTGGAGGAAGCCATTGGCATGAGTAGGACGTGGACCCTGCTCTCAGGCTCGGCGGTGCCCACCACCCATGGCCACTGCTGTCACCTAGGGGACCTCCTTCTGAGGACCTTTAATCAGAAAAGAAGATGGGGAGATTGAAGACGCTGACCCCTTCCTGTTCCGCACGCAGGGGCCTCCCAGGCTATGGGCAGATTAACCATCTCACACACCTCTGACGTCATCATAGAACCATCCCCATGAGGCAGAGGAGGATCTGAGATATGGGGCTGTGTAGTCTCAGCCTAGTAATGGTGATGGCAGTGGGGTGGAGACCAGGATGCAGAGGCTGTACCCTTGAGCTGCACGGCCAACGCAGACAGGCACACAAAGACATGAGCAGGCACGAGGGAGAGAATGGTCACTGCGTGGAAACAATATGTTAGCTGTGCAGAAAATTCAAGAGAAAATTTGAAGAATTACTAGAAATGATCAGAGAATTCAGCAATTGGACTGAATCAACATAGGTAATCAAAGCTCCCTGTAAGGAAAGCAAAAAACACGTTAGAACATGTAATGTAGTGATTTTCATTGATGGTAGTCACAGGAAGGTTAAGTGTAGATCAATAAGTTGAATAAGAAGTTACTAAGAGTTATATAAAGAAGAGGATAAATGGGCCAGGCATGGTGACTCACGCCTGTAATCCCAGCACTGTGGGAGGCCGAGGTGGGCGGATCATCTGAGGTCAGGAGTTCAAGATCAGCCTGGCCAATATGGTAAAACCCCATCTCTACTAAAAAATACAAAATTATCCAGGTGTGGTGGCACACGCCTGTACTCCCAGCTACTCGGGAGGCTGAGGCAGGAGAATCGCTTGAACTCGGGAGGCAGAGGTTGTGGTGAGCCGAGATCCTGCCACTGCACTCTAACCTGGGCAACAAGAGCAAAACTCCATCTCAAAAAAAAAAAAAAAAGAAGAAGAAGAAGAGGATAAACGTCACAGAAGGGGAAGTCAAGGAAAGGAGTGGGGGGCATAAATGGCTTCCGGAGATAAGGAGTGTTGGTGCTGGAACCCTCCCACCAGATGCCAGCACAGCTGGGCCACTGATTCTGTGTCTCCTGAGTTCCCAGGACCTAGGATGGTAGTGACAGCTGAGAAGTCTACCTTCAGCAAAGCAGGGCAGGAGCTGCCCCTTGACCCAGTTCTCAAAAGGAATTTTCCTGGAACTCGACATGTTCATTTGAAACTTACCTAGAAGGAAAAAGAAAGTCTCACCATGAAAGTATTATAACAAGGAGAATTTTACCCTAAAAGATTAAAACTAATGAAATAAAACTATTACAACAAAATAAAATAATACAATTATTTTCATTTATATTATTATATTAATAATATATTATCTAAAATATATTATATTAATAATATATTATCTAAAATATATTATATTAATAATATATTATCATAAATACATTATTAATAATATATTGTCATAAAATATATTATATTTTAATACTATAGTATTAAATATAGTATTACATATGCTATATTAAAATACATTAAATATAGTATTAAATATATTATTGTACATATTATAAAATATAATATATATTATAATATATTTATCTGTTTAACAAAAATAACAACAAAAGTGCAGAGGTCACTGTTTTAGACAACATGATGCTGTCACAGGCAAGACGCTGCAGACCCACCGGCTAGACCAGGGTTCCCATCCGTGTGTGCCTGGCCTGCGAGCCTGCATCCCGCCTGCCATGGGCGTAACTGCCTGGGGGCAGCCCCAGGACCGGTCCGTGGAAGCCCTAACCCCCTATGTCACTGTGTCTGGAGACATGGCCTACAGCGAAGTGACTCAGGTTAAATGAGGTCCTGAGGTAAGCCTGAATCCCCTAAGCCTGGCATTCTGATAAGAAGCAGAAGAGACCCCAGAACTGTCTCTCCCTGCATGTGGGGATGGTGGCCGTCTGTGAACCAGGAAGCGGGCCCTGGCCAGGAATGGAACTGGCTGGCACCTTGATCATGGATTCCCAGGCTCCAGAACGGTGAGAAATCAATGTCTGGTGTTTCAGCCGCCCAGCCTGTGCTATTTTGTGATAGCAGCCTGGCCGCACTGATATACCAGTGCTGTTCAAGGTACGGTGTTCCAGCAATTTGTTATCTATTTTGGGGGAAAAGAGTCCATTAAAAGTAATGCCCTAAAACCCCTCCAAAAATGTTCAATAGGTTTTAATTAAAAATGCAGAAATTTCTGTGTTGTGCTTTCCTTTGTTCACAAAATTCAAAAAGATGTTGATGGGGGTATCTGAAGAAAGGCGGTGGTCTCAGAAGTGCCTGCCCCGGGCTGGCTCAGGCCGGGACTCTGGGTCAGGTGCAGCCTCATGGAAAGACCTCTACAGGAGGGCCCTGCCTGCTTCCCACCCGGCCACAGCCCCCAGTGGGAGGGTCTCCCTCCCCGGCCGGGGTGCCCATAACACATAACACGTAACACGTCTGCTGCTTTTAGCTCTCAACAGGGCTGGTTGTTTCATTTCCTGAGTCCTCACAGGTATTCTGCCAGATCCTATTTTAAACTGAAAGTCCTCGTTGAATTCACACTCAATCCCAACATTCTGCTTCCTCCTCGAAGGTGTCAGACACATTGGCTCCGCTTCTGCACACCACAAACATATTTCCATAACTGACTGCTTTGCGCGTGAAGCCGTGCCATCCTTTCTGAGTAAGGATTCACATGTTTTCAAGGATTTCTGACAGGTTTCGAGAAAAGAGCCGTCGTCTCCTTTTCCGTTAGCCATCTCAGCGTTGCGCGCTGTTCCGAAGCACCACCTTCCTGGCACAGGTCACTCGTGGCTTCCAGATGGCACAGTTAAGGAAGAGGAGGCAGCAGGGAGCACATAAATCCTGACACTCACTAATAGACTTTATTAATAGTTCACGCATGGTGATCGGCCGGCCCCAAACACGCTCCCCGTAGTTACGGATGACCCGCTTCTATATTCTGGCACTGCTGGAAAAGACTTCATCGGACTCATTTTAATTATTTTCCAGAAGTGATCCATTTTCCATGAAAATGCATGTAGGGTTTATCTCATTCCTGGAAGTCATTACTTTGTCATGAAAAATTCCAAGTATCCTGGAGCAGGATTAGCCTCGACTTTAATCATAGAGCAGAGGGTAATTTTACCTACATTCTTGGACACAGTCATTTGAGCGATTGGCCTATGAAGAGCTATTGTCTAATTCTCCCTAAGGATGAGATCTCAGAGTCGGGGGTCTGCTTTGAGAAATTTGGGGCACAGCTGGCTGCTCTCTGAAAGACTTAAGACTCCAGAGAGTGCTGAGGAACTGGCTGCGTGTCAGGCTTCCAGGCAATGATGCTTTGAGAGAATCCTCCCAGGCAGTTGAGCTGCATGATGCCCAGACACAAGGAGAGACTCAGGAGTTCGAGCACCAGGCTTCGAGTCCTGATTCTGCAGCTTGTTCTGTGCATGAGGTGATCTTTATTTCAGGTGATATTTTTCCAGCATATGTCAGGTGCTAGGCACCATGCTGTGTGACGCAGATACAACAAAGACCAAGACAGGCATGGTTTCTGTTCTCTTGCTCGGTACCAACATCCTATGAATATTTTACATGTCACTAAAAAATCTGTAATTTTTTTCTATTTTCCTAAATAGATCCTACCAGTTAATCATGCACAATTCCACATCTCTCTATAATGCAATTTAAGTATCCATAATTACCAAGAGGGCCTCAGATTTTCTATTGCATGTTAACGCTCTTGAAGACCCTGGAAGCAGAGGGCTCGTCCTAACAAGGGCACTTCTCCCAAGTCATCTCGTGGGATGCAAAAAAGAATCATTGTGAAAAGAGTTTTTCACTTCTTAACAACTCACTCTATAAAGACAATGTCAGGCTTAATCAGAGCTGGAGATGCGGGGTGTTAAACGGAATGAATAGGAAACCTCCCTGAATCCCCAAGTGCCACTCTGAGAACAACAATGCTGGTTCCAGGAAAAAGAAAATGGCAAGAAAAGCCCAGGCACAAAGTGACATTTACAAGAATTGATGACAGACCTCGGAGACACCCAATTTCAATTACCCAGCACTGGTTACACACATGGGGCCCGAGAAGCCTCCAGGCCCAGCCTCCCCACCTGACTCGCTGCTTGCCAGCAACCCCTGCTGTGACTTTGCGGGGGACAGATGGGAGCTACTTGGAAGCCGATGGTCTCACCACCAGCACATCAGACTCGGGGGGCAGCATAACAGAGGGCACTGAGGGCTGGAGTCATCCACCTATCCACCCATCCATCCATCCATTCACCCATGCATCCACCCATCCATCCATTCACCCATTCATCCACCCATCCATCTATCCATTCATCCATCTATCTATCCATTCATTTATCCATCCATCCATCCATTCATCCAAACATCCATCCATCCATCCATTCATCCATTCATCCAAACATCCATCCATCCATCTATTAACCCGTCCATCCATCCATCCATTCATCCATCCATCCGTCCATTCACCAATCCATCCATCATCCATCCATTCATCCATCCATCTATCCATTTATCCATCCATCCATCCATCATCCATTCATCCATCCATCCATCTATCCATCCATCCATTCACTCACTCACTCCATACTCATGGTGCCAACACATCTCCAGCTTTCTTCTATGGGCAGAGGTTGCAGGAAACAAACCAAACAAAACCAATGTTCACCTTCGTTGGACCAGCAGTCTTTGCTGGGGAGGGGATAATAAACCAAACTGCATGGACCATGTCAGATGGTAACGAGGACACTGAAGGGAGGCAGGGTGGCTGCTGAGAGCAGCAGTGCACAGCGATGGGTGGGTGGAGCTGTTCACACCTGGCAGCCAGGAGGACCCTTTGGAGGCGGTGCCAGTGCACAGAGATAGGAAGGTGGAGCCCGTTCACGCCTGACGGCCAGGAGGACTCCTCAGAGGTGGTGGCAGTGCACACAGATAGGAAGGTGGAGCCCATTCACACCTGGTGGCCGGGAGGACCCCTCAAAGGTGGCGGCAGTGCACAGAGATAGGAGGGTGGAGACTGTTCACACCTGACAGCCAGGAGGAACCCTCAGAGGTGGCAGCAGTGCACAGAGATGGGAGGGTGGAGACTGTTCACACTTGGTGGCCAGGAGGGCCCTTGGTTGTGTCACAGTGCAGCAGAGGCCACAGTGAAATAGAAGCAGACTCCATGATGTACAGAGATGGCAGAGGGGACATCAGGAGGGCCTCAGAGAGGGAACCCCCTCGAGGGCAGAGGACGCAGGAGTGCCTGCTATGGGTAAACAGCCCCCAAAGCTGCTCCAGTGAGCATAGGTGTTAGGGGCATGGTGATGGGCGTGGAAGCCCAGCTAGGAGGCGGGTGACTGGGCTTGAGTACAGGTGGAGCTGATAAGAAGGGTTCAGAGTCTGGGTGTTTCAAGGGTGGACCCCCCCAGGTTTCCCAACCCACTGAATGTGAGCCCTGAGAAAGAGGGGCCACAAGGACCCCAGTTTTGTGCCTTTGCCGGGGATGGTCAGGAGCCCTTTAGACGTCCAGGAGTCACACCAGAAGCACGTGAGGCCTGGAAGCCACCATGCAGGAAGAAATGTCATTTAGGAAGGGGGAGCAGGGCAGGTGCGGGAGGACGGCTTTACTTAGAGAAGACAAAAGAGCCGAGGACTGGACAAATTCCTCAAAAGAGGCCTGCTGGGCATCGTGGTAGAGAACCAGCAGACATGGGCCCAGAGTCAGGGGAGTTGGGGCTCAGGAGACAACCTGAGGGACCTCCGGTAGGGTACCCCCACGGGCTTCAGCTTCCCCTTTTGTGAAGCTGGGCTGAGGAGCCTCCCTTGCCAAGAGGTTCTGCTTATCCCAGCCTGGACTGACAGGATGGGAAAGTCAAGGAGACAGACGCGAACCTCGCAGGCGCACGAGGCCCAGGGGAAGCGCCGGGAACCCTCTCGGTTTGTGCAGGAGCCACCCTGTGACTTTGCCAGGACTACCTGTCGGGCGCCAGGCAGCTGAGCCAGACGAACCGCCGGGCCACACTCACACCGACCTCAGCTTGTTTCAGGAACAAGCTTAGGCATGCAAGTAGGAATTAGCTTGTGCTAAACAGCAGGACAATGCAGTTATTCTCATGATTGTAATTTAAATTTGAATTCTACACTTTTTAATCCCCGTTATTTACTAGAGAATGAGGACGTCTACTCTGCGTGGACTTCTGACACCGCTCTCTCTGGCCGTCTGTTCTCCTGTGTGCTCCGGTACAGGCTGGAGGAAGCGCCACATAAGTGTAACCATCATTAGTATTTCGGCCTCCACCATCTCCTCTCTGCCTCACATGGTGGCCTTGGCCCTGAGGACACAGAACAGCTCAAGTAAGGGACTATGAACCCCCGACAGCGGCCCTGGGGACATCGCTTTCATTCACTTCTTCCCTCCCCCTGGGTACCGCAGGGGCCCTGGCCTCTGGATGAGAGCTGCTCCTGCAGGGGACCCCAAAGCCCTGTGATGGAACAATCTGGAAACCTTGCTCCTCACACTGGGCCATCTCTGGAGGCAATTTCCCGGCTTCCTCCTGTGAGGTCCAGGTCGAGGGATCAGGCTGCCTACGATGCTGCCACTGAGGGCCGTTGCTTCCTACGTGATGGACTTCTCACCTCTTCCTTCTCTTGTTGAGCCTTAACAATGAGAGTAAGAAAAAGTAGGCTGGGTGCAGTGGCTCATGCCTGTAATCCCAGCACTTTGGGAGGCCAAGGTGGGTGGATCACGAGGTCAGGAGATCAAGACCAACCTGGCTAACATGGTGAAACCCCATCTCTACTAAAAATACAAAAAAATAGCTGGACATGGTGGCGTGCACCTGTAATCCCAGCTACTCAGGAGGCTGAGGCAGGAGAATCGCTTGAACCTGGGAGGCAGAGGTTGCAGTGAGGTGAGGCTGCACCACTGCACTCCAGCCTCGTGATACAGCGAGACTCCATCTCAAAAAAAAAAAAAAAAAGGGAAAAAGTAAGAGTATTCTTCAATCACTCTGCCAGAGTCTGCTCTGTGTCACGGAGGAGGAGACTGAGGTCTGGATCAGGGGTGCCACTGACTCACAAGAACAAAGCAATGTGGGGCCACAGCAGGAATAAGACCCAGTGATTCCAGATCCTGCCAGATTATTCCAGATCATTGTCATCAGCCTCTTCCATGGAAGAATTCTCTCTGGTCCACACGGCATTTCCCAACGCCATCTGGGAGGCCTCCAAGGCCTGGGATATGGCGGCTTGAGATGCTCCAAGAGGGATCGTCTCGGTCACTGCTCTGCAGCTGCTCATTGATTTGAGTACACGTCTTAGTTTGAGGTCATTGTAGAGCCCTGTGTGGGTATAAGAAATGACACAGAGGGATCCTGTTCACGCTGCGTCCGGTTTCGCCCAGGGGTGGCATCTTGTAGGACAATAGCACGATGTAACCTCCAGGATGTCAACAGTGATGCAGTCAAGACCCTGGATGCCCATCATGCAGGGTCCTCTCCTGGTCCCCCCAGAGCCGCACCGCCGCCCTCCCACCCCGTCCCCTCCACCACCCCTGGCAACCTCTCATCTCTCCTCCATTTCCAAAATGTCATCATTCTCATGTCTCTATCAAGGACCTGGGAAAAATGGGGGGAGTGTAAGTGAAGCTCAGGGCGTAACTGCCTGGAGGTACTGCCCTGCACAGACATGTCTTCCAGGCAGGACCCCCAGGGCAACAGTCAAGGACGGGAAGGGAGGACACGTGAGCAGTTGATGTGAAACCTGGACGTCCTACGCACTGTGTTCACTCTGAGGAAGGCTCTGACATAGAAACAGAAGCCCTCAGAACTACCAGCAATTCACGAGGTTTACTGTCCATAGTCGTAGCTAATTTCCTCATTGATCTGGTGAAACGTATGCTTGGCCCTGGTTTTTTGTTTTTTTTCTTTTCTTTTCTTTTTGAGATGGAGTCTCACTGTTGTCAGCCAGGGCTGGAGTGCAATGGCGCGATCTCAGCTCACTGCAACCTCTGCCTCCCGGGTTCCAGCAATTCTCCTGTCTCAGCCTCCTGAGTAGCTGAGATTACAGGTGCCCACCACTGTGCCTGGCTAATTTTTGTATTTTTAGTAGAGATGGAGTTTTGCCATGTTGGCCAGGCTGTTCTTGAACTCCTGACCTCAGGTGATCCACCCACCTCGGCCTCCCAAAGTGCTGGGATTACAGGCGTGAGCCCCAGCACCCGGCCTGTGTGGCCCTGGCTTTTCACTGAGACACTATTTTGTCCAGCATCCCTCCTGCTAAGAGTTTCCATCGTGTCCCGTGGAAGGCGGTGGCTGGGAAGTGGCTGCCTGGCTATTGGATCTGCAGGGCTGTGGCCTTATTTTGGATTGTTTCTTCGTCTTTCTCCCTCAACCCTCCCTCACCAAATTCTCTCAAAATATTCTGCTGAGTGATGTAGTTCAACCACAGAGTTCCCTTCCTGTTCTAATTTCTGGTTTTAAATTAGATCGACTGTTTCAGGTTTCATTTTATTAACAGAATGAGGTAAAAGAGTCACCTTGTTTAAGTCTTTAATTTGTGGGAAAATGTGTTCACGTCTACCCCAAAAATCTCAGATGGTTGCTGCTTTTCTATTTGTGTAACTGAATCATGGCTTAATTGATTGTTACTGGAAACGTTTTGGGTTATGACTTTTATGTGTCTTTGTCCTGCATTTGGGTTTTTTATCGTGTGTGTGTTGTTTTGGCTGTTGACACTCTGGTTTATTGTGGGAAGAGGATCCTAGGAATCGTTTTCTGGCTCAGTCCAGTCTACGTTTGCTCTCCAGGATCTGAAGGAGGTTCTGACCATTGCATGTACAAGTCCATACAAGTCGGGAAAGCCTGTGCTGCGTGCAACCCCCCAAAATCTGCACTATGGGCAGCTGCTGGCCTTGCCTGGGCTTGGAGACATTCTTCACTATAGCTGTCCACTCAGGTCCAGGATTCGAGTTCCACGATTGCCTGCGTCCTGGCTCACGGGAGGAGTGGGTCTTAGGGGCACCTGGCATCTGGGGTCCCAGGTGAGTCACGGCAAAAGGGAAGTGTCCGGCAATGGGGAAGAGGAAGGAGGAGTGGAGAGAGGCACGGGGACAGTGGGGAGCTGGGTGGGGGAGGGGACATGGAGCCCCTGAGGACCCAGGAGGAGGGTCCCAGTGAAGAGTCCACCCTGCTGTTGCTGAAGTTTGTCCAACTGCTGATTAGTTTTGGCCAGATAATTTTTTTCTAGTGAATCAAGATTTTAAATCAGATTTCCTTTGGAGGCCTCCGAATACCAATCAAAAATGGCTGTCCCCTGGGCCTGATCAACCCTATTCCCTTGGTAAAGTTAGGGCGTTTAGAAAGACAGGTGCAAGAATTAGGATTGTAAGGAAAGTGCCTCTGAGAAGAAGGGGTGTTTCCCATTGGAGGAGAGTGGGGAGGCCGAGAGCTTCCCGGTGGAGGAGAGGAGGGAGGCCCAGAGCTTCCCGGTGGAGGAGAGGAGGGAGGCCCAGAGCTTCCCGGTGGAGGAGAGCGGGGAGGCCCAGAGCTTCCCGGTGGAGGAGAGCGGGGAGGCCCAGAGCTTCCCGGTGGAGGAGAGCGGGGAGGCCCAGAGCTTCCCGGTGGAGGAGAGCGGGGAGGCCCAGAGCTTCCCGGTGGAGGAGAGCGGGGAGGCCCAGAGCTTCCCGGTGGAGGAGAGCGGGGAGGCCCAGAGCTTCCCGGTGGAGGAGAGGGGGGAGGCCCAGAGCTTCCCGGTGGAGGAGAGGAGGGAGGCCCAGAGCTTCCCGGTGGAGGAGAGCGGGGAGGCCCAGAGCTTCCCGGTGGAGGAGAGGAGGGAGGCCCAGAGCTTCCCGGTGGAGGAGAGCGGGGAGGCCCAGAGCTTCCCGGTGGAGGAGAGCGGGGAGGCCCAGAGCTTCCCGGTGGAGGAGAGGGGGGAGGCCCAGAGCTTCCCGGTGGAGGAGAGCGGGGAGGCCCAGAGCTTCCCGGTGGAGGAGAGGGGGGAGGCCCAGAGCTTCCCGGTGGAGGAGAGGGGGGAGGCCCAGAGCTTCCCGGTGGAGGAGAGCGGGGAGGCCCAGAGCTTCCCGGTGGAGGAGAGCGGGGAGGCCCAGAGCTTCCCGGTGGAGGAGAGGAGGGAGGCCCAGAGCTTCCCGGTGGAGGAGAGGGGGGAGGCCCAGAGCTTCCCGGTGGAGGAGAGCGGGGAGGCCCAGAGCTTCCCGGTGGAGGAGAGGGGGGAGGCCCAGAGCTTCCCGGTGGAGGAGAGCGGGGAGGCCCAGAGCTTCCCGGTGGAGGAGAGGGGGGAGGCCCAGAGCTTCCCGGTGGAGGAGAGCGGGGAGGCCCAGAGCTTCCCGGTGGAGGAGAGGGGGGAGGCCCAGAGCTTCCCGGTGGAGGAGAGCGGGGAGGCCCAGAGCTTCCCGGTGGAGGAGAGGGGGGAGGCCCAGAGCTTCCCGGTGGAGGAGAGCGGGGAGGCCCAGAGCTTCCCGGTGGAGGAGAGGGGGGAGGCCAAGCCCACCTAGTGAGGCCTCTGCTCCTCCTGTCCTGATGGTCGCAGGCTCCAAATACAGACCCTCACTCTGTGACCCCAGCAGGCGGAAAACCAGAGGAGACGCTCTCCCTGGATCACAGCCAAGCTCTCAGGACGCGAAATTGAGACAGAAGGAGACGCTCAACCACTCCCATCTGTGACCCCAACGTGGAGAGTCCGCGTGCGCGCCCGCGGTGAGCACTGCAGACGCGCTGTGTGTGAGACCAGGACGAGCAGGTGTGGAGGGCAGGAGCCTGTGTATCTCAGCCTCTCCTGCGGCAAACAGCACTTTCAGGCAGCACAACACAAAACGCTTGCCACAGACGACAAGCACCAGGGGAACAGAAGGAGGGGCCTGAATCGGCAGAGGACGCCAAACAAGCGGGACCCAAGCTCAGAACCCAGCCTCAAACCAGGACTGAACAGCGGAGGGCCCCAGGCAGCCTGAGTCCTGACCTGGTGCGGACTCTGCCCCAGCTCAGACACCCGGGTGCAGGGGCCTTTGCGGGCTCAGGGCGAGCCAAGTGGCTGGGTCTGCCGGGAGGGGCAGCACAGTCGCTGTCCAGCAAGACCTCCCTGGGGACAGAGAAACGAAGCCCACCCACAAGAGAACAAGCAGAGGCGTTTACTCAGTGCTTCCTACAGCAGGGAGTCCTCCATCGTCCCTCTGCCCCGCTGAGGCCTAACGACAGGCAGCGGAGGGGACGCTTCACCATGGGACAGGGACGGCTCCCGGCTCCCCTGATCAGAGGTCAAGGCCTGGGGAAGCTGGGGCACTCCCTAGAAGGGGGCATCCTACGCGATCGGCCAGGGGCCACATTGGGGGTTCTCTGGCTGGCTCTGAGTTGAAAGTGGAGACAGAGGTTAAGGAAGCTGGGGGTCTCTGGACCCGCGGGCAGGTAGCAGCAGAGGCTGTGGTCGCCCTCCCGGGCTGCGGTGTGCAGTGTGGTTTGTGCGTCAGCGTCCGGCCATCACGTGCGGGCATCGTCCGTTCCTGTCTCCTGTCCCTGTTCCCCGGACTTCACCCTCCACTTTCTCCCTCCTCCCTAGTAACGATTTAAAACGTTGCTGTAATTTCAAGCAGAAACTTTATTGCCCTCATTAGCTCTATTTATTATATATTGTTTTGTAAATTGTTTTCCGTCTTTATGAGTGTGCATACTTTCCATTTTATGGGACATCCTTCCGCAACATCATTTTTATAGAGGCACAATATTCCATTTTATGAATATGGGGTTTATGAATGAGTCAGATATAATACTTAGGTTGTTTCTAATTTCCATTATTATAAACAACACTGCAATGAACATTCGTATAACTGTATCTTTGCATAATCCATTAGCGGATCTATCAATATTCCCTCAGAATAAAGTTTCTTGAGCATAATATAATGAAAACTGCTAATGGTTTGAGACTTTTTAAGGCTTTCATTGCATATTTTCAAATCTCCTCCTGGAAAAAAAAATTGGAAATCTCAGCCGCACTACATGACTCTGCCACTTTTCTAAGAGCCATACTAGTATCGGGTTTAAAAGAAAGTGGAAGAAAAAGAGTGGGCATTGCTGTTTACTGCTCACCAGGACTGGCGAAATCCAGTCCCTCCCTGCTGTCTCTGATCCCTTCCGTCCATAACGCAGCAGCGAAGGAGGACGAGCCCTTCTGAGGCTTCTCAGCCAAGCACAGTAAACCCACATGCTCCTTCCGTGCCCCAGGCCCTGTGTGCCGCCCACCCACCCCTGCCTGGCTCTCCTCTCTTCCCCCAGCATCTTGTTCATTCTGTCCCAGCCTCATTGGCTGCTACTGGACAGCCCAAGCTCAGCCCTGGTTCTTTACACTGAGTCCTGGTGCCCTGGAGTCTCTCCCCACCTCCCCTGCCCTCCTCCCTCCCTTCATCTGCCCAAATGTGAGGTCTGCATGAGCACAGGTCTGGCAGAGAACTCTGCTCACTCGCCACCCAGTATTTTGGTTCACTTTTTCTTTCTTAGCATCTTCCACCAACAAATTATTGTTGGATTAGTTTATTTCCGCGTCTGTTGTCTGACTCTCTCCCAGCCTGCATGGAACGTCAGCTCCATGGAGCAGCGCAGTGTCCATCTGGCATCTGGAGCCATGCTGGGCTGGAGGAGGTACCAGGTCCAAGACTCGGAAGATGAGTGAAGGAATGAATGAATGAATGAATGAATGAACGAAGGGGACTTTTGCCCATTGTTCTATTAGAGTGTTTTCCCTTTCTTTTGATTTTAAGGGCCCTCTACTTCAATAATAAACTTTTTCTGGCTGTGTGTCAGAGTCTTTTCTTGTCTGTTATTTGTCATGTTATTTTGGTAATTTTTATTTGTTATGCCAGAGTCAAGTTCACCAGAAATATTTGCTGTTTTCTGCCTTTGATTTAATTCCTAACACAAAGTGACCACAACAGGTGCATGTCACTCATCATATCATTTTTTCTGATTCCTTTGTTTGTAATGAAAATCACGATTCCTTCTCCCTAGGACTACAGAGTGAGGGTGCACTCGGCCTTCTGTGGTTTAATTTTATCTGATATTAATGTACCTGATGTGTCTCTGGGTCTCTCCTGTGCACTTGCTGGAGCAAAGCAGATTCTATCCACAAATACCCCTGGGGCCCCATCTCATCTCCCTCCCGGGGAAGGTCCTCTGGCTTCTCCTGTCTTCAGCTCCCACTCCCTCTCCTGAGGCAGGTGCCTCCGCATGTCCAGGGCTGCTATCTGTGACCCCATCCTGTGTCTGCAGGTGGCAGCCCCCTCTTTTTTTTTAATTAATTTATTTTTTTTAGTATTGTTATACTTTAAGTTTTAGGGTACATGTGCACAATGTGCAGGTTAGTTACATATGTATACATGTGCCATGCTGGTGCGCTGCACCCACTAACTCGTCATCTAGCATTAGGTATATCTCCCAGTGCTATCCCTCCCCCCTGCCCCACCCCACAACAGTCCCCAGAGTGTGATGTTCCCCTTCCTGTGTCCATGTGTTCTCATTGTTCAATTCCCACCTATGAGTGAGAATAAGGCATCCTGTGTCTCCCCGGTGCCTGCATCATTCTGGAGACCCAAAGCCACAGCTCCCTGGCTGCCCCCCGTAGAGCTCTTTCCTCTTAATTTACAAATCAAACAGTCAACTTAAAACACAATAGCTGACCTGAAGCCAAAGAATCTGCCCACCCCAACGACAGGAGCTCTCAGAGCGATCCTGTCCCACCTCACCTCCCACCATCCCCCACCCCCGCTCCCCCCCAACATCAGGCTCAAACACTCTCGGGGCCACAGACATGGCTGATTTCTATTTTCCAGGCCCTGCTTGACTCTTTTCTCATGTCCGTGACAACTCTTCATCCCTTTCAAAGATGTCCCAGCCGCTCTGCTCTGTTTAATTAAACATCTTGAAATTAAGTGTTAGCATTTTCAACACAAACTACGTGGTGGTTTCCATGCAAACTCCGCACCGCTTTCCCGGGGAAGCTTCCAGGGGGATCTCCCACAGACAGGTTGTCCAAGAGCTCCATTTAGCTTTGCACATGGCCAAGGGTGAATGCGTGCTGCAGGGTCACAGGGCCTGGCTGTGCTGGGTCAGTGAGTGCATGTGGCGGTGGGGGGACGCAGGGGTGTGGGGGCTGGGCTCACAGCTGTGCTGGGGTCAGAGAGTGCACGGGGTGGGGCGCAGGAGTGCAGGGGTGTTGGGGCTGGGCTGGGCTCACAGCTGTGCTGAGGTCCACGAGTGCACGGAGTGAGGTGCAGGGTGTCGGGGCTGGCCTCACAGCTGTGCTGGGGTTGGGAAGTGCACGGGGGTGGGTGGTGGGCGCAGGGCTGCCAGGGCTGGGCTCACAGCTGTGCTGGGGTCAGCAAGTGCATGGGGGGGGCGGGGGGGTGCACAGTGGGGGGTGCAGGAGTGCAGGAGTGTCGGGGCTGGGCTCACTGGAACACACGAGATGCTTGCTGGTGAACAAAAGCTGCAGAGTCACAGCCCCAATCAAGGCTTCATCCCCTAATTTCTCCTGGCCAAGCTTTCTGTGAACCCCGTGATGGAATCCCTT
Organism: Homo sapiens; assembly: GCF_000001405.40. Lineage (NCBI taxonomy): Eukaryota > Metazoa > Chordata > Mammalia > Primates > Hominidae > Homo > Homo sapiens. Next base: position 49,270,508 of record NC_000022.11, read on the forward strand.
GCAGGAAGCTCCTCAAATGCTTTTGACAAGGCTTCTTAGGAAGGGCGGAAGGACAGCCTTGGCCCCGTCTACAAGACCGGTTCGTTTTCCATAAAAAGGAACTCAGAGATAATGCTAAATATTTCCAAACAGGCAAATTTGGGGGCATTCTTCATCCATCTGTCCAACAAATTAATGAACAAATGACTCCCATTTGAAGCATTTTGTGTGTCTTCAAGTGAAATTACTAGAACACTCTAAGTCAGAAATGCTCACCAACAGCATGCGTCACCCAGCTCCCGCCCAGGTTTAACCAAATATGGCAGCGTGAGCCTAGTCAATGGCAACAGATCTCAGTCAGTAACGAACTTGCTGGATGACAGAGAAGGTAAGAGGAATAGAAGTCACAACCAACTCCCTGCAACAGCACGGACACCCCAGCACCAGAGATGCCGGCGCCTGTCTGGGTGCTTGGAGCAGCAGCCGACACCATCCAAGGGCCCAGGACCCAGGACCCAGGACCCAGACAGCACGCTGTGGCTCTCGTTCTGCATGTGGTCACTAATTGTGATGATTTCTCACATCTCACAAAGCGATGACCTACGTAAGGAACTCTTGAGCCTACATTAAATGAAGTCCTTCACAGACCAGCCAACAGCAGGCAAGATTTGGAGTCCAAGTTTGGGAGTCAGGCCAAGGCTCTCACCCTATGGGGCCTGGAAGACTTGCAGAGACCCAACGATGGGGTGTGCAGGCACCTGGAAAGGGGGTTCAGTGTCCCGTCATCAAGGGTTCCCACGCAGGGCGCAGGGTCCAGGTTCACCCCCAATCGGGTCCCCTTCCTGCAGAAGAAAGACCCTCACCTGGCTCTGCTGCCCCCAGGAGAGGCACTTCCTGTTCTGTGGATGTGAAGAAGTTGGCTTGGGCAAAGCCACTGGCTTTTTGAACTGCCCCAAGTTTCAGCATCAGGACCATGAGCTTGAGGGAGGTGTGAGGTTGGTTGAGGTTCCACCCTGCAGAGCAGAGAGGCATGTTCATGTCCCATTCACAACTGCACCCTCAAAGGGAGCACAGACTCAGCAGGTGAGTCTCCAGGGACCCAGAGTCCTGAAAGCAAGAGTCAAGACTTGAAGGTTGCTTGTTGCTGCAGCAAAGCTGAGTGGTGTCAACATTAACCCTAACCTCCAACCCCAACCCTAACCAGAACCCCTAATCCTAACCTCTAACCCCAGCCCTAACCCTAACCCTAATCCTAACCTCTAACCCTAACTTTTACCCTAACCCCTGATCCTAACCTGTAATCCTAGCCCTAACCCTAACCCCTAATCCTAACCCCAACACTTACCCTAACCCCTAATCCTAACCTCTAACCCCAACTTGTACCCTAACCACTAATCCTAACCTCTAACCCCAGCCCTAACCCTAACCCCTAATCCTAACCTCTAACCCCAGCCATAACCCTAATCCAAACCCCAAGGTCAAGTCTGTGGTGGAGCCAGCGTCCCCGGGGAGGGGACAAGCCAAGTACCTCCCATGCCTTCAGCAGGGACAGAAGACTTCAGGAAAGTCCCCGGGCAAACAGGGGCCCCACAGGCACCTTTGTCACATGGCCAGCTGGGTGTCCTTGGAACTGGCCTCTTGTGTGCACCATGCAGGGCAGGTGTGCGGCTCATTCAGGCTTCTTCAGCGACTATAGACAGGTCTCAGACCCCCACTACTAGCTTTGAAAACCTGTAAGAAAAACGGTAGACCAAGACAGAAACTACCAGGCTAGATGCAATTTAGCTTTCCTTCTTGCTCTAAAATTCTGTCTTTACAAAGAAAAGTACCTACATTCATGGTTTCCACTCTTAAGTTTCTTATTTTCTTCCAGCGCTTTCTGAGGTCTCAGGTGAATATATTCTAACAAATGCATTATTTGAGGAGATCACAGTGAAGTCCACCTATATAACGTTTATTTTAAATTCAATAAATGTTGGATCTTGGGTAAACTTTTTACTTGTGCACAGCTTCCACATTCTCGTCATGGTTCTGACGAGGCCAACGTGTAATCCATCAGTCCAGTGTTACTACGATGGAGCTGGGGAAAACACTATCCCCAGGCCCGCTAGTTTTCTATGAGGAGTGTTCATTCTCACTCTCACAAACCTGCAGGGCGGCTGCAGTTCTGCTCCTCCAGCTCTGGGCTTTTCTGGGCAGCTCGGTTGCAAAGCTGAAAGCTGAACTGGAGTCTGGACTGTGAGGTGTGATGGGAAGTCCAGGCTGAAGGGCGGCAGCTGTCCAGGCCAGATCATGGCGCGTGTGTCCAGATCCAGGATCTACGGGGCTACGGCTCACACCACGCCCTCTAGCACTCGACTAGCAGATGCATGACCAGACCCAGATTTCCCAAGAGGGAAAATGTATCCCATGCAGCAGAAGGAGGAGGGGCTCGATACTTGCTGAGTGACAATTACATCTACTGTTTGGATCACGCATCTACACACCAAAGAATCAGGTCCAAAAACACCTGCCATGGAAGCTAATGTGAAGGAAGCCGTCGGCTGCTGGGAACCCACCCTACATCAAACCCCACCTGTGCCTAATGGTACCTGACTCTCCATGGAGGTGAAGGCACCGACGTTTTAGAACTTGCCCAAATGTGTGGACGTCACCAGGAGTTAACCCACACCAAAGCTGTGATGCTTTGTCACAGACACAGGGTTATTAAAAATAAAATGTCTATGAAAATTGAAAAATCCATAAAAATATTAAACTTAAAAAATTTTGGGTTAGAAGTAAAATATACATATGTGATTTACCATCTAAAAATGTGAAACTTTTATCATTGTCAGTGATAATCAAATACTTCCATTTTCCACCATGCATAGTAATTTTGAGATCGTTATTAAAAATTGTTTAAGTTTGGCCAGGCGCAGTGGCTCACACCTGTAATCCCAGCACTTTGGGAAGCCAAGGCGGGCTGATCACCTAAGGTCAGGAGTTCGAGACCAGCCTGGCCAACATGGCGAAACCCCCATGTCTACTAAAAATACAAAAATTAGCCAGGCGTGGTGGCACATGCCTATAATCCTAGCTACTCAGGAGGCTGAGACAGAAGAATCACTTGAACCCAGGAGGCAGGGGTTGCAGTGAGCCAAGATCATGCCACTGCACTCCAGCCTGGGCAATAGAGGGAGACTCCGTCTCAAAAAAATAATAATAAAAATAAAAACTGTTTAAGTTCTATTGGTAGTGTCACTATGATGTTTTAAATTTATAAATTTCATTGCAAATTATAGGGTAAATGAACTCTAAACAGGATTACAGTTTACATTACCGGAAAAAAATCAGCTCAAAATCCGTCATCATGCATGAAAATGTTCAGGCAAAAATAAAAAGTGTGCAAATGTCTCCTTGATATTCAGCAAATGCCATGGCCGACATTAAACTTTCAGGCCCTCGTTACTGTGTCATTGGAAATGCCTCTGCAGTTCTAAAGTGGCTGATACAGTAATTAAACCGAAGACTACATTGCCTTATACGCTGACGGCTTGGTTTTATTGTCACTAACTAGGATCGTCTCAGAAATCAGCTGATCTGCTGTCTAATGGCTGTCAGAAATGAAGGTCTGAGTTCAATTATTCTAAAACAAACACAGACACTTTTGGTGTGAATCCTTCAATATTTAATTGGACTATATCTGGCAACCCTACACAGAAGGTCAACTCAATTAGCCACCAGGGACACCTGTCCCCGCTGCTCACCACAGAGCCACGCAGCCACGTCTGCCTGGTCTCCTCTTACCTTCGTGCACTTAAACTTACATTTTTCCTCTCAGTCGACCCATTTCTTGTCTTACTTTTATTTTGAAGACAACTTTATATCACTGTGAAATTACAGGCTTGACGCCCTAGTTATATTCCTGGTAATACCTTTTAAAATAAAATCGTTAACCTATTAAGATAAGAAACAACTGCCCCATGCCCCAAAACCACCCTTCCATGCCACCCTGTGCCCTCCTCGTTGGAGTCTCCAAGACACACCCTAGGAACAGAAATCCTGCCTTAAGCACACCTCCTACGTCCGTTTCTACAGACGACGTCGTCCTTGGATTCAGCCACACCATCAGCAGGCTTTCTATCCAGGGAGCAACGTTTTGATCTCTCAAATAATTGCTTCTGCCTTGGTGTGGGGCCCCTGTCATGGGCTTCAGCCCAAAGATTGGGGTCAGGGGAAGGGGGGACTCTGCTCTGGGACCCGCAGCAAGACCCAGGTGCTCAGCCCTCCCCAAGCACCTGCCAGGCTACAGAGAGGTGGGGACACTTCTACAAGGCACTGGTGATAGGGAAGCAGCAATTCCAAAACAACCAGCCAGGTCTCCCCCAGGAAGCTCTAGAGGGGTGTGTGTTTCTCTCTGCCATGTGCTGAAGTGCACTGGCCTGTGTGTAGGATTTGGAAGGTTGGCACGGACGCTCTGGAGGGGTGTGTGTTTCTCTCCGCCATGTGCTGAAGTGCACTGGCCTGTGTGTAGGATTCAGAAGGTTTGTGTGGATGTGCATTTTCAGCTACAAGAGGATTCTGTGCTGCTTTCCTCCTGTTCCTCTGGAACCGTCCCGGGACAGGCAATGCCTGGTCAGCGGCCACAGGGCCTCTTCACTCCGCTCGGTGTCCGGGGGGCCAGCCCACCAGAGGGTGGTGCCACGCGGCTCTGAGTTCACTAGGCCCCCACCTCCCTGCGTTCCCCACCCACTCCACGGCTCACTGGGACCACTCTGAAGTTGGCTGACGTTCAACTTTTCCCTGGGGTGGGTCTTGGAGACTCCAAAGAGGAGGGCACGGGGTGGCATGGGAGGGGGTTTTGGGGCACACGGCAGTTGTTTATTATCTTAATAGTTTAATGATTTTATTTTAAAAGGTATTACAAGGAATATAACTAGGTCCTCAAACCTGTAATTTGGCTTCTCATCTCTGCAGTGGTGGTGGCAGCGACGAGGATGTGTTTTGTATTTCACTGATTTCAAATGAGCCTGGGAAGCCTTTTCCCAGCTTCCCATTGGGCTTTCTGTCTTTTTCTTTCTGAAGTAGGAATCGCCTCTCTAGTCACGACATTAGTTCTTCATTGACGTTCTGCTTTCTTTCAGCTGATCATTGGGCCATAGCGTCGTGTACTGGAGACAACCACTCCGTGTTGATGGAGAAGTCGCCCAGGTCTTGCCTGGTGGTGTCCCATGTTCCCTGTGCTCAGGCCTCAAGGATATTCGTCCTCATGGTCTCCTGTCAGCTTAACGTTATGCCTTGTGCATTCAGGCCTGAATCCACCTGGGATCCATGTTAACGTGTTGGATCAGGTATGGATCCAGGTGTCCTCTCCTCCAGAGTGAGCCGGGATCACCCACAGTACCTACTGGGGGGTCCTCTTTGCCTCAGTGTACGAGTCAGGGTTCTCTAGAGGGACAGAACTAATAGGATAGAAGTATATAAAAAGGGGAGCTTATTAAGTATTAACTCACATGCTCACAAGGTCCCACCATGAGCCATCTGCAAGCTGAGGAGCAAGGAGAGCCAGTCCGAGTCCCAAAACTGAAGAACTGGGAGTCCGATGTTTGAGGACAAGAAGTATCCAGCACGGGAGAAGGATGTAGGCTGGGAGGCTAGGCCAGTCTCGCCTTTTCACGTTGTTCTACCTGCTTTATATCCTAGCTGCACTGGCAGATTGAGAGTGGGTCTGCCTCTCCCAGCCCACTGACTCAAATGTTAATCTCCCTTGGCAACACCCTCACAGACACACCCAGGATCAATACTTTGCATCCTTCCATCCAATCAAGTTGACATTCAGCATTACCCATCACAACTATTGATTTGTGTTGCCACCCACAGGTCCTCAGTGTTTAGGGTTACGCCATTGTTTACGCCACTACTATCATTCTCATCATCATTATTGTGATTTTGGAAAACTCTTAACATCTGGTAAAGCAAGCATTCCTTCTTGGTTCTCCTGCTTTCCAAGTTGGCTTTTACACCCATCCCCCAGCCCCAGCTGAAGTGTGTGCATCAGATCCCTGGGAAAGCCTGGCTGGACTGGGCTCAGAGCGGCACTGAGCCGGGGGGACTGCAGACGGGGCTGGCGCCCTGCACACATTATATCCACCCATCCAGGGTCTTCCTTCAGGTCCCAGGATATATATGTGCTGCTGCCGTCTCGGGACCACCCCCATCCTGCCTGGCATCACCCCTGTGTGCCTGTGCCCATGGCCTGAGCCGAGACCGGGATTCACAGCCTGACTTCCTGGAGTCCACGTCCCTCCTGGATTTCCTGGAGGGCCAGGTGTTGGCCCTTGTAGCCTGTATGCTGCCTGGCCCAGGTTCAGCGTCATTGCTGGAAAGACACAGCGGACCACATTCTGCCTGACCTTGGATGTGGTCACAAGGTGGGGAGGGCACATCTACCTTCCTTCCTTGGAGCCAGCCTCTCAGGATCTTCTGAAGCTGGGGAGCAGTTGGAGTACAAGCTGAACCCAGAGTGTTCAGGAAACCGAGGGGAATTCCAAGCAGCCGTGACCCTCCAGCCCAGGCTCCTCTGTGTGAGCAGGACCTTTCACAGTGAGTGGACAAGGTGGGGAGTGATTTCTGCTGGGTCAGCGTGGACCTGCCAACTTCAGAAGTGTGTCCTGATCCATCCTGGGGCGGTGAAATTGCATTGATGTGGACACACAGCCCCCGAGGATAAGGAACGCATTTTTATTTTATTTTATTTTAGGTTCTGGGATACATGTGCAGAAGGTACAGGTTTGTTACACAGGTAAATGTGTGCCATGGTGGTATACTGCACCTATCAACCCGTCGTCACCTAGGTATATTAAGCCCTGCATGCATTAGCTATTTGAAGAACGGCATTTTTTTGTTTTTGTTTTTGTTTTGAGACAGAGTCTCATTCGGTCACCCAGGCGGGACTGCAAAGGCACGATCTCAGCTCACTGCGTCTTCCACCTTCCGGGTTCAAGCGTTTCTCCTGACTCAGCCTCCCAAGTAGCTGGGATTACAGGCTCACGCCACCATGGCCAGCTAATTTTTGTATTTTTACTAGAGACAGGGTTTCACCATATTGGCCAGGCTGGTCTCAAACTCCTGACCTCAAGTGATCCTCTTGCCTCGACCTCCCAAGTGCTGGGATTACAGGCGGGAGCCACTGGCACCTGGCCAGACAGCATTTTTTAATGTGGCCTGTTTGATAAGTCCTTGGTAATATTGATAGAGTGTTTGCCAGTTAAGAAGTAGAAACCAGTGACGGTGGGCCATGAAAATGATCACATATTGGCCCTTTCATTTCGTGAAATTGCACCGACACTTCCCCTGTGGCAGGATGGCACGCCCACATTTCATAGGAAGGCTTTGCTCTCTGCCGTGTGCTCCTCTGCGTGGACAGAAAGGAGCAAAGAGGAAGAGGACCACAGCATGAAGTGGGGACGCAGGTGCCTGCGGAGGACACTTGTGTCTCTTGGGAACACTTGTGTATATTTTAATTTTTTTTTAATTCCAGAGAACTCCTTGTCCTGGCAATCCTGTGTTGATTTATTTATGGTTCTGAAATTGTTGCCAGGCTGGACACCTGCCTGGGGCAGGCCAGTGGCCCACACTGTCCCTCGTGCTGGTTTCTAAGGCCCAGCCTCTCCAATAACATTTTAAATGGCTTCTAAATTGCTTCATTTATTAAATATTCACTGTGAGAACAAAAAAGAGGATAATTCATTTTGGTGGAAGGGTTTCCTTTCCCCCTAAAAACTTTGTAGAAAAACAGCCCGTAATAATGGCAGACTTCGTAGGTGTCCGGTGGGAGAACAGGGCAGTCTGTTCAAGGCATAAATGAAACGATCTCCCAACTCACTTGGACAAACGGGGAGTCAAGGAGGTGTAAGACTTCATGAGCAAGCTGTGTCCTTGGCTGCCACCTGCGCTGGGAACCCCGGAAACCTGGGAGCGTGTACCGCTGCCCCTTCCATGGGGCCCTGAGCTGCCGCAGGGTTCGAGTTAAACAGCCACAATCCATCACTGTTTATGAGGTCAGCACAAGGGGCCACTTAGCTGTTGGCTGACCAGAGACACAATTCCTGCTGATGGGGGAGGTGGACATCTGCTGTGTGCAGGGGTTGCCTGGGGGTCCCAGGTGTCCTTTCCGGGCTGCGAATGCAAATAGAGTGGCCAGGGCTAATTGCTGCTGTCAAGCCTGGGAAATCAGATTTATTATCCATGTATCTCAAAGCCTTCATTAAGAGTTCGGGGAGAAAAAAATGTCTGTGTTCTCCATCTCCTACCAAGATTAATGAGTCAAAGAGCAGATATTTTTATAACCATGCTATCTGACTTTAATTTTAAATTCAAAAACATGCACTGGGCCCAGCTGATGTTGTACAGATTTAAAGAGGTGAGGAGCCACACACCTGGTTAGCAGATTGGACAGGGACATTTGGGCGTCTTGCAGGAGGCTGTTTCTTGTGGGTGTTTCTGTTATGCAGACAGCATGGATGTTTTCCACTATAAGACCATTCCACTTGCAGCACTGTCTGCAATGCCAGTATGTTTCCACACCAAGACACGCACTCGCCAGAGATGTTAAAGTGACTCGTTGTAAGGAGGCTCAATCTTCGCATGCACAACCATGATACTGCTCACATGTGAAGACATCAGCAATATTGACGGGCTTGAGTTTCTCCAATACATAATTCAGATACCATAAAATTCACCCTGTTTAAAAAAGTGTGCAGTTCAGTGATTCTCGGTGTTCATGACTGTAGCTCTGCAGGGAGTTTTGAATCTGGGAAGTCTGAACCCTCCAGCTTTGTTTTTCCTTGTCAAGATTGATTGGGCTAGTCTAGATCACTTGAAATTTCTTTTTCTTCTCTTCTCCTTCTTCTTCCCCTTCTCCTTCTTCTTCCTCTTCCTCTTCTTCTTCTTCTTCTTTTTTTTTTTTTTTGAGATGGAGTCTTGCTCTGACACCCAGGCTGGAGTACAATGTTGTGATCTCGGCTCACTGCAACCTCTGCCTACTGGGTTCAAGAAATTCTCCTGCCTCAGCCTTCTGAGTAGCTGGGATTACAGGTGCCCACCAAAATGCCTGTCTAATTTTTGTATTTTTAGTAGAGACAGAGTTTCACCATGTTAGCCAGGCTGGTCTCGAACTCCTGACCTCAGGTGATCCACCTGCCTTGGCCTCCCAAAGTGCTGGGATTACAGGCGTGAGCCACTGCGCCCAGCATAGATCACTTGAAATTTCATCCCATTGCCTTCTGCTCTCCATGGTTTCTGATGAGAAATGAACAGTTAATCTTACCAAGGATCCATTACACAAGAGTCACATCTCTCCTACTGTCTTCAAGATTCTCTCTTGAATTTTGATAGTTTGAGTATAACGTGTCTATGTGTCTCAGAGTTTGTCCAACTTGGAACTGTCTAAGCTTCTTAATTCTATAGACTAATGTTTTCTTCGCCAAATTTGAAAAGTTTTCAGGAATTATTTTTAAACCTTTTTTCCTAATCATTTATATCTTTCTCTTCTCCTTTGGGACCTCTTATCGTGCATGTGTGGGTATATTTAATGACATGCCACAGGTCTCTGAGTCTCTGTTCATTTTTTTATTCTTTTTTTTCTCTCTTCTCAGATTGAATAGTCTCAATTGTCCCACCTTCAAGTTTGTAAGGTCTTTCTCCTGCCTATTCCAACCCACTGTTGAGTTCCTCTAGTGAATTTTCACTTGAGGCATTGTATTTTTCAACTCCAGAAATTTATTTTTTTATAGCTTCTATGTCTTTACTGATATTGCCTCACTGGTGAGACATGGTTCTCATACTTTTCTTTAGTTTTTAGACATGGTTTCCTTTTGTTAAATCACCATATTTAAAATTAGGTGATTTTAAGTCTTTGTCCTCTAAGTCCAATGCCTGGGCTTTCTCAGGGATAGTTTTAACTGACTGCTTCTCTTATATGTATAAAACCATAACTTTCTGTTGCTTTATATGCCACCGATATTTTGTTGAAAACTGGACATTTTAAATACTATGATGTGGCATCTCTGGAAATCAGATTCCTACCCTCAGATTCCAAATCAGATTCCAAACCGGGGTTTGTTGCTCTTGCTTTTTGTTTTTGCTTTTGTTGTCATCGTTGTTTGGTGACTCTTGTTAACTAGTTCTGTAAAGTATGTCTTCTCTGTCATGTTTGGCCACTAACATCTCTGCTTGATTAGCTCTGTGGCCAGCCAGTGATTGGATGGAGACGTCTTAAACACCTGCAATCTGTCCGTCCCCCAGACTGTTTGGAAGGGATATTCTGTGTGCATGAGGGGTGTGCCCGCCACACTCAGCAAGTGTACAATTCTGCATAGCTTTACTTCCTGTGTGTGCATAAGCTCAAAGTCATCTAGGGTGGAAGCTCAGGAACAACTTCTCAGATCTTTCCTGAGCATTCACATAGCTCTATGCACACAGGTAGCTTTCTAGATTCCCAAGAATATGTCAGAGATTTTCCGAACTGCAGAGGATATCTCATTCCCCAGATTTTCCTTTGAAATATTTTGTGAGCCTAATGTTTGTGTCAACTCTCATCCACCACCTCAGGTAGGTGCAAAGTTCAACAATTTCCTCCAGTAATTTTCAACAAACACCTCCAGGGAGAAGGCTTTTTGTATTGTGCGAGTTCTGAGTCAGGTCAAATAAAAACACCCTCGCAAGTGAGGTCCTCCAGAAACTGCCAGACAGGTCAAGTCATGACAGTCTTCTGCAAATGAGGCTTGGAAGGAGCCCCAGCCCTGTGCTCCTCTTCCCTGTGAGTGCTGGGCTGCTGGGCTCACAGAGATGGCAGGCTGTTGATCTTCAAGTCAACCACAGAGCTGCAGAAAGGGGCGTGAGAAGAGGGCAGGTTAAAACACTGCAGAGTTCACTGGCTTTGTGCATTAGACCTGAGGGAGCTGAGCACTGGAGTCTCATGGGGTGGGGCTTCTGAGGTCCTGGGGCCAGAGTGGGCTTGGTGGTCTGAGGGACAAGGAAGGGCACTGTAAGGATGGAACAGATTGAGTAAGGGGAGGCAATGAGGCTGAGTGTAGAGAAGGAACTGGCCACCTAGGAGCCTCATATTCATTGTAAAGAAACTTATTTCACTCTGAAAGAAATTCAGAGCCAAGCAGGGTCTGGTAAGAGGAGTGATGAGTCAGAACTACTCGAAAGGTTTTACCCCGCAGCTCTGCAGAGAGGACCCTAAAAGCGGAGCAGGAGTGGAAGCAGAGAGACAGTTTAGAAAGTCATTGACAATAACCTGATTGCAGAGGACAGTGACTGGGCCAGGGTGGTGGCCAGACAGACGGTGAGAAGGGTTCAGATCTAGGTAGATTCTGAAGGTCAAGCCCTCCGGATTTGCAGATGGACTGTGCATGCGCTGTGAGAGGAAACCTTGCTTTGTAGACACCTGGAGGGAGGGAGTTAGCATATGAACAAAGGTGGTGGAGGTTTGTGGGGAAGAGAATGTCCAGTGTCCACTCTCAGGTGCTGATGAGTTAAGGGTGAGATGCCCAAAAGACCCCTAAGGAGGTCGAGCAGGAGGCAGCCGGATGGAGGAGCCTGAAGGGCTCGGGGCTGGAGGCAGAGATGACTCAGGGGAGGCCAGTGTCTGGACGGAGTTCAAAGCCATGAGACAGCAGGAAAGAACGCCGATAAGAGAGAGAGAGAGAAGCAGTGGGCTGAGTCCCGAGGATCCCATTTCTACAGGTCTGAGAAACAGGAAGAAATAACAGCCAACACGATACCAGCTCCCTGGCTGTTATTCCAACATTCAATTCTAGCTGTGTGATTTCAGAAAATCCATTTACCCTCTCTGGGCCTTGGTTTTCTCATCTGTAGATTGGGCGTAATGAGTTTCCTGCCTCCCCTGCAGGGTTTGGACCTGCCAGCCCTCACCATGACCAAAGCAAATTCCTTGAATTTATTTCCCTTTTATATAAATGTGCAACTGGGTCTGCTCCTCTGCAGAAACCGGATATGTCGGGATAATGAATTCTGCCGTGGCTGCATCTTTCACAGCTGTGTTGGGTCCAGGCAGGGATGGAGGTGGAAGTCTTGAACAAGCAAGAAGGGAGGTTCATTTTCCAATCTGAGCTTGGCTGTTTTCTGTCCTCACTGTAACTCCGGTTCTCACTGGTCTGGTCCTCAAGCAAGAGGCAAGCGTCTTCGAGTCCCTGACTGACCCATGGTCCATCACTCCCCACCCAGGTCCCTGTGCCTGGACCCGGGTTCCCCAGGAGACACAGAGGCCCTGCCCCAGCCGCCGGCTGATCCCGTGTGACCTTGGTCATGAGAACACGCATCAGCCGTGTCCATCATGAATCAGCCGGCGTGCTCATTACAACAGGAGCTTCAATCTCATCTTCTTAATAGCTTGATCTGACCAAATAATTGAGAATCACATCCTGCCACACCCTGCCAGCAGTGGCTGGCCTTCCAGAGGTAGGTGGGCGTACTGTGGAACCAGGGATGAAATGTCACCTGACTTTTTACTTAGCAGATACTCTCCAGGAGGCTGTGCTGTGTTTGAACTAGGGGTGTGGGGGGACAGGGGAAGTGAACCAGCCAGTGTCGGCCCCCAAAGGAATGTACAGGTCACTAGGGCGGGAAGAGGCAGGAACAGGAGGGAGGGCACAGGGCTGTGAGGAGACGCTCCTGGTGGGCAGAGGAGGCCAGGCTGGACACCTCCTCCATCCCAGGTCTTGCTCTATCTTCCCACCAACCTGAAGATTCCACTTTTAAATGACAGAAAATAAGTCCCAGGATAAACACCAAGCAGGCACCAGATCAAAGCGGCAGCAAATCCATCCAGGGAGGACCTCTGCTCGGCGATCGGTGCAGGGGCAGCAAGAAAATCAGGTCCCTGTGGGCCCCGCTGCCCAGAGCCAACATAAGGAGCTCTGCAACATAAAGGATGTGTGTGTTCACGGGAAAATCAAATGGGAGCCCTGGCTGGAGCAGAACACTCTATGATTTGAAGATAATCATGAGGCATTTCTGCTTCTAGAAGACTCTGTGTGTACATGCATCCCTGGGCCGGAAGTACGGAACTCTGTGTCATGACGGAAATGCACATTAAAATGATGACGAGCCCGCACTACACGCCTATTAGAACACCCCAAATCTAAAGCGCTGACCCCAAATGCTGCAGACACGGAGCTAGAAACCTTCGTTCATTGCTGGTAGGAGTGCAGAATGGTGCAGCAGCTTTGGAAGACAGTTTACAAAACTCAATAGACTCTTAACATCGGATCCAGGAATCACACTCCTTGGCATTTACCCGAAGGGACTGAAAACCTGTACCCACATGTAAACCCACACAGGCATGTTTATAGCAGCCTTATTCATAATCACCAAAACTCGGAAGCAACCAGGATGCCCCTCAGTAGGAGAATGAAATGAACCGGTGCCTTCAGACAATGGCGCATCATCCCAGTGCCGAAAACCTGTGCTATGAAGCCCTGAAAAGACACGGAGGGAGCTTAAATGCATATTACTGAGTGAAAGAAGCCGGTCTAAAAAGGCTCCACACTGTACGATTCCAACCATATGACATTCTGGAAACAGAAAACCATGGTGATAATAAAAAGATCAGGGGTTTCCAGGAATGAGGAGGGAGGAAGGGATGTTTAGGGCAGGGGAAACTCTATGATAGTCTAATGGGGGATGCCTGTCATTACGGCTTTGTCCAAGCCCACAGATTGCACATCTCCCCTGCGGACGATAACGATGCTCAGTGTCATCCGCTCAGGGATCCTGTCAAATGCACACACAGTGGGGAACGGCCCTACGGGGGAGCCTGGGTAGGCAGGGAGGCTGCAGAAACTCCCCGTGCCTTGCATTCAATTTCACATGAACCTGCAACTGCTCTAAAAAATAAACTCTGTTTTATTAAGTGGAAGAGGGAGGCAGAAGGGGAGATCAGAGTGCTGTGATGTGGAAGCACTGGACCCACCTTTCTGAGACTCAGGAAGCTCCCAGAGCTCAGAGAGCGGGAAAGGCACGGGGTGGGGGCCACCTGCGGAGTGTGCAGGAAAAGACCCGGCCCCACCCATACGACGTCAGCCAGGGAGACCCACGCCAGGCTTCTGACCACAGAACCCTCAGAGAATGCGTTTGCATTGTTTTAAGCCGCGGCGTTGGTGGTGCATTTAGGCGGCAGCCATAGATTCTTATGCGACTTTACATCAATGGCTGCCACGACCCTGCTATGTGACACGCTAATTTTTCTTTCACTTCACAGTGTATCTTATGGATGATTCCTTATCTCATTCTTTTTCGAGGTTGCGTGGAATCACCGTACGTAATTTATAGACCCAATTCTGCTACGTGGACATGTAGACACTTCGCAGGAGCTTTTGCTTTTTGTTTGTTTGCTTTTATTGTGGATGATCTGAGCTAACGTTGGGTGATCCAGGGGCTATTTTGCCCTCTCCATCATGTTCTGTCTCAGGCTGCGAGGCTGGCTCCGGGCTTCCTCTCCCAGAGCTCGGGGCAGGGTGAATTCCCCACCTGTAACTCTTAGACATCGCTAATTCTGCAAGACTCCATCAGGACATTGCAGATATTAGGGCAGGGGCGGACGAGGCGCCTCCCCGGTGCCAGGGTCACACTGCCGAACTCAGGTGCTGTGACCTCTGCCCTCCACAGGCTCCTCCGAAATCCAACCGGATGCCCAGGACCAGAGTTTGAGGCATGCGTCTGCAGGAGAGCAATTCAATTCCGGAAGAAAAACACGTTTTCTCTCTGTCTCCACCGATTTAGAAAGTGGAGAAAGTTGATTTCAAGGGGGTCTTTGGGAAATAAGAGGAAACAGGCTTTGGAATAACTGTGGAGAGAGATGCGAGGGCGTTCTCAGAAGGAGAGAGAGATGCGGAGAGGCGGGGCATAGATTCAAACGGCCCAGGGATGGTCGGGGTATGGGGAGGGGATCTCGGGAGGGGACGCAGACTGTATTCCAGAGCCCAGTAATGCCAGCTACATGCCCTCCTTCTCTCTGCAGGAGCAGACAGGCTCAGGCCCAGGGGCACAGGGCATCATCATTATGGGTGGATTCGGGCTGCCTCTCTGGGCTCTTCTGTGGCCGAGGGTGGACCACCCTGCCTGGCTGCTCCAGTGGAGCCTGGGTCTCCAAGGTGGTAGTTAGGCTGGTCTGGGCAGGTGGGGGCGGGAAGAGGTGCGGGAGAGGCACAGCTGACCCACCTTGGACGATGCTCGGAGGTTCTGGGCTCTGGGAATCTGGTTCTCCATGTTCACCCGCTCCCAGCGCCTCTCCCACGCAGCCTCACTGCCAGCAGGACCCACTGCTCTTCACGGCCTGTCTTGTCAGCTTGAGCTACAGTAAAACATCACTGGCCAGTTTAATCAGAAATGTTAATTCTTTACATCCTGAGGCTGGAAGGCTAAGATCAAGGCACAGGCAGATGCGGAGTCTGGCGGGAGCTGGCTTCCTGGCTCCTAGAAGACGCCACCTCACTGTGCCCTCATGGGGCAGAGAGTGTGAAGCTGCTCTCACCCCACTCCATAAAGGGCGCTAACCCCACCCTGGGGGCCACCTTCATGGCCTCGTTGGCCCTAATTACCCTCCAAGGTCCTAATACCATCGCTTTGGGAGTTAGGGCTTCAATATACAAACCGGGGGGTAGGGCAGAAACATTTTGTCTACCACAGGACCCAGTTACACTGGCCCCACCCCACCCCCAGCTGACTCCCTGTTCCAGGAGCCCCTGGAGGGCCGGGGGAGTGTGAGTCTCCGACTCAGTGGTTCTCAGACTTCCCCATCCATGAGAACCACCTGCAGGTTGGAGCACAGGTCACTGGGCCTAATCCATCACTTCCGATTCACTGCATCTAGGGAAGGTCGGAGCATCTGCATCTCATACAAGCACTCAGTGCTGTGTGTGTGATGGGCTCCGAGAACGGGGATGGGCTCGTCCACCCGGCTCCAGAGCGGGCTGTTCTGTGTGAGAAGCAGCTCTTGTGGGTCGCTTTGAACAGAGGAGATGGAAAGAGGATGTCTAGGCACACACTGGGTGAAGCATGCAGCCTCCCCCACAGACCACCAGGCCCTGACAGGAGGCACTCAGTGCAGCCCCTCAACATCACCCACCTGAACACTCAGCAGCCGAGATGACGGCACAGCCCAAAGTTGGGTCACAGGCTCAGGAGTGTCAAGCTGTGGCACCGCTGCCTGTACATCAGCTCCTCTTTGACTCCAGCCTCCGACAGACTCAGTGATGGAAACGTCAGCTTTACTCATTCCTGGTCTTCTCTCAGGGACCGGGCCAAGCTTCCGGAGCCTTAGGGAGCACTGAGGCACGAGGGAGGGGCTGCGGCCACTGTGGCTGCTGTCCACAGGCGTGTTTTCCTTAGAGAGGGAGCAAAAGGAAAAAGCAGGGTGTCAGGACCCCAAATTCACTGTGCTGAAGGGAAAGTGAAGCTTGCGAACTGAGTCATGAGGAAAACAACCTGCCTTCCTTCTGTTCCCAGAGAGCTGTCACTTCACAGGTTTACTTGGGCTTATGTGCAAAGTAGATTCACTGAGCACTTACCAAAGCCTCAGAGGAGTGTAGCTGCTTGCCTCACTGCCTGTCTACCCCACCCCTTTTTTTCCTTTCTTCCTTTCCCTTCTGCTCACTTCTTCCCCTTTAAATATTGAAGTTCCGGCCCGGCGCTGTGACTCACACCTGTAATCCCAGCACTTTGGGAGGCTGAGGCGGGCGGATCACCTGAGCTCAGGAGTTTGAGACCAGCCTGGGTAACATGGTGAAACCCCGTCTCTACCAAAAATAAAAAAATTAGCCGGGCGTGGTGGCAGGCACTGTAATCCCAGCTACTTTGGAGGCTGAGGCAGGAGAATCGCTGGAACCCAGGAGGCGGAGGTTGCAGTGAGCTGAGATCACTCCACTGCACTCCAGCCTGGGTGACAAGAGCAAAACTCCATCTTAAAAGAAAAAAAAAGAAGTTCCCAAAACCCTCTCTGGCAAAAGGATAGCCACAGATCTTACCGTAACTTGTGTTTCTTTTTCCTGGGCATGTCTTTGACCTTGGCAAAAATAAACCTCTAGATTGGCTGAGATCTGCACTTCTTGGTTACCAAGGGTTGTGTGTGAGTACATGTGCATGCATGTGTGTGCATGTGGCACGTGTGTGTTTGTGTGTGTGTGTCAGCGAGCTCTTGGGCATTTTATGGAAGAATTCTGATTGCTTAGAAACCAAACGGCCTGAGCTGCAGTATATTTTACCAACGAGCTCCTTCTTTAAAGAGCTGAACACCGTCAGAAATAAGCCCAGGTAGGCAGTGGGGGCCATCAGAGAAATATACCTCTTATTACCACCTGGAAATTACCACCCTGGATTTACCGCAGCAAAACCCCTGCTTGTGTAATTTTCACCATAGCACACCAGGTCAACAAGTACGCTTCTTATAAAGACAAAATCAGATCAGATTTAACACATTTTGGTCACGGTCCATTTTCTTTTAGCTGGGGAGAGTCCCCCATTTCTTCAAACAGAAATCCCAGATGTTTTTGGCAGATTTCCATCCACTTTATTTTCTTATAAAACGGCACTAAGCACCTTACAGCTCTAGAGTGATTTAGTGCAAAATGCAAACATGTCCAGGAATAAGGCACCGAGCCTGGGGCCTCCCTGAATGCCTGATGCTCCGAGGACTTGTCTGCACCCAGCTGTTGTGCTTCCTTCATTATCACAGAGGTGAGCACATGTTACATGCAAAACGCTACGAAAAATTATTGTGATGTGCCAATTACAATTTTCCCTATTCAAATTTGGAGCATCGAGTAGAAGAATGTCCTTAAAAAAATTCTTCCCAAATCCCAAATGATTAGTTTATTCATTTTGCCATCATGTACCTGTTATTTAAATTCAAAAGTAGTGATGTTAGCGTTGTTGTTCACAGGGGTGTGGGTTAACAGTTCTGAGGCCATTTTTGTCTGCTGCTGAGTCAGAACAAATGCGTATGATGGGTGGTGGATGGGGGAGCTGGATTTCTTGCTGTCAGAGTGAGAGTTAAATATCAATAACAGCATGAGGCTAAATGACCCATGAGGTCACGGGTTAGGGCTGGAGACACCAGCAAGAACTCATGTTGGGCTTACTAGAGATCCATACAGTTACATGCAGAGCTATTTATAGATACATGTATATACACAGTATGTGCACACATACTTCCAAGCTCTGTCCCTTGAAAAACACTAAACACATCAGCACCCCAGTATCCATGAGCACCCCCAGCACCCAGGCCTTGGTTTCTAACACCATTCCCTGGAGGATTCAAGGTTCCTTGGAAAAACAGCAGATTCAAAAACTGGGGCAGGAAATCGAGAAGCATGAGCCAGCAGCACCACGTGGTGCCAAAAAGTAAGGAAACCTCAAGAAGCAAAACGATTGAGGTATGTCAAAGGGACATGGAAGCCCTTGAAAAACAGCCAATGACCAAAGCTGGAAGAATCTGAACCAAGAAGGGTAATAATATTGTAGTATTAGATGAGCTCTGGGCTCAGCTAGTGCTTGGATGGAGATTTCTTAAATACCCGGAATCTGTCCATCTCCCAGTGTTTTCAAGGGCATTTCCCTGCCCCTTGAGGTGGGCTCCACTTAGTGATTTTCTTTCAAAGAGTAGAGTATAAATAAGGGCAAAGAAAGAGACTCTTTACCATGGAGGAGCCCGGCAGACACTTCCGCCAGGCGGCCAAGGTCAATGCCAACAGTGAGGAGCCATCTTGTACCCTTGAAAAGATGTGATGGAAATAGCCCTTCACCTCCCGATAACCCACAACTTCCATCTAGAAAAACAGACAGATCACAATGGAGAGACATTCTGCAAAACACCTGAGCAGTCCTCCTCCAGACTGTCAAGGTCATCATAACTGTCAAGGTCATCATAACTGTCAAGGTCATCATAACTGTCAAGGTCATCAAAACTGTCAAGGTTGTCAAAACCAAGGAAAGTCTGAGAAACTGTTATGGCCAAGAGGAGCCTCAGGAAGCGTGATGACTAAATGTCACGTGGGATTCTGGATGGGATCCTGAGACAGAAAAGGGACAACAGGTGAAGACGAAGGACATATGCATTAACCATGGACTTCAGTGAATAATCACACATCACCCTCGGTCTATTGATTCTAGCAACTGTACCACAGTCGTAGAAGACGGTGATGGTGGAGACTGTGTATAGGAACTCTCTGTACTTTCTTTACTTTTCTGTAAACCCAAACTATTTTAAAATTAAAAATTTCTTTGAAAAAAAAATTAAAAGTGAGTAAGGTCCCCCAGTCTGGTAGTGGCCCAGATCACTCCTGAGCAGCCTTCAGTCCTGACTTTCTGCCACTCAGGATGCTGGATGACGGGCAGGAGGCTGCGCTGCACTCTCCAGCCTGAATGTCAGGCTGCATGGAAGGGTGTGAAGCTCTAGATGACCCTCCTCGTGGATTACACTTGCCGTCCTGGGTGGTGGCACCCAAGCAAACTATTTTTCTTCGAGTCAAATTGGTTTCTCTGATCAAACTGTTGCTGCCTGCTCGCTGCCCGAAGGGCCCAGAAAGTGACCTATTTTTCTAACAAAGCTGAGCTGATTGCACACTGCAGTGAAGAGGGTGCCAGCGGAATAGTCTCCTAACATCTCAGCAAAGGAGGGGGGTTTGTAAAGGCTGGGGGCCGCCCCAGCAGCGCCTTTCAGAGTGTGAGTGTCTGGTGGGGAGGGGTAACTGGAATGGGTCAGAGTTCGCATGATAATAATTTAGGATTTGTGGACACCAAGGGGGAGGCTTTCAAACAAGCTTTGAGCAATGAGCAGCTGTTCGACAAGGCCAGCTGAGAGATGCGACCGACTGTTCTGAGATGGGGCCATTTGCTCCGAGGAGGGTCCGCTTAGCAGTCTATTGCTGAGATAAATGGATTTTCAGCCAGTCCCTGGAATGAAGAATAAAGTCATTTGGAACTCCGTCTTCCTGGGCGAGCTGTCCTTGGAACAGTGACATCGTGCTCACTAGAGGGGAGGTGGGCGGCTGTGGCTGGGCTCAGCTCTCACTGTGAGGGGCGGGTGGTCTCTCTCCTGCATGACCCTGCCAAAACCGGTTGGTATTAAACGGACCTGCTTTTCTCTGGCCCTATAACGAAGATTCTGCTTCCAGGCAGAGGCTGTTTTCCTTTGCATTTTAGGTCTGTTTATTTCTAAAATCGGGCTTGAACTTGGACATGCAGGTATCCTGCTGTTGGTTTTCCTCCTCCTTATTCACTCCCTGATATTATCTGGGGCAGAGGAGCTCAGGGCCTCTTCTTGGTGGTGCCTCCCTGCCTCAGAGCTTAACTGGCCTCCCCGACCCCCTGGGGCACTGCATCTCTGGGAAGTCCCAGAATCCCAGCCCTGACCCCCAGGGCCCCTGAGTGCACCACGGAGCCAGGGGCAGTGTCGGGGAGCAGGAGGCAGACCCTGCGCTCGGGAGAACCTCAGACTCCTTTCCTCCATCTGCCTTTTCAGGGATGTTCCCTACTCTTACTTTTATTTTCATTATAGGCTTATTTTTCCCTCCTTACTCTACCCTTAGCAGAAATCCTTGAGGCTTGGCTGGCTTCCTTCTCCCGGGACAAGGATGAGGAGATACAGGGAGCAAAAACAGAAGGAGTTACCCAGCCCAGAAGCAAAGCACTGCACGTGAGCACAGCCCACTCCTCTCTTCGGTGAGAGCCGTCTGCTCCCGAACATGCTCTGAATCTGTTGGTTC
The DNA here is from genome assembly GCF_000001405.40 of Homo sapiens. Taxonomy (NCBI): domain Eukaryota; kingdom Metazoa; phylum Chordata; class Mammalia; order Primates; family Hominidae; genus Homo; species Homo sapiens. Next base: position 49,291,258 of record NC_000022.11, read on the forward strand.
ATTCCGCACAGCTGGACTGGAGACCTCGGCATTGCCTGGTTTGGGCTCACAGAGGCGGTGGGGGGCAACGCACAGTGCAGGGACAGGACCAGAGGACGAGGGCTGCCCAGGCATGTCCAGGAGAGAGCAGTGCTTTGCACTCCAGCACCTCCCCTGCCATGCTTTGGCCTGGATTATCCCCCGCCCCTGCCTCTGAAACTTGCACACTTGGCCTGTGCAGGGGAGGAGGGCAAAGCTGCTCAGCTTCCACCGGAATCTTCGCTTCTCTTTCAAGATCCTTCCCTCCTGTGTGAGTTTCCTGCGGCTGCTGGAACAAAACACCACGGACTGGGCGTCACAACAACTGAAATTTATTTTCATGGTTCTGGGGGCCAGAGGCTAATCTTGTCGATAAAGCCTTGTTTTCCCTGAAGGCTCTAAGGGAGGATCCTTCCTGCCCCACCCACTACCCCCCACCCCACAGCTTCTGGGAGCTCCAGGCATCCCCTGGCCTGTGGCTGCATCGCTCCAGTCTCTGTCTCCATCCCCACACAGCCTTCTTCCTGGTGTTGGTGTCTTCTCCTCTGTGTGTCTGTAATGAGGACACTTGTCATTGGATTTAGGGCCCACTTGGATAATGCAGGATGATCTCATCTCAAGATTCTTACCTTAATCCATCCGCAAAGACCCTGTTTCCAAAAAGGCCACCTTCCCTGGTTCCAGGGGTTAGGATGTGGACATATCACTTGGGCACTGACATCAAGCTTACTGCACCTCCTCTGGGCCCAGGGTGGCTAGGAAGGACCCACCTTTGACGTTGCTGTTACATTCGGCCTCCTACGGGGTCTTGCTCAGAAATGGCATCCACGGGCCCTTTCTCCACACTCTCAGGTACATGCAGCTGCATTACACAGCCCAGGTGCTTACCTGTCTAGGGTATCTGTGGCCCAGGCTTGCACACATAAGAGGCAGATGGTCCCTGAGCTCCCGGATACATCCCCATACATTTCAACATCGCCTGGTCTCGGTTCTGACCTTTGAGTACCACTTCCTCTCCTGCAGAGAAAACAGGGCACAAAGTCATCCAGGGCTATAGGCCATGGAGCAGTCTCCGTGCCTTCGCAGACCACTTTGTCTTGCGAGCTTAGACAGCACCTGGTGGCTGGAGTTAACAACAGAGACAGAGTTTGATGTCCACTTTTGCTCCTAGGAGCTCACTCAGCCATGGCTGTGCAAGGTCTGCTCTGGGTTCTGGACTCACATACTGAGAATTCATCCCTCCTAGTTTCAACCTGACCCTCAAGAAGATGACCATGGTGGGCCTCATTAATTCCTCTTGAAAAAATTCTGTTTCTCTCAGCCTCCTTGTCCTCACAGTCTCATGTATTAAACTGGTTCCAGCTTCCTACACAGAAAGGTGGTGGAATAAGGTGTTAATAAAATAACACCAACATGAACAGCTGTGCTGATGGCTATCCCCACTCTGCAGGGCATTGGCCATCACAGCAACCATGGCCTTTTCTGCCACTTCCCTGGTAGAGGTATTGCCAAAGGCAGCTTCTGTGTCAGACTTCTGGAATGGGGGATACCTGGAAAGAAAATCCACTGTGTTACAGCACCAGGAGGAGCAGAAATCCAGTTTAATCATCATGTCATGGAGACTGAATATGAAACTTGATGAAAATCAGTCCTGGGGAGTGGTGGTCTCCTCTAATACAGAGAGGGGAAAACACTCCAGGGGAAAAAGCCTGCTGTGACGAGAGGCTTCCCCTGCATGCAAGACAGTGCATGAGAAACCATCAAAGGTCACCCATTCGAAGGCATATCTGAATGAGCAGCCAGCTGAGAAAAGCCAGCGTGGTAGAGACGTGCCTTCTCATGAGGAAACTCATACCAGAAGAAGCCCAGTGCAGAGCACCTAGACACAGAGGAACCCAGACTGACAAGCAGATGGTTAGAGACAAACCTGGAGGAAACAGCTGGATCAAGGAGATGCTGGCCCCTGGGGGCTCGTGAGTTTGTGGTAAATCCAGAGTCAATGCAAGAGGTTCCACCCCATGTCCTGTCCTCCCCATCAGGCCTGTTCTACAGAAGGAGGGCCTTCTGTATGCTGCTTCACAGGCAAAGGTGACACCACCTCCCTGGGAATCGCCCTCTCTGCCTTGGCAGGTTATGGATACAGATAGCTTCTTGAGATGGGTTCCAGACAGTTGTGCTGGATTTTTTCAAGAGGAATTAGTGAGGCCCACCATGGCCATCTTCTTGAGGGTCAAGTTGAAACTAGGAGAGATTAATAAAATGAATGAAATGAAAAATTCAATAGAGAGCTTCATCAGCATATTTGATCATGCAAGAGGAAGAAGTAGAAGAAGAGGAGGAGGAGGAGGAGAAGGAATCTGCACATTCAAAGACTCGTTATTTCAAATTATCCAATCAGAGGAGAAAAAGGTTTTTTAAAAGATTGAAAAAGCATGACAAAACCCTAAGGGATTTATGAAGAAAACCAATACACACATTAATGAAGTTCCAAAAGGAGAAGAGAAAAAGAAAGAAGCTAAAAATTTATTTAAATAATACTAGCTGGAAATTTCACAAATCTTGGGAGGAAAATGGGCATCCAGATTTACAAAACTCAGAAGTTTCTAAATTGGATCAAACCAAAGAAGACACACCTGGACTCACTACAATCAAATTGTCACAAAGAGAGAATTTAAAGGCAGTAAGAGAAAAGTGATTCCTCACATTAGGAGAACCCCCTTAAGACCTCCAGAAAATTTCTTAGCAGAAACTTTAAAAGCCAAGAGAAAGTGTGATGATATATTAAAAGTATTGAAAGAATTCAAAAACCCTGCCAACTAAGAAAACGATACTCAGCAACATTGCCTTTTAGTTCTTTTTTAATGGAGAGATAAAGACTTTCTGAGACCAAACAAACAAACAAGACTGAAGCAGATTATCACCACTAAGCATGCCTTACACAAAGTGTTTAAGTAAGTTCTTCAAACTGAAATAAAAATACACTAAATGGCAATGTGAACACATATAAAAGCATAAATCTCACTGGTCAAAGTAACTATACATACAAACACAGAATAATGTAGCACTCTAATGATGGTACATAAATGTTTTTTAACCCTAACATAAAAGTTTAAAAATACAAATATGGTGTGAGGGTGATGGCATGGGACCACCTGAGCATCCTCGCTTGGTTACTCAGTGGTGTCCTATCCGTAAAGTCCTTGGATCCAACCCCCAAGATATAAGACCCAGAATGCCTGTGTTGGGCTCCTTCTGGGGACAGGAAAGTGGCCTCTGTGAACGAGGTCTGAACAGGTAGGGCAGTGTACTCCAGGGTGAGTTGTTCTCAGCCATGATGATGTTTTTCCAAAGAAAAGAACTTGAAGAGTCAATGTCGTTTGGCAAACATGGCTGAATCAATGTACAGGGGCTGGCTTTGTCTGAACTCCAAGTGGATGAGCATCACTCACCCTTCTCCATGTCCACTTGGTTCCCAGCTCCCTTTGTGGCAGGACACCCTTGCCTACGCTGGGGGAAGCACACAGGAAGCAGAACCAATCCATGGGACTTCGATGAAGGCAGAGCTGCAGGCTCAAGCCCTCTTGCCCCCAAAGTGAAACTTGGAGCTGTGGACCCTGGGAGTGCATGGGGGGAAGGCCTTGGTGCAGACAGAGGCGAGAGGCAGGGAGCAGGGCTGGGACTGCGGCTGCAGGGTGGAAACAGGTAGAGACGCTAAAGTCCAGGTTCCAAAGAACCAGAAAGAAGCCCAGGATATGAGCAAGGGTGGAACAGTGGGGCTAGCTCCCTGGGTCAGGCCTGAACACATCCAAGAACAGGTAGCCGGGGCCCCAAGGCAAGGGTGGGCCAGCCAGGTGGAAGGGCCTCTCTAGCGTCAGCATTCTAAATTTCTAAGCATGGTCTCTACCATTGGCAAGTGAATCCAATTACATGACAAATATTAACACGCTCCAGGTGCCAGCCAGCTCCGGGGGGCCCTGGAACCCTCGGTGGGTCCCTGGGCTTCCCTGAACCTGAGCTCTCACCAATCTGATGGGCGTAGATCAGCACGGAGCTATGTCTGCTGATTCACCTGCGGGCACCTGCAATTCACTCGAGCTGTGCCTGGCAGGGAAAGAGCACTCTGTGAACAGCCCTCAGGCTCTCTGCCTCCACCTTGCCCAGCTCTAGGGCTGTGGAGTCAGGTGGGCATTCTCCTCCAGCCAGGTTCCCTCCCTGAATGACGTCAGCAAGCCCCAGCACGCTCCTCTTCCAATTCCCACTGAGCCGCACCCCTCCCCATGTCTCCAGCTGGCATCTCCCATGGGATCCGACTCAGGTGCCTGCCCGCCTCCCACCATCTCTCCCTAGATGCCCAGGCAACAGCTCACAACACTGCATAGCACTCAATGTTCTCCAGAGAAACAGAGCCAACAGGAAACATAGATGATGTAGATTTAGGTCTATAAGCAATTTATTAGAAGGAATTGGCTCCTGAAATTATGAAGGCTGAGAAGTCCCCAGATCCGCAATAGGCAAGCTAGGGACCCAGGAGAGCTGATGGGGCGGCGCAAGCCGGAGTCCAAGCCAGAGGCAGGAGAAGGCTGAACAGGAACAGTGACTGCCTGGCGCAGATGGCACCATGGGGCAGCTGTGCCCGGAATGTCAGGGGGAAGGCCGGGAGGTGTCCTGGCACCCAGCCAGCTGGGCTAAGGGGCAAGGCAATGAGGACATTCCAGACAGAAGCAAGGATGGAGGAGAGGCAAGAAGACACAGCCTCATGGACACACAGGGAGCGTCCAGTGGTTCCGGCTGCTGGTCTGCAAGAAGGCAAGATGGAGAGGGGAGATGGGGGAGCAGGCGGGCTGCGCTGCGACGACCTTGGCTGCTGGCCAGGAGGAAGGCATCAAGTCTGTGGCTGGGGGAGCCCCTGAGACCTTTAACTGCAGAAGTGACTTCAGCAGGACAACCAGGATCTCAGCTCAGCGCCAGCAGGGTCTTTCGCGTTGCTGCCCATCCTGAGCCGCCCCACAAGCTTGCCCTGAAGGTGGAGCGGCCGACCAAGGCATCCTGGCTGGACCGTCCTGGGATGGGCCCTGCACAGCACAGCAGCCAGGGTGCAGGGAGTCTCTGTCCTCCCAGGCACCCTCCTAGCAGCCACAGTTCCACGGCGCAGGCTGTGTGAGACCCCAAGAGGAAGGCCACATGCCCAGGGCTCTGGTGGTCCTTCTGCACCCAGAGGGCAGGGTCTCCATGGTAGACCAAAGTCCCCTTAAACATGCTCTCTTGGGGCTTTTGTAAGGAATTTTAGTGCTTCCTTAACAGCTCCACTGACTTATTTCTATGAATTTTTCAGGTATTTCATTAATTGATTAATTATAAAACACAAATGTCATCTCCCCAGCACATGCCAGGGACTCCATAAGGCACTAAGATGAACGCGGGCGAGTGTGTCCTAGCTCCAGGCATCACGCGGGGTGACGGGAGGGGTGGGGTCTGTCATGGACAGCAGGACAGCCCAGAGGGCCTGGGGACCAGCAGGTGTGGCCTGCTCCAGACGGACGGCCGGGCTCTCACGGTCCCAGCCAGCCCCTGTCCTCTCCTCTGACTGCTGGGTCTGGCCTGAAGCTCATTAAATTTTGAAGCCTCCTGGTCCACCTAGAGCCTTGTCTCTTCTATTTTTAATGTCGTCAGCCTATCAAACCCTCATAAGCCAGCGCGCCCACGGTTAGAGGTCTCTGTCCTCCAGCAATTTGTAACTTTTTCCTGTTAATTTCACAGCACTAGATGGAGAAGGAACATAAATTGGTTGAAATAAATGAAGTTCCAAATTACACGGCTCTATGTGTTAGGAGAGGAGACGTGGACTCAGGAGGGATTTTGCTAAGAGAGCTTCTCCCAGCAGATTCCCTGTTAGGGGCTAAAGATGGAGTGAGATCCTATAGAAAGAGGCCTTTAATCCGGTCCTCCAAGGCACTAGGCTGTGCCCTCTGCCCAGTTCCCTCCCTGGCCCTGGCATCGGTGGGGACTCTCATTACGGGCGGTATCCTTGCTTGCTGGGCTTGGCGTCCAATAGTGTGAGTGCGGAACACCAGCTCATCCAGGCCTTTCCGGAGCAACGTGAGCTTCTGACGGGGTCACCCTCCCCTGAAAGCCACATGGGAGACCCCAAGGGTGACGAGGGCGAGGCGGGGGAGCCTGAGGCTCTGCAGCTCCTCACAGGCTGGGCTCCTTTCTGCCCAGGAATCCTCAAGCCTGGTGTGGAACCAAGTGCAGAAGCCGTGAGGGTGGAGCAGCTGACCGAGGCGTCCCTGGTCCCCCAGAGCCTCCCAGGCACCCCCTGCAGAGAAGGCAAAGCAGCCTGGGAGCCGCAGAGGCCGAGAAACCAACCCAATCCCAGAACGCCGAAGACACCAGGCTCCCCGGACGGGCTTCCAGGGAGCCACTTCTAGCTTCACAACGTGAACTGTTTTCTCAACACATGACTTCGCAAGAGTAAAAGTCCGTATTCTCCCTAAGGCCTCCTGCGAACGCTGTGTCCAGGCCCCGCTGGGGGATCCAGGCTCTGAGATGCCCCGGCCCCATGCCAGGCTGTGGATGGGGAGTGACCGTGCACTCACCGTGGTGGCAACGCCTGTATGCGGCCTGTAGATGAACGGGGCTCAGCAGGCATTCCAGTTCAGAGCCTGGAAGAACAAGCTGGCTGCAGAGCCAGGCGGGACCCTGTGCAAGTCTGGGGGGCTCCCCACGGTGGGTGCGTGGGGCCGGCATTCTGGGCTAAGGACACGACTACACAGACACTGGGAGCTCCAGGAAGAGGCGTAGCCTGCCGTGGGAGGGGCCAGGTCAGAGGGTGTCTGGGGAGAGGGAAGGATGGCCGTGAGGAGGCGGGAGTTGGGAGCCTTTCTTGAAGAGAGGCAGATGCGGTGAGGAAATGCTGGAAGCAGAGGAGAGATGGGGCCCGTTTTGTGGGCGGGTGGAGGCTGCGGCGGGGGCAGTCAAGGTTCTCCCGAGAAACAGAACCAAGAGCAACGCACAGAGAATGACGTGACGAGGAAGCTGTTTATAAGTCAGGGAGCCGGAGAAGTTCTATCCTCCGCCGTCCGCGAGCTGGAGACCCGGGAGAGCTGGGGGTGTCCTTCAGAGGCCTGAAAGCCGGGGTCAGTGGTGTGGATTCCAGTCCAACTCTGAAGGCCTGAGCACCAGAAACATGCAGGCAGGAGAAGACAGACGGCCCAGCTGAGAGGTAGACAGAGTGGGAACCCACCCAGCCCCCACGTTCGTGCCACTCACCGGGGAAGGTGTCGGCTTCACCCTGTCCACTCCACAGGCAAGCCTGGAAGTAATATTTTGCTGGTCACCTGGGCACCGTGTGGCTCTGTCACAGTGATGGCGAAGTCACAGAATTCACCATCTCGGGGACACACCTGGGGCAGGAAGGCTCTCCGCTGGCTCCTCAGGCAGTGCTCGCCCACCGAGTGCAGCTCCATAAATCCACATTCACCTCACCTGCCTCAGTGTCATGTCTAGGTCTGGTTCCGTTCAATTCCATTAGTTCTATTTCTGCAGCTGGTCTTAGTCCTTCTGATGCCCTAACCACTCACTCCCCGTTCCAGGCTGCCTTGCAGAACCCGCTGCAGCAGCTTCTCCACCACCCACAGCAGCTTCTCCACCACCCACAGCAGCTTCTCCACCGCCCGCAGCAGCTTCTCCACCCGCAGCAGCTTCTCCACCGCCCGCAGCAGCTTCTCCACCCGCAGCAGCTTATCCACCGCCCGCAGCAGCTTCTCCACCACCCGCAGCAGCTTCTCCACCGCCCGCAGCTCCTCACGCAGGCCTCCAGGGCATTCCGAGGCCTCTGCAGGAGGTAGAGAGAGGCCTCTCTGGGCCTGGGCGGTGAAGTCAGGACAGCTCAGCCCTGAGGGATCTAAAGTACAGGGTTCAGGGTCGAGCTCCTCCTGACCAGGGCCAAGCGGGGTGCCCAGCACAGCTTCTCAGGGGGACCCTTGAGTTGGCGTCCTTGGGAGAAGCAGGTCCCATCCTAGAACTTCCCAGGTCCGTGTAGAGCAAGATGAGGGAATGAGGCTGCCAGGCCGCCTGGTGCTGTCTGAGCCGGGAGCCTGCTCCGAGCTCCAAGCTCTGGTTCTCCATCACAATTTCCAACAGAAAAATGCGTGGCTGAAAGGAAGGAAACGCTAAGGACGCTCATGACCCTCTGCCCAGGAGGTGGCCTCTGGAGTTCGGCCCGGCCAGTCCCCATAGGGTGCCCTCTGGAGCTCACCCCTCTCTTGGGTTTGTATCGGGACGCCATGGCCGTGGGCGTGGGGCATCAGCACAGCACAGCCATCAACTCCAGATCCTGGCCTGGGGCACTCCCTCCCCTGCCCTCCCCTCCCCAGACACCACCCACATCCTGCCGCAAACACCATGCCCATCTACCATTGTCCACGTGTTCCTTCCCAGCACATGAGCTGTGGACTGATAATGACTGAAGGCCCAGCTTCCTCCAGGGACAGTGGAATTTCGAGAAGGGATTTCTGCAGCACCTTACAGGGCAGCACAGGAGTGAAGCGGGCAACTCTGACGGAGGAGGGAAGGAGGCAGGTGCAGCGGGGATGCCCGGCCCCTAAGGCCTCATGGCCCTTCAGGCAGGCAGACCCTTCTGGAACACCCCTGACCCCGGGCGGAGTGGGATGCAGAAGTTTCTTCTGAGACAAATTAATTGTCCAATGAGATGCCAGTAGGATTTGTCATCTGGCTGTGGGACCCACCCCACGATTGAGAGGTGTTTGAAGTGAGTTGCCCGTCAGTTGAAGGAGGCTCCCCCGGGTGTGGGAAGCACCACGGGCCATTGACTCCCCTCCAGCACGGCGCTTTCATCTGAAGCACATGGCTGTGTGGCCATTTACTGCAACATCAGAGAGTCCCAGAGGGGGCAAGGCGGGGCTTCTGAGCTCACCACTGGATGAAATGAAGTCTCATTCCTACCCAGGCAAGGCAAAGAGCATCCGGAGTGAAGGCCAACCCCAGCTTTCCACGCACCTCCTCCAACCTTCAGGATTTTCTCAAAGAGGAAATGTGGGAGGCGGCAGGAGGGCACCACGCTTTGTGGCTTCTCTAAGCCAAAGGCCACGCCATCCGTCTGTGGGCGCCATGCACACCCCCAAGCCGCTGGAGGGGGCAGAGGGCTCTGCTGAGGTCACACAGCCCCCGAGAGAAGGGCTGGAAGGAGCCAAGCCTTGTGACTGGAGCAGGCTGGGGACCACAGCGGGCAAGTGATGGAGCAGACAGTTTCTTCCAGGAAAGCCCCTGCGTCCACCAAAACAGAAACAAAATACCCCTGTGTGCATGAGTGTGTGTGTGTGTGTGTGTGTGTGTGTGAGTGTGTGTGTGTGTGTCAGGTGTTCTATGTGTGGATGTGGGTGCTCATTGTGTTAGCTGTGTATGTGCTGTGTGTGTGCGTGTGTGCTGAGTGTGTGCATGTGTGCTGTGTGTGGATGTATGCTGTGTGTGTGCTGTGTGTGTGCTAACTGTGTGTGTACGTTGTCAATAGGGCAGTGACCTGACTGCATCATACTGATAAACCCACACAGGAAGACGCCTCTTCCCAAAACAGGAGTTTCTTTGTATCTTGTTGTGAGAACCTGCACCAGAGGAGCCCACGTGGAGGCGATTACACAAGGCTTGTGCAGAGCCCACAGAAGAGGGAAAGATTCGGAAAAACCCCTCCCTGAATATCACGGTGACGGTGACCTCACAGAAGAGGGCAATGGTTGGTGCCCACCGTGTCCACAGAAACCCCAGAAGGCCGTCCCGTCCCCCCACCTACAGCCCGAGGGGTGACTCCCAGATGACTGAGGGGGCTGGGGAGGGCAGGGCAGGCAGCGTGGGCCGGGAGGGAGGGCCCAGGCCTGCGGTCTTGCTTTGCCCACTGTGGTGCTCGCCTGTACCCCCTAGTTCCGCCTGACCCGTGGGATGCATTGACTGAACCCTGGTTTCTCCTTCTTCACCTTGGGACCGTCTCCTCAAAGTCCCTGTGACAATCCTGGGGTGTGAAAGAAGTGGGGTAGCTCTGATTGAGGCAGGGAGGGCCCAGAGCCCTGTGTGTGATACCCTCGAACCCCCAGTTCAGGTGTGATGTGGCCAGCCAGGTACCCAAACGCCCACCCAGGCTCAGACCTGCCCAGGTATGCAAAGAGAGCGCAGATCCCCTCGGTGAGGCTGCAGGCAGGCTCTTCCCGAAGCTGCTTCTGTTCACACATGTGCTTCCAAACTCTCCCACTTCTCAGGAAACTCCCCTAATTGTGCCTGTGGGTCCAGGACACTGTCCCATGAGGGGGCCATGGCAGGGTCTCCCCGGACGGTATGACTCCAGGAGCCTCCTCCACCGTCCTCACCAGCCACGCTGCACACGGCCCGGCCTGACCAGGTCGGCCAACAGGTCCTCCCCGTGGGGCTGCCTAATGTCCATGGAAAGGGACAGGCCAGGCAGGCGTCGCTGGGGAAGTGAAAAGGCCCTCGAGGCTCAGACTGGGCCCCCGGCATCTCCACGGGCTTCCATGAGAGCCCACATCATACAAGGGACGCGTGGGTGCGGGCAAAGTACACATGAATTCTCCCCGTGGCGGGGCCGGCGGGCGTTGCAGACAGAGACCCCACTGGCAAGGCCCGGAGGTGGGAAAGACTTCAGCTCAGGACACCAGCGCGGGGTCACCTCTGGAGGAGGGGGCGGCGCCTGCAGCTTTGCCTTAGCAGCGAGCAGCAGGGCTCCGAGAACCCCTGGGCCAGGTGTACCTTGCAGAGGGCGGCCTCTGCCCCGCTGTGGGGAGACAACCCCTGCCCAGGAGGTGGCTGGTGCTGAGGCCCAGAAAGCGCCCCGTCATCACGGCTGCCCCAGGCTGCAGCACTGCAAGGGCAAGGGGAGGTTTGGGGCCGGAGTCTGCAGGCTCGTCCTCATGGCGAGCGCTGAGCTGGGCCTCTCCGCGCTTTGGCTGGAAGCGCACGAACACCCTCCAGGGTCTTCAGAAGTCCGTCAGCTGGGAGGAGCGGGCAGCTCCAAGGCCTCAGATTCAGAGACCCTGGGCTGGGTCTTTCGTCTTCCTCTTTCCTGGGAAACCATCTGCCTTCCCTGGGCTCCTGCTTATCACCTGCAAAGTGAAGATAATGTCTTTCTCCTGAGGTTGTTTTGAGAATAAAACCAGGAAGCATGGAAGCATCTGTCCAGCACACAGGACACCCATGCGTGTTTATCATCCGGCACACGGGAGACCCACGCGTGTTTACTGTCGGGCACAGGGGAGACCCACGCGTGTTTACTGTTCGGCACACGAGAGACCCACGCGTGTTTACCGTTTGGCACAGGGAGACCCACGCGTGTTTACTGTCCGGCACAGGGGAGACCCACGCGTGTTTACTGTCCGGCACAGGGAGACCCACGCGTGTTTACTGTCCGGCACAGGGGAGACCCACGTGTGTTTACTGTCCGGCACAGGGAAGACCCACGTGTGTTTACTGTCCGGCACACAGGAGACCCACACGGGGCCTGTTTACCATCCGGCACACAGGAGGCCCATGCATCTTTACCGTCAGGCACACGGGAAACCCACGCGTGTTTACCGTCCGGCACAGGGAAGACCCACATGTGTTTACTGTCCAGCACATGGGAGACCCACGCGTGTTTCCTGTAAGGACCGTGAAGCAGGGAGCACTTTGCCCCCACAGACAGAGGTAAAAGCTGCCACAGACCAGCTCATGCGAAACATGTAATTGTAAAACCCCAGGAAAGGAAGCCCAGCTTGGAAGGCAGAGCGGGCTGGGATTTGTGATCCCCGCGCATCTGAGAGGTCTGTTTCTGGAGGGAAACGCAGTGAATGAAGAGTGACTATCTGTAGATTGGAGGCCATTTGCTCTCTCCTGGAGGATGGTGGAAATGGGCAGGCGGGGCTTGCCGGGCCTGGGGGCTGCAGGGTGGCGGCCTCGTTAGGTGCTGTCTGTCCACAGCGGGAATGGACGTGAAGGGAATGAGATGACTGAGCCACCGACCCTGGGGAGGGCCTCCCAGAGGCACAGAAGTCCCCTGGGAAGCTCATCACTCCTCCAGGCAATTAGGGAAGAGTCAGGCTGGGTGGAACAAGCAATTAATTACCTCCACCTTTGGGAGAAATGGAAGTCTGAGGGTCTAGCCAGGCCAGATGCAACGGCTTCACTGAAAAATGCAGCGCAAGAAGCTGCTGGACTGAAGTGGGCAGGAGACAGGGTCCACGGGAGGTGGGGTGAGCGTGGGTGGCGGTGCCGGGAGGTGGCAGTGAGGAAGGGGAGGGCTCAGCCCTGACCTCAGGCTCTCCAGTACATGGGGCACCGTGGGGAGCAGCTGTTCCCCTGCTCCAGGGTCTGCTGGAGAGACCTGAGTTGTGTGCCAGGACCTGGGGCAGAGAGGGAGGAGATGGGAAGAGGGGCCCAGGGCAGAGGCATGGGTGCAGCTTCATGAGGCCTGGAATCCACCAGGAAGGAGAGGAGAATGTGCACAGCCACGCACACAGGTGCACACAGTCACGCACACAGGCAAGCACACAGGTGCACACAGGCACACACGGTCCCAGACACCCAAGGGAGAGGCAATGGCCTCTCCCTGCAGCCCATGTGTCCTCCTGCCCGCCAGGCCCAGGCTGGCCCCAAGAAGGGTCAACGCTGCCACGGTGAGTGTCCTCCCACGGCTTTGTGCCAGGCTGCGGACGGCTGTCTGTGGAGGGCGGGGATGCGGTGCACCCTGGGGTACACAGGGTGTGGCACAGAGGTCACTGTGCTGTGTGGACAGGACAGGGGCCGAAGATGGGCCTGAACATCACTGTTGCAGCCCTAGGTGAAGTGGGCTGAGGGAATGCAGGCCTGGACAGGGACAGGGAGAGACCCCGACCTGGCCATGCCACAGGAGGGTGGAGGGACGCTGGGCTCTGCCAATCCACCCATCTCGGGGGCAGGGGTTAGGACCTGGAGGGACGGAGACAACACCAACTAGGGGCTGTGGGAGATGCGGCTTGGGTGGACGAAGGGCTGTGCGAGACAGCATGAAGCCAAGATGCCCAAGGAAAAGTGGACGGTGTTGGGGGAAACGAGGCCCAGCAGGGTGGAGCTCCCAGCAAAGCACAGGCTGGAGGGGCAGAGCTAGGAGAGGAGACCCCAGAGCCCAGCCCTGCCTCCCGGCCACAGGCAGCACTTCAACCCAATCACCACACTGTGCAGATTCATTGTAGGGAAACCAGAAAATTCTGCTTAGTATAGAAGGAAAAGCAGAACCCCCACCCCCATCACAGGCCCTCAGCGGTGGAGGGGACATTGCTCCAGGCCATCAGCGGTGGAGGGGAACATTGCTACCCAAGTGGAAACAGTAAGCCCATCCTGGGCACAGACAGCACAGTGCCCACCCCGAGCAACCTCCCTGGGCTGTGGCTGCAGAATGACCCGAGGCCCAGGCAGTGCAGCCCAGTCTCACCTCTGCACGCAGCTCCCAAGGGACCCCAAGAAGGCCGGTTCCATAAAACCAGCACAGGTGTAATCCCAGCTACTTAGGAGGCTGAGGCAGGAGAATGGTGTGAACCCGGGAGGCGGAGCTTGCAGTGAGCCGAAATAGCGCCACTGCAGTCCGGCCTGGGCGAAAGACCAAGACTCCGTCTCAAAAAAAAAGCAGCACAGGGCAGGGCAGGGGACCTCATCACGCAGCTGCCCATCCTGGGCTTGCTGAGGCGTTGCAGCAAGGCCTGGTGTCCAGCTCTCATGTCTTCTGCCCCTCGGACAGCAGGGCTCTCGGCACCCAGGTCCCCACTGCAGGAGCCCGGGAGGTGCCTCCAGGCCCTGTTTGCAGAAGACAGCAGGACCTGGGGAGGGCCTGAGAATCCGGGTGAGCCTGCCGGCCAGCCAGCCCCCTGACACCGTTTGCAGCCCAGAGAGCCCCAGCCCAGTGCGATTCTGGAAGCTCCTCACTCCTTGGCCCCTCTGCCCCCTCAGCCAGGGGCTGCAGCCGCTCTCAGCAAATGAACCCCATGGAGCTGGTCCGGCCACTCCGAAGCTGCCAGCTCAGCCAGCGCTGGCCAACAGTGCCCCCTGGTGGCTGCTGCCGCCTCTGCCGCCGGGGTCCCACCCTGGGTCTGGCCTGGGGTGGACACGGGCAGTGGACTCAAGGGATCCCAGGGCCCACCTGCAGGAGCTGAGGAGGCCGGGTCTGCATCCGCATGCCCGTGGGCCCGTCGTGGGCCCGTCGTGGGCCCGTGGCCACCCCTGCATCCTGTGTCCCACCCCAGGGCTGCAGCAGCTTCTCTGAGTCTCAGGCACAGATGGAGTTGGGCCCCAATAGATGGGCCTAGGGAAGGCTTCCTGGAGGAGGTGACGCCCAGCTGAGGCTGTGAGGCATTGATGGTGCTGGACAACCCCAGGTGAGGTGGGGGAGGACCTGGCTGCCTCTGATGGAGGAATCGGGACCTGTCAGTCCAGAGGAGGGCTCAGCACCAGTGGAAAGGGAAGTGGTGGCTGAGAAAGGGGCAGGATCAGAAAGAGGGAGCCCAGGCTCTGAGCTGGACCCTCTTGTTACCACGTGACCTGGCAAGTTGTGTGACCACTCTGGGACTTGATAAGAAGATGCAGAGCCCCCTGGCTCTGCCACAGGGGCTGTGTGAAATACACAGCACCTTCCTGGGGATACTGCCAGGTGTACAGACAGCGCTCAATAAAGAGTGACCCTTGGAGCTGATGGACTTCATTCCTAATGAAGGAGCCACCGTGGTGGAGTTAGCAAGGCATGGGCAGCTTTTGCAGAGCAGCCCTGGTGCCACTGGGAGTGGGTTTTGGGAGGTCACAGGCTTAGCAGATGCAGAGGCCAGGAAGACGGACAAGGCCACGAGGCCTCAGGGGCAGGAGGCACAGGAGGGTCAGAATGAGGCAGCAGGGGCGGCAGGAGGCACAGGAGGGTCAGAATGAGGCAGCAGGGGCGGCAGGAGGCACAGGAGGGTCAGAATGAGGCAGCAGGGGTGGCAGGACCCACAGCCCCTCTGGGGATTAGGCAGGAGGGAGGCGGGGTGATGTCCAGCGCTCGCTCCCAGGTGGTGGCTCCCGGGCACCAGCGGGTCTGTACCTACATCGAGGGGTTTTAAACTTCACTTTCTTTTTGAAAGTCTCTCTATAGAGCATGAGTGGAAGTGCCTGTGAAACCCAACGCCTGGAATTCCGCTCCTGTGATGCCCACATCCCTGTTCTGGTTTGCCGACTGTCCAGCGGTGAAAGGTGAGACGTGAGCATCGGGGAAGCTGCCTGAGGGCTGCGGGGACTCTGCAAACTTTCTGTAAATCTAAAATTATTCCAAGAGAAAAAGCCTATTTAAAAAAAAAAAAAATCACCCACACTGACCCAGCAGCCTTCGGTGTGCCTGGGTGCACCTGTGCCTCCCCGGAGCACCCACAGCTGGGCCGGCCCCACCCCCCACATGCCAAGACCCCTGTGGTTTCTCCTTCCATCCTCACTGCCAAGCCAGAACCCCGACCCTGCAGCGTCTCCCGCCCTCCACTCTTGCCTCTCCCTCTGCTCGGGGCCCCCGAAGCCCCTCTTTCTGCCCACCCCCGGCAGACTCGAACCCCTGCAGACGTGAGGCCAGGGCTGCTGTGAGCCCCTGTGAGGAGGAGCCCCGGGCACAGCCTGCACTGCCTGGGCCTGGCTCATCCCGCATCACTGCTCTCCCCGGCTCCAGCTCTGCACAGAGTATTTAATAAATGTTTAATAGCAACAATAAAAGATCAACTTGGCACAACTGAAGATTTTTGTTCAGGGACTTGGGGCTGTGCTCTGGGTCAGAAATAAAATGCGTCCTGGCAGAGCGGCAGTGAGGCCAGGGCCAAGGGGGCCGTTTCAAGCGCCTTGTTAGCTCAGGGAAGGGACCGGGAATTGGAACGACCCCAACTGGCCCCTTCGTCCCTCCTGGAGCAGCGCTCCCTGCATAGCACCACGAGGACCCTGGCTCCGGGCAGCCCTGGGCTGGGGCAGAGCCGGCCCCTCCCTGACTCAGCTAGGGCCCCACATAGCAGGGGACGATGATGTGACACAGCGGCAAGGCAGGGAGAGGAGGGCTCAGCCCTGTGTCCACCAGGACACCAGGCTCAGCAGAGGGGGCTGGGCGGGAGCACGCTGAGAGCACCGGCCTCTGTGCCGTCTGGGGTCTCCCCTGGCTTCTGGGGAGCAGGGAGTTGCTGGGCCTGGTGAGCTTTGGGTCCAGAGAGGGCTCAGGTCCTGGGCACCCCTGCAAGGTGGGCTGAGGTGGGACTCTGAAGGCAGCCCTCAGACCAGGAGGTAGCTGAGGGTGCCAGGGCCCTGTGGCCCCCAAGGGTGCAGCCTACACCAGACCTGGGACTGTGTCTTGACATCTGGCCCCCAGAAGCCCCAGGGAAGGGGCAGGAGGGGAGGTCACGTGCCATCTGAGGCTGAGGGTGAAGATGGGGAGGGGAGGAGGCCCCCAGGGGACAGACCTGCCACCCACCCGATGAGCAAGAGGAAACCCCAGACAAGAGGCATGAAAGAAACACACCAGCCACAGTGGGAAGAGAAAACAAAACCAGACAGGGCTCCTGAGGGCAGTGAGGGGGCACCTGGAAAGAACCTTCTCAGGGGAAATGACTTTCAAAGTCAACACATATCAAAATGAAAACTCTGTGTGTAAAGGTGAGGACGTGCCGGGCCTGGCTGTGCACACCTGGAGGCAGAGGCCGACGAAGCAGGAGTCACAGGAGTGGGGTGGAAGAGGACGGACGTGGAAGAGGATGGACGTGGAAGGGAAGACAGGGAGCTCAAGCATCGCGGCCACCGGATCCCCCAAGGAGAAGGCGGAAGAGAGGCAGCCACAGAATCGGTAGCAGAAGCTGATACTTGGAGCTGCAGCGGGCAAGGCGCAGAAGGTCTCAGGACAGCCCTGGATGCTGAGGGGCTGGGGAGGGGCGGGTCTTACGCTTTCCCCCAGGAATTCCTAAATAATATGGGTATAACAAGGAGTGCACACTTTGGGATGGGGAAAAAAAAAAAACACAGGTAAGGGGGGCAGAAAGGAAAAATGGACCAGCACAGTGGCTCACGCCTGTAATCCCAGCACTTTTGGAGGCCGAGGCGGGAGGATCACTTGAGCCCAGGATCCCAGGAGTTCCAGACCAGCCGAGCAACAAAGTAAGACCCGGTTTCTAGCAAAAATACAATAATTAGGTGGGCGTGGTGGTGCGTGCATGTAGTTTCAGCTACTTGGGAGGCTGAAGCAGGAGGATCACCTGAGCCTGAAAGGCCAACGCTGCAGTGAGCTGTGATTGTGCCACTCCACTCCAGCCTGGGCGACAGTGAGACCCCGTCTCAATAAAGGAAAAAAACAAAAGAATCACACATTTGCCACCCTTCTCATGGTCCGCAGCAGAAGTCAGAGGCCATAAGGTAACGAGTCCCACCCACGGGGAGATGGGGACCATGTCCAGGAACCGGAAATCCAGCCCCAGAGCCCCACATCAGCACAAAAGGCAGCATTCACAGATAAGCAAGTTTCAGAGCAGGGACCACCTGCTCACCTCATCGGAAGAAAATGCTGAAGAAAGGGCAAGAAGCACTGTCTCCTCCCCACAGAGGCACAGAATCCAGTTCATTTCTCGCCTGTCTTTCCCGAAGCACACACAAAGTCACGTGCATATATAAAGCCAGGTGCCCCCTTTTCACAAATGAAAAACAACAGTGACATATTACATACAATATGCTGTGCTTTGCTCTTTTTACTTAACATTCAACACAAAGACATTTATATAGCAGTGTATGAAAAGCTTTCTAGCTATGTTCTACAGCTGTGTGGAGTTCAGTAGCTTGAAAGCACCATAATTTATATAATCAGTCCCCTATTGGTGGACATTTGGGTTGTTTCTAGTAATTAACTTTTACTAATCATGCTGCAGTGAACATCCTTTTTTCTATGTTATTTCTTATATGTGAGTAGATCTGTAAGCTAAATAAATACAAATGCAATTGCTCACCAAAATGGAAATTATCATAATGATCTAGATAGAAGATATGTTAAACAAACTCAGCAACATCTAGAAGGTTGAGGGCAGGAGGAAGGAAGAAGTAAAAAAGTGTCTGAAAGGTCTCATTAGTGGGAGGAGGAGAGTCGTGGAGGGAAACACAAGCACGTAAATGTCCCACCCCACAGGGACAAGGGGACAAGGACATACTGGAGAGGCGAAAGTTAGCAACGTGCTTCCAATCAATAGCAAAAAACAATAACAAAATCCCCTGAAAGGGAACATAAATTCTAAGGGAAGAAATGGCAATTGAGTTTTCAAGTAAAAATGTAACTATTGGGAAAATTATAGTAGACAGACAATAATTTGATCAAACCTGCAAAAACAAGTCAGTAAAATGAATAATAAGGGTAACAAATGCAGAAAACAATAGAATCAAAGATGTCAGTCATCGCAGTAATGCGAATGGACAGTCTTCTCCTGGGACCGAGCACGACTCGCAGTTTTGATGAGAAGCTACATGGAGCACTGGAGACACAGAAGCAAAGCAAGCTTATGAGAAAGTGCAGAAAACAAAGGAAGGGAACGGGCTTAGAAAATGAAAAGAGAAAGTATCAGCAGCAATAGAACACATCGGAGAAGTTTGCTGATGGAAATGCTGGTAGGCTGGGCACGGTGGCTCAGGCCTATAATCCCAGCAATTTGGGAGGCCGAGGTAGGCAGATCTCCTGAGGTCAGGAGTTCGAGACCAGCCTGGCCAACATGGTGAAACTGTCTCTACTAAAGATACAAAAATTAGCTGGGCATGGTGGCGTGTGCCTGTAATCCCAGCTACTCGGGAGGCTGTCAGGAGAATCACATAAACTCGGGAGGTGGTTGCAGTGAGCTGAGATCACGCCATTGCACGGAAGGAAGGAAGGAAGGAAGGAAGGAAGGAAGGAAGGAAGGAAGGAAGGAAGGAAGGGGAAAAAAAAGAAAGAAAGAAAGAGAAAGAAAGGAAAGGAAAGAGAGAGAAGGGAGGGAAGGGAGGGAAGGGAAGGAAGGGAGGAAAAATGAAACACTGGTAAATTAGAAATAAACAGAACATAGTTAATATGCAAAACTTACTAAACAAAAGCTATAAGAGAGCAAGACGGTGCATAATACTAGAAGGTCCGTGTCATGATGAGGTGATGACCTCCACACTCTGCATCCAAAGCTCCGCTGTTGGCACCATGATGACCAACGAAGGGTCCAGACCTGCACGGCCTCTCTGTGGACCAGCTCCAGCAGGAGCAGAGTCTCCCTGGAAGCCGGGGAGTCACCAACAGGTCCCTGCATGAACCTCTTTGTCTGCGTCCCTCTAACAGCGGCAGTTCCCCGCCATGGGCTTCTATAAGGATCTCACGAGCCACTCTGTAAGGCACATAGCGCAGGACACTTGTGAGCTATGAGAAATGCAAGGGGCCTTTCTAAAACTCCTATTGCAGGGAGACTTCCCTGTACCCACTTTATTGTCCTGCTGATCTGGTGCATGATGAAAACGACAGTAATAGAGACACAGATAAGTCTCATTAAACAACCTCTAACCTTGATCAAATAGATTTAGGAGACAGGAACAGGCTTCACACTAACACGCTAAGTGGTTTGCACCTTAACATCCTTCAAAAAGAAACAGCAAGTCTATTTGCAAAAACTATCGACAAAAATTGGTTATGTGCTTGCCTGCGAATAAAATCTTTTAAAACAATTAAAAATCAGACTTGAAACTTTGCTGGTCATGTTATCTGATCACAAAACAACAAAAGTAGAAATAATAATGAGATGACTGAAGCGTCTGACAAATCAGAAATTCACTTTATAAATCATCCTTGGATCACAGAGTTAATAAAGAAACAATTGATAAAGTATCTGGAAAGCTTTGAAAAGGAGAGTATTTTGTGTCCAAATGAATTGCATACGGAAAAAGCTCTATTAAAGAAAATGCATTAATTTAAGGTGGCTTCATTATTTTAGAAAGAAAACAAAGATAAAGGAATTTAGTACTCTGCTAAACATTAGGAAAATGACAAAATGAATTCAAAAACATTAGAAGGAATGAATTTAATAAACATGAAAGCTGAAAACAATAAAATTGAAAGCAAAATAAGTAGAAAGCATGGTTTATTTCAAATTTGATTCTTTGAAGTTAAACCTTTGTAAGTTAATTATGGGGAGGGGAGAATGAGGAATGAGAATGGGAAACAATTACATATAAGGGAAAAATAAAGATAATTATAAGCTAATTATATATCTAACTATGGCAACATATTTGGTATTTAGAATGAAAGGACATTTCTTAGAAGTATTTTTTTAAGTTTAAAAAATATATCATAAAAGAAGTGAAAAACTTGAATAGGTCATTCCCATAAGAAATATTAGAAATCTGATTCAAGATCTACCACTAGAAAAAAAAATCACCATAATTCGGTGCATTCAGACTGAATTTTATCTTTTATGTTAAGGTAAAAACAAGTTAATCTGTCACTTAAAATATTCCAGAACATAGAAAGTTTTTTATAAAAACAGCTCTCTTTTGAATATTATATAGTTAGTATAGCTTTAGAAGCAAAATTGAATAAAGACAAAAAAATGATTAAAACTACCAATACTTACGAGTTTAAATGTAAAACTCTATTTGAAATGTATGTCCCCAGCATTTTGGGAGGCCGAGGCGAGCGGATCACGAGGTCAGGAGTTTGAGACCAGCCTGACCAACATGGTGAAACCCCATGTCTACTAAAAATACAAAAATTAGCCCAGTGTGGGGGCAGGCGCCTGTAATCCCAGCTACTTGGGAGGCTGAGGCAGGAGAATGGCGTGAACCCGGGAGGCAGAGCTTGCAGTGAGCCAAGATCACGCCACTACACTCCAGCCTGGGCGACAGAGCGAGACTCCGTCTCAAAAAAAAAAAAAAAAAGATTGGAGTCAAGGGTGGAAACCAGAGAAAGACTGCTTCATGATGCATTCTGGGAGAGAAACAGAAGCTACTGCAGGAAAGGCACAAGACCCTTCCAGAATTATTAGCCTCTGGTTTCTCCATGTTACAAAAGCCTGGCCACCTGCAAGCAATGATCCATCATAGCTTGGGGAAGATGATAAAACATACTTTATCCCCCAAGAAAAGAACAAGGAAACATCCAGGGCACAGATTATTAGAGACCTCTCATTGCTGGATGAGAGGTAGGATCATGAAAAGCCGACATTGAAGGTGGAACAAGAACTTTTCCTCAAAGAACTGATGAGAAGGTTGATGACAGATGGCTGCATTTTTGAGACCCGTATGTTGTCCTGTGGTTGATGGGAGGAGATGATCCCATAAAAGTGGACTATTTAAAATTGTCACAATGGTGGGGCCATAGAACAGCACAATAAAGGTGATGGCCCTTAATGATTGGTAGTAAGTGATGTCACCCCAAGCATCAGTAGCAAAGCCAAAATGGCAATCTGCTTACCACTGGGGATCACTAATAAGCCACAGTCTTCCTAGGAATGACAGAGATGGGCTGTCTGCTTGTTGCTCAATTTATGTGACACACACAAATTGAGATCTCACGAGCAGACAGATAATGTTGGCCTCTGTAATGGGAAATAATGATCCTTCACTGACAGTCTAAATCAGTTTTTTTAGGAAAAGTTCTTGTTCCACCCTCAATGTTGGCTTTTCATTCCTGTGTATTCGGGGTGAGGGGTGGGGGCTGTATTGCTTGCCTTGCAAGAGAGAGCAATTAGGAGACAAGCAATCCAGCCCCCACCTTCACCCTGAATACACAGGAATGCTAGAAGTATTCGAAACCTGAGTTTACTTAGGGTAACCACAGCAATGACATAGCTGAACCCCAACTCAACTGAACTCATGACTAAATGGACTCAAACATGACACTAAAAACTTAGCAAAATAAGAGGCAGACCGTCTCCTAATGTATCATTCACTCAGTCCTCTTCTATACTACACAAAACTTCTGCCTTTCAACAAAAAGGTGAGACAGATGAAAAGCCATGAAGAATAAATATACACACCGTCAAAAAACAAGGAAATCAGCAGAACTGAGATGATCCAGAAGATAGAACTATTGGACACAAAGTGTAAATAAACAAGGATCAGTATGTTAAAGGCTTTAGCAGAAAAGGTGAAAAACATGTATGAGCAAATGTTTGATTTTTGCAGAGACACAAATACCGTAAGAAAGAATTTACTGTAAATCTAAAAATGAAAACACATACCAGAGAGAAGGGATGTCTTTGAGAGGTTAATTGGTAAATTCAAAAAAGTCCAGGAAACAATTAGTGAACTTGGAGATAGGTCAGTAGAAATTATTCAAATTAAAATCAAGAGTAATAAAACCAAAACAGAGCATTCAAGAACTCTGGAACAATATCAAATGAAGTATTATTACAATAACATACACATAATTGGAATCCCAGAAAGAGAAGAGAAAATAACAACATAGAAGAAATATTTGAAGGCATGATGGATAAAAAATTTGCAAAATTAATAAAAGACACAACCACAAATCCAAAAAGCTCGCCAAACTTTAAGAAGGATAAATACTCAAATAAAAAATGTACATATCTAAACACCTCATATTCAAACTTTCAGAACCAAATATAAACTTTTGAAGCCAGCCAGAAAGAAGAAAAAGATACACTCTATACAGAGAAACAAATATAAGAGTTTCAACAGATTTCTTATCAGAAAATATGGGCCACAAGAAAATTGAATAGCATCTCAAAATTCAACAGGAAAAAAAAACACAACCAAATTCTATATCCAGTAAATTTACCTTTGAAAAATGAAGAAATACGTATTTCCCAGAATAAAAGAAAAGCTGAGAGAATTGCTAACAAACCTACACTACAAGAAATGTTAAAGGAATGTCTTCAAGCAGAATCAATATGTTATTAGGCAGATACTTCTATACAAAGAAATGAAAGTGCTGGAAGTGACAATAATGAAAATAAATATAAATTTCTTCTTTTAATCACTCTAAAAAACAATTTACTCTCTAAAACACAAATAGTAGTAATTTATTGTTTATTCATGTAAAAGTGAAATGTATGGCCACCATAGCAGAAAGAAATGAGAAGAGCAAATCTGGATATACACAGTAAGGTTCTTAACTACATGTGAAGAGGTATAATTTTATTTGAAGGTGGACTGTGGTTAACTAAAGACATATATTGTAAATAATACAATCACTAATGTTGTCTATAGATATAAATACTAAGCCAATAGTAGAGTTAAAATTTTATAATAAAAACAGTCTCTCAAGAGAAGGCAGAAAAAATTTTAAAAAGAATAACCAAAGATGAAACAAGTAAAAAGCAACTAACAAAGCTGTTGATTTAATACCATGATAGGAATACATGTATTAAATATAAGCAATGCAGACATACCAATTAAAAGACAGAGACTGTCAAGTTGGATCAGAAAGCATGATACAATTCTATGTTTCTTACAACAAAAAATAAAATTTGAAAACATAGATAGATCTCAATATGCCTTTTCCTGATGATCAATGATATGAAATGTCTTTCTGAGTGCCTATTGGCCTTTTGTATGCCTTCCTTCGTGAAATGTGTGCTCAGATCCTTAACTAATGTCTATTCCACTGTCTTCTGGCCATCAGTGTTTTCTATTAAATAATCAATTCTACTATTTCTGCTTTTTGTAAATTATTACGTCTTTTCTGAATACCATTAATGTTTTGTTTCTTTGTATGGTGTGTCTGACGGTGTACTGAATTTTACTATGATGTGTCTAGGTGGATTTTTTTCATTTATTGTATCTTTTTGTGGCTTCATATAATTTCTTAAATTTTGGGCTTTATTTCTTTTATGGCTTTGGAGTATTCTTAGCCTATATGTCATCAAAGAATCTGTCCAAATATTTTCTCTTCTGTCCTTCTGAAAAACCAGTTATGCATAAATAAGACTTTTCATTGTTCCCCACGTCTCTTACTTTCTTTCTATTAATTTTACATCATTTTTACTCTGTGATTTAATCTCAAGGTTTTAAAAATTTTTAAAACTCAAAGCTATGTTGAGTCTATTAATTTTTTCCGTATTGTTTAATATACTATTAAACTACTGAATTCTTAGTTTTCTTTTTTTTTATTTCTCAGTAGTAGAATTTTCATTTTGTTCTTATCCATTTCAGTACTCTGGTAAAATTATTTTAATCTAAGAAACTTTAAATATCTAAACCTTTTAATCTAAGAAAACTTAAATATATGAATCCCGGTTGTTAAGTATAAACTCAGTAACTCCAGTATCTTCACCATCCCATACACGTGCTCCTGTGTCTTCACTGAGATTTTGCTCACCTGGTGTTAGTTTCTTGATGCTTGAACATTTTTTATTGAATTCTACTCATTGTGTATAAAATTTACAGAGACTATGTTATCTTATTATTATTTCAGTTTCACTTTATTTTTAATCTAGCAGATCTATAAGAATTATTTTTCATCTAGCAGTTAGATAGAGCACAGGAAAATGCCCCTGATTCAGTTACCTGAAACAGGTTGGTTCGTTTTCAGTTGGCCCTTATCCTAGATGGGCAGCCTTTTTAGAGAGTCTTCAATAAAAGCTTGAGACATTTGCCAGATCATTTCCTGCTTGGTGGGCTCTGAAGAGAAGGACAGCATAGACTTTAGCTTGTTAGCCATTGTTTTCTGCTTGCTTTATTACTGTGTCACCGCACACATACACAGCTTAGAATTCAGAAAATGAATGAAAGGAAGAAAATGTATACAGAACGTTTGACTGTCTTCCTTGTTCCATTTTTTGTTTTGTTTTGTATGTTTGAAATAGGTTCTTACTCCATTGCCCAGGCTAGAGTGCAGTGGTGCAATCCTGGCTCACTACAGCCTCAACCTCCGGGGCTCAAGTGATCTTTCCACCTCAGCCTCCTGAGTAGCAGAAACTGCAGGTAGGTGCCATCATGCCCAGTCCTTGTTCCATTTATCTGGGTCTCAATCCTTTCGATTCCTAACTGCCTAAAAGCCAAGGCAATTATTGTTCCAAATGTTAATATTAAACCATTTTCACTTTTTAACAACATTATTGAGATATAACTAAAATATCATAAAATCCACCATTGTGCAAGTCAGTGGTTTTGTGTTTTCAGAATTGTGCGCTCATCACAATCAATTTTAGAACACTTTCATCACCCAAAAAGAAACACCATACCCGTTAACAATTATGCCTCCTGTCTACTCAAACCTTTCTCCACAACAGTAAACAACCATGAAAATCTACTTTCTGTCACTATGGATTTGCATACTCTGGATTTGCATATTCATGGAAACATACAACATGTGGTCTTTTGTAATTGGCTTCTTTCACTTAAAGTAATGTTTTCAAGGTTCACCCATGATGTAGCATGTATCAGTACTTCATTGTTTTATTGCCAAATAACAGTTCAGTCTATGGATATGCCACATTTTATTTATTCATTCATCACTTGGTGGGCATTTGGGTTGTCTCCACTTTGGGGCTATTATGAATAATGCTGCCATGAACATTTGTGTGCAAGTTTTTGCATAGACTTTTTTTTTGTTTGTGTGTTTTTGTTTTGTTTTGTTTGCTTTGGGGTAAATACCTTAGCGTGGAATTGCTGGGGTACTATGCTTAACCTTTTGAGAAACTGCCCACCTGTTTTCCAAAGCAGTTGCACTATTTTAAACTTCCACCAGCACTATGAGGGTTCTAATTTCTCGACATCCTTGGCTTATCTGTCTTTCTGATTACAACAATCATAATGATTGTGAGGTGGTATCTCATAGAGGGTTTGCTTTACACTTTTCTTGTGGCTAGCAATGTGAGCATCTTTTTATGTGTACATCGGCCATTGATATACCTTCATTTGAATGAATGTCTATTTATATCCTTTTCCCAGTTTTAATTGAATTATGTCTCTGTTTAATTATTGAATTCTGTATTCTTTATATATTCTAGACACAAGTCCCTTCTCAGAGATATGACTGGAAAACATTTTCTCCCATTGTGTACGTGTCTTTTCACTTACTTGGTGACATCCTTTAGAGCACAGTTTTAAATTGTGATGAAGTTCAATTAATTTTTGTTTTGTTTTGTGCTTGTGCCTTAGGTGTCATATCTAAAAACATCCTTGGTCAGAGAAATTTACATCTATGCTTTCTCCTAAGAGGTTTAGAATTTTTGCTCTTGTATTTTGTTTTATTATATTTTAGCTAATTTTAATATGATGGGAGGTTTGTATTCAAATTTATTTTTTCCATGTGGATATACAGTTGACAGCGCCATCTATTGAAAAGATTATTCTTTTTCGCCATTGAACTATCTTGGCACTGTTGTTGAAAATCATTCGATCACCAATATCAGTGGCTATTTTTAGGCTCTTATTTCGTTCCATTGATCTTTATATCTATCTTATGCCAGTACCAAGCAGAAGTGATTACCGGAGGTTTGTAGTAAGTTTTGAAATTGCAAAGTGTGTGTCCTTTAACTTTATTCTTTTTCAAAATAGTTTTGGTTATTCTGGGTACTTTGAGTAGCCATACAAATTTTAGGATGAGTTTGTCATTTCTGCAAAAAATTCAGCTGGGATTTTTGAAGCAATTGCATTGAATCTTTAGATCAAATTGAAAGGAATCGCCATCATAAAAGGAGTAAATCTTCTGATCCATGAACATATGGAATCTTTCCATTTATTTAGGTGAAAAATTACTTTCAACATGTCTTTTTATTTTTCCTGGGTATAAGCTGGGTATTTTCTTTTTTTTAAATTTATTTGTAAGTATTTTATTTTTGATGCTGTTGTAAATGAAATAATTACTTAATTTCATTTTTGGATTGTTCATTACAAGTATATAGAAATTTAACTGAGTTTTGTATATTGATCTTGTACCCTGCAATCTTGCTAAGCTCATTTCTTAATTTGAATAGTTTTTTAATGGATTCCTTAGAATTTTCTCTATACAAAATAATGTCATCTGCACATAGAAATAGTATTCTTTTAACTTTCCAATCTGGATGCCTTTTATTTCATTTTTATTGTCTTATTTTCCTGGCTAGAATTCCAGGACAATATTAAATAGAAATGGTGAGAGTAGACGTGCTTGTCTTGTTCCTGATCTTAGGGTGAACACGTTCAGTTTCTCGCCATTAAGTATGATGTTAGCTGTGATTTCTTTGTAGAAGCACTTTATCAGATTGAGGAAGTTCTCTGCTATTATGACTTTGTGGCATGTTTTAACCATGCAGGGGTATTGAATTCTGTTAACTCAATCTGATAAATGGATGCCTTTTCCTGCGTCTATTGAGGTGATTGTGTGAATTTTTTTCTTTTTTTTTTTTTATTGACACGACACATTATTGCATTAATTGGTTTTTAAATGTTAAACCAACTGTGAATTGCTGGGACAAATAATGCTAGGTCTTGTCATAAAATCCTTTTTTATATATTGCTGGATTTGTCTTGATAGTATTTTATTGTGGAGTTTTATATCTATATTCACAAAAGATGTTGCTCCGTAGTTTTCTTGTGATGTCTGGTTTTGGTATCAGGGTAATACTGGCCTCAAAACGATTCGGGAAGTATCTTCTCACCTATTTTGTGGAAGGGTTTGTGAAGAATTGCCATTAATTTTTCTTAAAGTGTTTGGTAGAATTCACCAGTGAAACCATCTGGGTCTAGGCTTTTCTGTGTAGATAGTTTTTAGATTACTAACACAATTTCTTCACTTGTTATAGGTCTATTCATATTTTCTTTTCTTTCTTCTTAAGTCATTCAGGAGTTTGTGTCTTGCTCTAAATTTTTCCAGTTCAACTAACTTTACTCATTTGTTGACATACTGTGTTTGTAGTATTCCATTATACTCCTTTTTATTTCTGTAGGGTTAGCAGTGATGTCCCTTCTTTCAGTCCTAATTTTAGTAATTTGAGTCTTCTTTCTTTTTTGCTTCATCAATTTAACAAACGATTAGTCAATTCTGTTGCTTTTTTCAAAGAACCAACTTTTGGTTTCATTAATTTTCTCGATTTTTCTATTCTCCGTTTCATTACTTTCCGCTCTAATCTTCATTGTTTCCTTCTTTCTGCTTGCACTGGAGTAATCTGCTCTTCTTTTTCCAGTGTTTTAAAGGGGGGAGTTTACTTTATTGAGGTAAGATTTTTCTTTCCCTTGTTTTAATGCAGGCTTTCACAGCCATGGATTTCCCTCTAAGCACTGCTTTTGCAGCTCCCATGAGTCTGGAATCTGCACATGCCTTTCCATTCATCTCCACATCTAATTTCCTTTGTGATTTCTTCTTTGATTCACTGGTTATTTTGAGTGTGTAAATATTTTTCACACATGTATGGATTTCCCCAATATCTTCTGTTATTGTTTTCTAATTCCACTCCATTATGGTAAGAGAAAATACTTTGTATAGTGCTCATCATCTTACATAGCTTATCTTAATGGCCTGGTACATAGTCCATCCTGCTGGTCATTCCATGTGCACATGAGAATAACGTCTCTTCTAATGTCATTGGGTGGAGGTTTTCCTAAAGGTCTGGTAGGTCTAGTGGTTTGCAGTGTTTTTTCAAGTCTGCTATTTCTTTGTTGATCATCTGCCTAGTTGTCCTATACAGTATTAAAAGTCAGGTTTTGAATTCTCCAGTGATGATTGTTTAATTATCTAACTTTCCTTTCAACTCTGTCTGGTTTTGCTTCAGGTATTTTGGGAATCTATTATGGGTTTTTTATATGTTTATAATTATTATATCTTCTTGTTAGATTGACCTTTTGTTATTATAAAATATTTCTTTATCTAGTAACATTTGGGGGACATCTAAAGCCTATTTTGACTAATATTAATATAACCATTACTATTTTCTTATGGTTACTCTTTGCATGATAATTTTTTTCCATTCTTATACTTTCATCCTATTTGTGTATTTAGATCTAAAGTCTGTCTTCTGTAGACAGCATAAAATTAAATCTTCTTTACTAATCTAGTCTTGTAATACGTCTTTTGATTGCATTGTTAATCCATTCACATTTGATGAGATTATTGATGCACTTGGATTTACATCTTCCGTTTTGCATTTTGTTTTCTGTATGTCTGATGTTTTGGATTCTTCTCTTCCTTCTTTTCTGTTTTCTTTCACACTAAGTGAATATTTTCTAGTTTAATGTTTTAATGGTTTTTCACTGTATTTTTGAGTTATTTCATTTATGGTTACTCTAGTGCTTATTATAAACTTCATAATTTATGTGAGTCTACTTTAGATTTATATTAACTTAATTACATTGAGCTATAGAAATGTTACTTCTTTTTAGTTCCATTCTCTCTTCCCCCCTTCCTGTGCTATTATTTTTGTTATAAGTTGTGGACCCAACAATCTATTATACGTATTGCTTAGTTTTATGTCTTTTTTAAAAAGTTGAAAGAAGAAAGAAGAGTAGATATTGATTTATAGAGTTTGTTACAGAAATCCTCTTATTTAATATTTTTGCATTTTTTCGTTTACTTGGGGATGCGAGTTACCATCTAGTGTCATTTCCTGGGTTCAATACGCATCCCCCAGCTCTGCTCCGTGGTTTGGCTCCGCAGGGCCTGTCATGCTGGACAAGCCTCTGCTTCTCTGGGTGAGATTTCCTCCTGTGCCTCACTCTTTTGAACCATGAGTGGCCGTGAGGTTTGGCCGAACGTCAGGTCCACCGAGCTCCTCCTGTGGGATGGGGCGCGTTCCCATCCTGCCTGCATCCCACGCTGCCTCTGACCCTCCTGTGGGATGGGGCGCGTTCCCATCCTGCCTGCATCCCACGCTGCCTCTGTCCCTCCTGTGGGATGGGGCGCGTTCCCATCCTGCCTGCATCCCACGCTGCCTCTGTCCCTCCTGTGGGATGGGGCGCGTTCCCATCCTGCCTGCATCCCACGCTGCCTCTGTCCCTCCTGTGGGATGGGGCGTGTTCCCATCCTGCCCGGACGCTGCCTCTGTCCCAGTGCCATGCTCTTCTTCACCCACCAGGGACACAGCACACCCACCCTGGGGCCTGTGGGGATAAAACCCATTGCTTCCCACCATCCACTCAAGCACGGAGCCCGCTCGGTTTCTGAGGAGGAGTCTGCCTTTCTGTGTGTTCTCTGGGAAATCCTTTTCAAGATAATTGAACTCTGCCTTTGAAACTCATCCTCTAACGTAGATAGCGGGGCAGGGCTGATTACAGAGGACGGAAGCCCAGGAGCCCCAGGGCCTGGCATCAGCTGCACCCTCGGCCTCCCCAGGCCCCAGGAAGCCACCCTGCACCTCTGTCCCTGTCCTCGGGATGACTGACACCGATACCCCGAGTGGCTCCGGGCAGCAGCGCTGGCAGACAAGGCCCGCCTTCCTGCTGTGCTGTGCTGATCATTCCACGACAAGCCCGGTTTCTGCACTTCGGTGTGCTCGCTGGGGATTCGGCGGTGGAGGTGTTCCAGGAAGCTGTCCCTCCCGTGGCAAATACTGAGTTATTATCAGCCTTCCATCTGCTGTGGGAAACGGTGGGGCTCCACTCACGGCATTTGCATCTCGTCTAAAACGGGAGCATCGCCTGGGAGGCCGGCCCCGCCTGCTCCTGAGCTCTGAGGCTGTCTCGTTCGGAGGCGCCAGCTTGGGCTGTGCCACTTCTACCTGGTACCCGTCAGGGAGATGGATGGAGGCGGCCGAGAGTCTCCGGGAGCCGGATGGATCGCTGCCCGTGTGTGCATGTGTCCTACTAATTTACAGAGACGCAACTGCCCAAGTTTGCTGCTCAGAAGGTGTCCCTGGTCCAAAACACAGCTGTTCTCAGGTCCTGCTTGAAAACAAGAAATAGGACATGTAAATCGGAAGGCTCCGAGTTCTGTCATTTGCATGGAAGAAACATGAGTTAACGTTAGTATTTTGCTTCCAGAAATATACAATAACAGTGATAAACTATCTCCTGGGTATGTGATACTTTCGAGGGCAAACCTGGTGACAGGGACAAGAGGCATCAGAAACGTAAACAGGCTCTGGGTCTTTTCTCCTCCCCTCCGGAGCAGAGCTCAGCACACGGGAGACACCGAGGGATCTTCCTGTAAGTGGACGAATGAGCTCTGCCACTTCCATCCCCAGGGCTGCGTGCAGGTGCAGGTGCAGGGGGCAGGGATGGGGGCAGCCCCCGTAGCTAAAGCTGTAGGGACAATCCAGGGGCTGCCCTGCCCAGCAGGGCGAAGAGATGAGACGGGACAGTGGCTGGGGGCAAATCAGGCGCTGGACCCCCAGCCTCGGGGGCCTGGACTCCATCCGGCACTCACTGAGGGTGGTTGATAGGAAGCAGGGAGTAAAGGGGAAGTTGAGGACAATCATTCTGATATAAATTCTATGCCCGGAGAATGACGCACAGTGCCTGCACAATGCCGTGTAACGTAAAAAGCCCAGAGCACTTTTCAATTCAAATTAAGGAGAATCTCCTAACTCCGAGCTCTGCAGATGCCAGTGAGAGGCTGAAGGGATCCCAGCCTTGAAGACATGGGCCTGGGGGCTGTTGGTGTCTCTTCTTCTCCAGCCTCATGACCTGAATAGGATGCTGATGGCCAGGGAAAGCACCCAAGAGAGTTTGGGGAGGGGGATGAGCTCGGGGCCATGGGGCTGTGGGTGAACTGGAAGGGACGGCACAGCCCAGTCCAGGTCAAGGAGGAAGATGTGAGGGAGAAGAATCACAGGAACAAGCCTCCTCCGAGACGGGGAGCTCTGCGGGCCACGGGGCCCTCCCTGTGGGCTGGGTGCGGCTGAGCTGGAGTCTGAGGGTCAGAGTGTGGGATTCAGGACACTTTTTCTCCCTCGACCTAAGAGAAGGAGCCCCAGGGCAGAGGGCAGTGAGCCAGGACTGATGCCCAGGAGACCCCAGCCAGCCTGGGGTCCCCACCTCACACCTTGAGATCCGGAGACCCGGGTGGATGTGGCATACCCACTTCATGGCTGCAGGATCTGGAGACCTGTGGGGTCAGGCTTAACAGGAAGGGAAAAGAGCACAGTCAACCTTGAACCTCCATAAGGAGCATGAATGTGTGAAGTGTGCATGGTGTGTGGTGTGTGTGTGATGTGTAATGTGTGTGTATAAGAGTGGTGTGTGTGTGGTATGCGATGTGTGTGTGTTGTGTGTTTTTCTGTGTGTGTGTGATGTGTGGTGTATGTATAATGTGGTGTGTATATAGGAGTGATGTGTGTGGTATGTGATGTGAGCATGGTGTGTGTAGTGTATGTGTTTCTGTGTGTGTGACATGGGGTGTGTGTACAGGAGTGGTGTGTGTGGTATGTGATGTGTGTGGTGTGTTTCTGTGTGTGTGACATGTAGTGTGTACAGGAGTAGTGTGTGTGGTATGTGATGTGCGCATGGTGTGTGTGTGGCATGTGGTCTGCGTGTTTCTCTGTGTGTGGTAGGTGATGTGCGTGGTCAGTGTAGAGATCAGTAATCCTCAGCAGCAGCAAACTCAGGCATTCATTCCCCTTGCCCTGTGCAGCCCCTAAAGCCTGCAGCCTCGGACAGACTCCCTGGACTCCCACGCATTGACTCGCCATTGTCCCTGCCACCCTCCCTCCCCAGTGCAGCTGTGAGTGCATCCTGTGGGCCGCCAGCTTTGGCTGTACCCCTTGGGAGACAGAATGGAGCACCTGAGGTCACGCACGCAGGCGTTGCCCACGCCGGGAAAGGCGTTTCAGGAGAGCATGCCGGCCTCCTGGTGCACAGAACTGCCGTCAGGACATTCCCTGGAGAAGGGAACAGAGGGAGACTTACAGAGGAGCACCCACCTCCCATGGCCTGGGCTCTGCCACCCCCTAATTGCTGCCACCAACAGCCATGAAGAACGGTCTGAAGGGCTGACACGGGTTCTGTCCTTGACTCGACTGGACCCACCTGGGGCTCCTGTTCAGCCTGGTGCCAAGCTTGAAGGCGGCCTGTCCCTCCAGCAAATGCAGAACAGTGTCTCACCTTGGCAGCTGCTCACGTGCTCTCAGGCATCAGCTGTGCACCCCACCTGGCCCTCAGCTCAGTAGGCAGGACTGCCACTGTTCCTCTTCCACACGTGAAAGACTCACAACTCCCCGAGATGAAACAGCTCAGCTTCAGTCCCATGACGGGGACTCCAGGCCCTGCACAACCACCCACGTCCCCACTCTGCTTCCAGGCAGCCTGAGTGCTCCAGAACCTTCTGGGTGCTGGGTCCTCCCTCTGAGCTAAGTGGAAAACCAAATCCATTTGTCTAAAGAGGTAATTGCAAATTACACTATAAAATGTCAACAGAAAACATATTTGTGTTGGTTTTGTGAACCCTAAAAGGCTGTGACTATTGTTTTTCTACAACCTCACAAACTGCCCCCTCTTGCTGCTCTCTTGAGTGAGGGCCGTATGAGGTTTCCGTGGCCCCCTCAGCCCTGAGCAGCTGGGAGACCTGCATGGGTGAGCGGTAAAGACCTTCTTGGCAGGTGCCGCACCCAACCTACCTCATACGTATCCCACCGATCAGCAACAACCCCATTTCCCTGCACAGACTGAGGTTAGATGAGCCGACAAGTCTGCTCAGCATTTCGGACTCCCAGCACCATCCCAACTCCCCAGCCCCCTGCACAGACAGTGAGGTTAGATGAGCCGACAAGGGTACTCAGCGTTTCGGGCTCCCAGCGCCATGCCGACTCCCCAGCCGCCACTCTCTCAAGGCAGTTGTTGTCTGCCAAGTTCGCGGATGTTAACAAAGCTCACATGGTTTGTGGGTAGCCAGGGAAGTGGTCAGGACACCTCAGAGAGTCCCAGCAAACTCCCCAGCCTGACTGCACGGCTGCAGCACAGAGCACGTGTGGAGAAAGCTCCTGTGTTCCACTCCCATCCTCGGCTGGTCCTCAGGAGCCAGGCCTGGCAGGATGGGTCTTCACACCTACTCGCAGAGGAGGGGGCTCACAGATCAGGGGCCAGGGCCACATCCCATGCCCACCGCTGGGAGGAATTGCCCGTGAGACTTTCCGAGCACAGGCACCTGCTTCCTGCCACGGTGAACGCCTTGTGGTGGGTGGGGCTGTCCTGGCTCTCTGGCGACAGAAAGGCCCTACCTGCCCAGATTTCAGCCAGGCTCTGGAACATCCCCTGGGCCTATCTGGGCTCATCCCTATAAAACCTGGGTTTAGCAAGAACGCGACTGAGTCAGTTCAGCAAGAGCCCCTGCCCTCGACACCACATCACCCTCATGATCTGTTCAGGCTCCTCATTGTCCACCACACCCAGGTAATGCCTGTCGCCCTGGCCCATCCTCAGCGAAACCCTGTTGGGTCAGTGTAGCCAGAATTCCCCTGCCCCGATGTCTCCTCTATGTGACTTGCTGTG
The DNA here is from genome assembly GCF_000001405.40 of Homo sapiens. Lineage (NCBI taxonomy): Eukaryota > Metazoa > Chordata > Mammalia > Primates > Hominidae > Homo > Homo sapiens. The sequence continues at coordinate 49,325,635 of NC_000022.11, forward strand.
CCCTGCCCCCACCCTGCTCCCGGGCTATAAACTCCAACTTCCCATGCTATATTTGGTGTTGAGTCCAATCTTCCCCCACGTCTATCGTGATGGCCCTGAATAAAATCTTCCTCATTGTGCTTCAGCAGGTTCTGTTGCAGTATTTTTTCTTTAAAGCCAGAGCCACCAGGAGACACAGACGTGGTGCAGGGGGCCTGCCGTGCTGGCGGTGTGAGCCCAGAAGAGCCCGCTCTGCCACGGGCTCCGCAGTCGGAGAAGAAGCACACACATGTGAAGACAGGTGGGAAGCAGGCGGCCCTCCTGGGCAGAAAGGCACAGAATTCAGAAATAAAACACGTGCTCTGGAAACTTCTAGAAGACCTATTGGGTCAGCAAGGCCCTCGGGCAGCCACTAGTGCCCGGCAGTGAGGCTCTGAGGGGATCAGACCTGAGCCCAGACAGCATCTGATGCTGGACAGTGTTTCTGCTGATGGCCGGATGGCGGACCTCAGAAGGAGAGCCTGGAAGATCCCCTGTGCTGAGGCGATGCAGAGAATACGACTCCCAGGCCCTTCTCTCCTCAACTGCCAGCGCCCCACAGGTCACGAAGGTTTCCTGGCCTCACAGTGGGTGCTGCAGCCACGTCGCCTGGAAGGTGAGGATGCAGTCACCAATCCTGTTATTGCCCCTCTGTGGGAGCTGAGCTGCTCACCTGAGACCCTGGATGGGGCTGTAAATCCCAGCTCCTCACACAATAAGATTTAATATTTGATGTCAGATTATTAGACTATAATGAATTTGCTGCTTTAATATTGATGAATAATCGGTCCTATTAAGGCTATGGGATGAGAATTTTGTGCAAAGAGAAAAATCAATTGCTAAATCAATCACACGTAGCCCTGAGTGAGGCAGCCGGGTGGCACCGCTGTGGGCCCGAGGGCTCAGCATCCCTCCAGAAAGACTGATCTACATGTTCACCTTGGGCCATGAAGTGTGACTTCCTCCTGAAGAGAGCTGGAAAAGTGAGGATGCAGCCTAGACACTCGCATGCAGGCACGGAGAAACAAGAACCGAACTGCGTTCCCCCAAATTCCTATGGTGAAACCCTCACCCCAATGTGATGTTGTAGGAAGTGGGCCTGCAAGGAGGAGGTTCAGACCAACTGAGGTCTTGAGGGCGGGGCCCTGATGCAACAGGGCTGGTGTCTCTGGAAGATGAGTACCAGGGCTCTCTTCTCTCTCTCTCCCTCTCTCTCCCAGCCTCTGTCTCTGTCTCTCTCTCTCTCTCTGTCCCTCTCTCTCTCTCTGCCATGTGAGGACACAGTGAAAAAGTGCTGTCTGCAAGACAAGAAGAGCCCTCACCAGGCATCAAACTTAAGGGCACCTCGATCTTAGATTTCCAGGCTCCAGACTTGCAAGAAAATAAATTTCTGTTGTTTAAGCTGCCCAGCCTGTAGCATTTGTTATGCAGTCCAAGATGACTGGTGCAATCATGATAAATCCCTGTGAAGTCTGACTCTCACATGATCTTTGGGTTTGGGTTCAAAAGAGGTTTCTGCTCCACCAACCCCAATACAGGCTAAGCAAATGCATGAGTTTGAGAAACTTGCAAATTAAAATAAGAGAACCCCACATGCAAAAGGAGACAAAGGATGTGACTGTGTCATGACAGAAATCAAAGAAGAGAAAGCAAGAACATTGGGTTCCCTCACCTTCCAACGCAGTGACCATGAGGAAGGCATGGACTTGGCCTGAGCCTGTTTCCCCAGGTACAAAATCAGAGTGTGTGCAGACATCCTTTCTTCAGAGTGTTCATACAACACTGGAATACAATAGCGATGGGAGTGATTTGGTTTGAAATTAAATCTGAAAATTGAAGTCCTGGCCAAATGTCCGGAGGTCTGTCAAGCCTGTGACCATTGGGCAGGATGCTCAGGACATTCCTGATGCTTAGAGAAAAGCCGCCCAGGCAAGGGTCAGCTCAAAGCTCACTCCCCAGGGGAGGCTGGAGGGAAAGGAGGGCACAGGCTATGTGTTACAAGAAAAACGTGGGGCTGTAACATACCCTCAAGCTGGGAGGGAGCTGAGGGGCCAAAGAATGCCTGGGACAAGCCCTACTTGGTAAGGAGATGAGTTTTTTAGGACTCACACAGGAGGCACTCCCAGGCAGTATCAGGACAGCTCCAGGGATCTGCCCCACCACTATCTCTAAGCGGCTTTTAAGCTAATTTTCTGGCTGTTTGCCTACTGTGTACAATGAGACTCTTTTTCTTGGTAGGTTCCCAGAAATGCTTCGGGATGTTTGGGTTCTCGGGGACATCTGTTCCTCAGCTGGACTGCATGGCCTTGGCTCACTGCCTAGCCTTCAAGGTTCAAGGAGCAAACATGCACTCCTAAGGAACCCAGTGGGGACCCCTCACCCCACACCACAGGCTATGATGCTCTTAAGGGTTTTGGGTCTGGAGACCTCTATTTCCGTGGCACCTGCATGGGACGTCAGCCCTGTGTGACCCTATTTTCTGTTTCTGAATCTCATCTCAGTGGCCACCACAGACTCCAAGGAGCCCCAGGGACACACACGGCCAACCCTGATGACGCAAGGGGCTCCACCTTCTCCCCTCCTCTCAGAGCTCCTCCAGTGTTCAGCTGCAGGAGGAACTCCCAGCCATGTGGGTCAGCACTTGTTGGGCCCTCCACACATCCCTCCTGCACATCGCCCTGACCACCAGGGGTTGATGGTGGAGGGGACCCACAGTTGGGGGCATCAGAGTGGGGTCACAGGGCCCCCAGCACGGCCCCATCTGTCTTAGTGCGTGCATCCCAGGGATGCTTCAAGAGTGTCAGTGGAGCAAATTGGGAACGAGTGCATTCAGGGAGAAGAGGATCTGGTTCTCATTGGACGGCATTCAAATCTCATTTCATGTGTGGTTCCTATAAGCCTGTAGACCTTTCTAGAAAGTCCATCTCCTGCTCACCCAAGGGTGTGTGGGCCCTGGGGCTCAGGACTACCAGCACGTGGTACATGGTGGGTGTCGAAGGTTGAAATATGTCCCCCAAAAAGAGATGCTAAGTCCTAGCCCCAAACACCTATGAACATCCTTCTTAGGAACGCAGTCTTTGCAGGTGGTTAAGGTGAGGTGCACTGCAGGAGGGCGGGCCTAGGCCCTGACCAGTGTCCTTACAAGAAGAGGAGAATTCGGACACAACACCTGAGGAGAAGGCCACAGGACAATGGAGGCAAGAATGGAGCGACGTGACCACAGCCATGGAAAGCCTGGAGCCTCCAGAGGCTGGAAGGTCAAGGGAGGATCTCCCCAGAGCCTCCAGAGGGAGCAGGATCCTGCCAACATCTTGATTTCAGATTTCTGGCCTCTGGCTGAGATAGCCACATAATCTGTGGTGCTTTCTCAGGGCAGGCCAGGCCACACCTGCAGTAGTTACCCAGTCATTATCAAGTGAACAATGACCTCTGTGTTCAGAATAATGTAACATGCTTGTTGTCTGTTTTGGTAAATTTGAGCTGAGATAGGTGTCTGCTGAGGTGCAAGCCTCCAGGCCTTTGGACATGTCTCACTCCCCAATCAATGTCTCACAGGAGTGACAAGACATGAGAAGGCAGCTAAGCTAATTTGCCCCCAGGAGACACTTGGCAATGTCTAGAGGCATTTCTGGTCATCATAATTGAGGAGGAGTTGCTGCTGGATCTCAGGGAGGTCTCAATGCCCCTCAGCAGCCCCACGTGCACAGGGCAGCCCTCTGCATGCAAGAAACAGTGGTCCGTCCTCCTCTAAGAAGGTTGAAAATCACTTCTTCAGCTTAACCGGCTCTAACACTTCAAATATGCAAACTCAAGCAAAGCAGAAAAGACACACTTGAGTTTCTCGAAAGCACTTAGATGAGTCTTATCCATCAACGCAGGAATGAAGACTGGTTGGACTGATGGGATTGGAGGTGAATGTGTCATTAAACACATCTGTTTTAGAGGGACCAGCCTCTCCACTTTTACATGACATAAACCAAGCAGGAGCAAGGCAGAGACGGCTAAAACCACCACAAATACTCCTTTTTCTCCCTCAAACTCTGGCCAACTTCATGCCTGAGCCCCTGAGCAGGACTGTGGCCGCATGACCCAAGTCCAGCCAGTGGATCCAGGGCAGAGACGACATGCACCTCTCTGGGGATGGCTCCTGTTGGAGACAGGCAGGAGGACCCAGGCCCTGGGAAGTGCCCCTTTTACACTAGGAAGAGAGACAGAAATGCAGTCCTACAGGAAGGCTGGGGCTCCAGCTTTTCTATGAGGGCCTCAGGTGCCCATGCGATGCCATCTTCCCCTCCCAGATTACGTCAAATTAAACAAATCCAAATGGAAAAGGAGAAACTTTATGCCAAAAGGCTGAACACTCAGAATCTGCAAGCATCTCAAAATCATACAGAAAAGGCCTGTTCCCCTATAGGCAGGGGTGAGCAGGGCTTAGCAGACACCCTTAGGGCAGATTGGGTGAGCAAGGTTCATGCGCAGACAGCAAGACCGGTGCAGCTGGACAGCAAGTGTTCTTTCTGAGGCTGACTGGTTCTCTGCTGGTTCTCCTTGGCTGCAGTGGACTGAATGTTTGTGTCCCCCCAGAATGTCTGTGTTGAAACCCCAGCCCCCAGATGATGGTTTTACAAGGCGGGCCTTTGGATGGTGATGAAGCCATGGAGCAGAAGTTTCATTAATGGAGTTAGTGCTGCCATAAAGGAGGCCTCGGAGAGCTTCTGCCACCTGAGGACACAGCAGGAAGGCACTTCTCTAAACCAGGAAGCAGGTCCTCACCAGCACCGGGGCTGCCGACGCCTTGATCTTGGACTTCCATCCCTTAGAACTGTGAGAAATAAACTCCTGCCATTTGTAAGTTACTCAGTCCATGGGACTTTGTTCCAGCAGCCCCAGCTGACTGAGACCCTGGGAAAAGCAGACATTGGACACTCTGCACTTTAGTGCTTGCTCAGGCTCAGGCATGAGCCAGCATCTAGGTGCCTCTGTGGAGGAGAGAAGCCAGGTCAGAGGGGAAGGCATGGACCGTGGGTAACACTTGGCCAGTCTGGTCAGGTATGTCTCCTGCTGCAAGACCAAGGCCATCCCGAGACCAGCAGGCACCCTGGGGGAAGGGCAGTGTGGGATCTGGCTCAGGATCCCCTGGGCATGGACAAGACTTGGGGACTCCTAGGGGCAGCGATCTGGAGCCATGAACAGCCTGCCCTGGCCATGAGCCCTTGACTCAACTAAAGAAAGATGGATTTACATACTTGACTTAAACCAAGTAAAACTACTTGGGAGAAAAAACAACATCTAAAGGGAAGAGAATGAGGACCCCTGGCCTCATTTACACAGTCTGTGTGTCAGACGCGTCGCTGTGTATTCCGGTCAGAACAGCCTTTAGGTCAGGCTTTACGGAGACCATGGACACGCGGCCTCACGCATTGGAGATCTTCTGGGGTCACAGCTGGGTCATTCCACAGGACAATCTCGGTGTCCTGAGAAGCATCGCTGCTGTCAAGCAGCCAGAGACGTAAACAAAGCTATTTCCACCCATCGTGGGAACGAGTTATCCGTTCTAATCAGAGTCGCCAATTTTGAGGTTACCCTTCACTGTCCACTGGTCACCTAACGGCTGTCAGCCCTTGGGCCTCACTGGGTTGGTCCTAATTACCCGGCTCAGCTTCCTGAAGAAACAGCGGTGACTGGCGGCGGGCGGGGTGGACGAGTCTTCATTCTAGGAGTCGGCTGATTTGACCACTAATACATTGAAACACCAATCTAATCAGAGAGCCAATTAGTCAGCCTGGAGGAAGTGTGGCAGCTAAAATCAACACGTTTGCTGTAACTTGCTGGTGTAATGACCTGAAAGCAGCCAGTTATTGCTACTGAGTAGAATGCATGGACATCTGGTCTCCTGTGTTTAGAGAGGCCTGAACCTCACCCCAAAACCAAACCCAGGTCAAACATCAGGACCTCACATCTGCAAAGCCTTGTTGCTGAGTCAGCAGGTCTCCAACAAATGTGCTTGAATGCAGTCCTTTCCAACTTCTCTGTCCAGGTTTGGATAATGAATATTTCGTATTTTGTGTTTTTAGGCCATATGGTTCCTACCAAAATGACTCCACTCTGCTGTGGCAGAGTGCACGAGTTTCCTATTGTCTCACACACTGCCACGAAGTTAGTGGTTTACTACACACGCACTCATGGCCTCACAGCTTCTGTGGGTTGGATCCAGGCATGGCTCCACTGCAATCGAGGTGCTGCCTGCGGCTGTGTTCTCATCTGGACACTTGACCGAGGAAGGACCTGCCTCTCAGCTCCCTCCCGTGCTGGAATAATTCATTTCTCTGTGGCCACAGGACTGAGGACCCGGGTCCTGCTGTCCTGCTGCTCCAAGTCACACACAGCTCCTGGAGGCCATCTGCATTTCCCAGCCATGCAGCCTGTGCACGGCAGCCACTGTCTTCCATGGCAGCAAGGGCGACCGCAGAGGAGACGTCCTATCCAATGGAAAAGGCACAAGAGTGATGTCCTCACCTGCTCCACATTCTGTGGCTGAGAGGGAAGTCCCAGGTCCCACAGGAAAGGAGACAGCACATGGGGGCAGGAGAACCGAAGGTGGGGTGCATGGAGCCCTCAAAACACAAAGACAGCCACAGATGGCACAGACACAATAGAGCACAGCTGTGTTCCAGCAAACATTCATTTTCACAAGCGGGCTATGGGTGGAGTCTGGTGCCCAGGCTGTAGCTGGCTGACCCCTGATATGGATCTTATCTTTACAAATAGAACTAACAATTACGAGAATCAGCTCATTTTATTTTATGTTTCACAAAATGTGGGTTATGATGATAGCCATAAGCTTGTGTCATTATTAGACTAGACGAAGAAAAAATCAAATGTTAAGTCCTGTTCTTAACCAATTGTAAGAAAGACCATAAGATTCCCTGGCTGTCCCCTGCAATGTTTTTGATCCTGTCACAAAGTCTTCTCTGCAAACATGTCTTCCAGGGCCAAAGCCCATCCTGTGAAGCTGGGGTTGCTCTGCCCAGCCCCAGCACCGCCATGCGAGACTCTGCTGTCCCTGGAGGCCTCCTGGACCTACGACAGGGCCTCGTATCACTCCTTCAACTTCATGGGATCCTCTTTCCACAATCTGCAATTTCACATTTCACAGATGCCAGTCCGCGCCTCATTGTCAAGCCGGATGTTCACAACTCACCATAATTCCAGAGGCTGAGGGACAGAGAAGAGGCTGCAGCAGGTGGGATCCAGGCACTCCCACCAAGGAAGGGCCAGCGCTGGAGAGGAGCCTACATGAGGAAGGAACTGATGGTCCATCAGAGAGACGCTCATGGTACGAGGAGCTTTGATTTCCTGAGCAACCTCAGAGCTGGGGGCAAGGGAGGAGGCAGGATTTCAATAAGGAATATTTGGTGTCTTAGTCTAACCAGGCTCCTGGAACAAAGCACCATACGCTGGGGGATTATAAACCACAGACATTTATTCCTCACAGTCCTGAAGGCTGGAAGTCCAGGATCAAGTCGCCAGCGGCCGCTCTGTAGCAATAATTCATCGCTTGGGTCCAGCGTTAGAAGCAGGTCTCGGCTCTGGTGCTCAGAAGGGACAGCGTGTGCGGGAAGCTTTGCTGCCCTGGACGCGGCGCCACCACCCAACCCCGGCCCCTGCGGTCCCAGAGTATCAGCCACGACTTGGTGCCTCCTGCCTGGGTTTCTCTGTGCACTTTCAGGCATGTTGAAGTCAGACCATTCACAGTTTTGCCGCAGGTCGACACGGAGTGCCCCGTGGCTTAGCAGGTGTGAGCTCTCTCTGGGGCTGGCCCGCTGGAGACACAGGCTGCGATGGAGAAGAAATGAAGTCCCAACCCCTGGCCTGCGTCAGGTTGAGAACCTCCCACTTTCTCCGGCCGTTCTCCCTCCCTAGCAGCCTCCTAAGGGGACCGCACTTGCTCAGGTATCTCCCGGGGCCGTTTTCCTGTTCATCTCAGACTTGTCAAAATGTTCACGCAGCTTCCAAAGCCTTTTACAGGCTGTCAAATATGTAACTGGATTTGAGTCCCACTGTTTAGCTAATGGCTCCTCAGCCTCTCCCATTCCCTGGGGATCTTTTTTATTTAACTTCTGAAATAATAGGTGGAATTTGAATCCTTTCAAGTGACACGTTGTATTTTCTCCTCTAATTATCCTGGAGGAAAGTGAAGTGGTTTTTGGGAGCCCGGATGGGGGCATGGGCAGGAGGGACCCCGCCTGGAGGTGAGTGCCGGCCCCAGAGCCTCACGTGGCTCTGAACGATGGAATCGCAGTCACTGAGTCCAGGTGCTGTGACCGTGCACGTCGGTGCCAGACACACGAGAGGCATCTCGGGAGGGGCTGTCGTGCAACTGTTCACGATGGTTGCATCCTTTTTTTTTTTTTTGAGACGGAGTCTCGTTCTGTCGCCCAGGCTGGAGTGCAGTGGCGCGACCTCGGCTCACTGCAAGCTCTGCCTCCCGGGTTCAAGCCATTCTCCTGCCTCAGCCTCCCGAGTGGCTGGGACTACAGGCATCCCTAATAGAAGCGGAAACCTCTCCAGACCAACTTTGCATGCAGACAAGTGCTCTCTGACCAGAGCTGGTTTATCAAAAGGGACTTCCTCCCTCACTCAGGAAAGGGGGCTTTGGCTGGGAAGGGGTTTTGTTCAGAGAACTGCTAGGCTGTGCTCATGCCATGGAAGAGCCTCCTCCCCGGCCGAGGAAACCCCAGGCCCAGACCCTGTGCCCCCGCCCCCCGCCCTCCGCCACCTCACCTGCGGAGCAGGCTCAGGACCCCTGAGATCTGGAGCGAGGTGGGGCTGCAGAATGGCAGGTCCCTGGCCTGCCTTTCTAGGACAAAGGTTGCCATGGAAACTCTACAGGTTTCATGGAGGATTCCCCAGCTGTTTAGTTTTAAGCTGGGAATCACCAGTAGATACCGAAGTAAAATAACCTTCTACTTAAAAAGGGCTCTGCTGCCATTCACAACTCAGGGAACATTCTTTGAAAGGCATGCCTTGGGGAAAAGCTGAGACGGGAACCCTTCAACGTGTTAATTCAGTCTGAGAGTGAGACCTTGGGGAAGGAAGCAGTGAGTCTCCCGTGGAGAAGCTGCTGTGTCTACATTCAGAGCTGAGCAGACAAGGCCAGCACTTTCCCCAGGATCCTCCCGTGCAGGCCCCCACAGCCCCCACCACCGGAACGTGTGCTGCAGCCTTTGGGGGTGCTCGGGTGACCACCCGGCTTCTGTGCCACAAATGCCCATGCCAGGAAAATTCGCTGAAACGTGAGACTTCACACTGACCACAGCAACTTTGTATCCAACAAGGTCTGTGACGATTCATTTACTCTTCTGCCAAAGATTTGCTGAGGACCAGGAATGGCAGGAACTCGAAGAGGCCCTGCGGGACACACACTCCCTGCTGGAATCATGGTAGGGGGATCGGGGGAGGGTGCCCAGTGCCCACCACCAATCTAGAAGGCCCAGGAAGTGGGGATGGGAGAGCAGGTTCCATGAAGGTGTGGGGTCCAGGATGCAGGAGTGAGGTGTGGCCCACGGTGAGTCCCGAATGTCCTGTGGGGACCGATGGGAGCAGGGGCCTCGGCCAGATGAGATGACCTTCGGTCAGTTTGCCAGGGCAGCCTCAGTGGTCATCTATTGCCTTGTTCTCAGAAGTGGCCTAGTTTAGCTGGGTGCGGTGGCTCATGCCTGTAATCCCAGCACTTTGGGAGGCTGAGGTGGGCGGATCATCTGAGGTCAGGAGTTTGAGAGCAGCCTGGACAACATGGTGAAACCCCGTCTCTACTAAAAATATAAAAAAATTAGCCAGGTGCATGTAATCCCAGCTACTTAGAAGTCTGAGGCAGGAGAATCGCTCGAACCCAGGAGGCGGAGGTTGCAGTGAGCCGAGATCACACCACTGCCCTCCAGCCTGGGCAAGAGAGGAAAAAAAAAAAGAAGAAGAAGAAGAAGAAGTGGTCTAGTTTGGATAAGGAAGTATGCCATCGCCTTGGTCATAGGGAATGAGTGCTGGCAGTCTATAATTATCCAGATAATTCATTCTTCCAAAAGAATGAATTATTTACATACAAATAATAACAGAATTTAACAATTTAAAGCTGGATTTTTTTTTCACCTTAATAGTGGCCGGAGCCAAATTTTAACAGTAGAATTCTAAGATGAAATAGGCTTTTTATTCAACCACTACCCCATGTTTTTTTACATTTCTAAGCCAGCTTTACTTAGGTGAGGTGGACATGCAATAACATATATTTAAAGCATACACTTTCCTAAGCACTGACGTATATGCAGACCTGAGACACCATCCCCATAATCCAGAGAATGAATCTACCCATTGCCCCCAAAAGCTCCTGTGCTCCCTCCTCCCAGACTGCCTGCTCCTCCCACGTCCCAGCTGCTCTCCATCACTGCACGTTAGTGTACGTTTACCAGAATCTTATATAAATGGAATCGTGCAACATATCATCTCTTTTGTGGGGATGCTTCCACACGGCTTTGTTATCTTGGGATTCACCCATGTTGTTACATTATCAATGTAATGATCAATTATCAAAAAATTATCAATGCTCCATTCATTATCCTGCTGAATAGTCATCCATTATGTGGATTGACTAAAGTTTATGTAGCCATTCATCTGTTGATGGCCTTTAGGTTGTTTGCAGTTTGAGCTACGACAATAAAACTATTATGTCTATTCATATTCAAGTCTTTTCATGGAGCTATGATGTCAGGCTTTTGTTTGTTTGTTTGTTTTTTGAGATAGAGTCTCACTCTGTTGTCTAGGATGGAGTGCAGTGGCACGATCTCAGCTCACTGCAAACTCCGCCTCCTGGATTCAAGTGATTCTCCCTGCCTCAGCCTGCCTAGTAGCTGGGATTACAGATGCCCGCCACCATGCCTGGCTGATTTTTGTATTTTTAGTAGAGACAGGATTTCACTATGTTGACCAGGCTGGTCTCGAACTCATGACCTCAAGTGATCCACCCACCCCAGCCTCCCAAAGTGCTGGACTACAGGCATAAGCCACCGTTTCCGGCTGATGTCGTTTCTTGTAAGTAATTCCCTAGGAACCGAGTATCTGGACCCTAGAGTAGGTATGCATTTAACTTGTAAGTAATGGCCAGTTGTCCAGTCGATGTACATTTATCAATCTTATATCCTGCCACCCTTTGAAACTCACTTATCACTTTACTCATTCGTTCTAGAAGCTTTTTTGTACATTCTGTCAGATTTTCTACTTAGATGATCATGTTGTCTGTGAATGAAGACAGTTTGCTTCCTTTTAACAAATCACATGCCTTTTGTTTCTTTTTCTTTTATTATTACGCTGGCTGAAATCTTTAATACAAAGTTCAGTCAAAGTGGTGAGAACAGAAACCCTCTGTTTTTCCTCATCTTGGGGGAAAGGGACTCACTCCTTCACCTTGCGCCTTGGTGTTAGATGTCGGCATTTCAAGGCAGGCCCATCGGGTTGAGCGTGTTCCTCTCGGCAGCTGCCTCACTGAGGCTTCGTATCAGAAAATGGTCTTGGGTTTCATCGAGTATCTCTCTGCATCTGTTGAGATGATCCTACGGTTTTAATTTTTTGGTTTGGCAATGTGGTGAATTATATTGATTGATTTTGAGATGCCATCTCAGCTCACTGCAACCTCCGCCTCCTGGGTTCATACCATTCTCCTGCCTCAGCCTCCTGAGTAGAGTAGCTGGGACTACAGGCACCCGCCACCACGCCCGGCTAATGTTTTTGTATTTTTAGTAGAGACGGGGTTTCACCGTGTTAGCCAGGATGGTCTCGATCTCCTAACCTCGTGACCCGCCCACCTTGGCCTCCCAAAGTGCTGGGATTACAGGTGTGAGCCACCACGCCTGGCCTTACTTCTTTTTTAAATGTTTGGAAGGATTGGAGAATTCACCAGCAAAGCCATTTGGGCCTTGGGTTTTCTTTGTGGGAAAGTTTAAAGTTTGGTTTTTGTTTTTGTTTTTGTTTTCCTTATCTGAAATGTCTTTACTAGCTATAGGGATATTCATATTACCTATGTCTTCTCGAGTGAGTTTTGGTATGTTGTGTTTGTGAAGAATTTTTCAATTTCCTCTGAGTTGTTGAATTTATTGCCATAAAGTTGTTCATGATATTGCCTCATTATCCCTTTCATATTTGGAGCACCTGCAATGATTCCTCTTCCAACTCTCATAGCAGTAATTTATATCTTTTCTCTTTTTTTCCTGAGCTGTGTGGCTAGAGGCTTATCAATTGCATTTGCCTTCACAAAGAATGAACTTTTTGTTTCAGTTATTTTCTCAACTGTTTTTCTGTTTTCATCTATTTCAGTGATTTCCACTCTGATCTTTATTGTTTTTTTTCCCCTCTTTACTTTTTCTAATTTTGGAAGGTGGAAATGAAGATCGTTGATTTGAGATTTTTTTTTCTAATATTGGCCTTTAGAGATATAAATTCTCCCCTAATTACCCTTTTGATAACATCTCATACATGATGATATATTTTAATGTTTGTATTTTAGTTCTTTTTTTTTGTATTTCATATTCAGTCCAAAATACTTCTTAAGATATCTTTTGATTTATTCTTTGATCCATGGGTCATTTAGAAATGTTACTTAGTTTCCAAACATTGGGAGATTGTCTAAAGATCATTCTGTTATTAATTTCTAATTTAACTCCATTGTGGTAAGAACACATACTTTATAAGACTTGAAATCCTTTTAAACTTATTGAGACTTGTTTTATAACCAAAAATATGGTCTTCCTTGGTTAATATTCCATGTGGACTTAAAAGTCATGTGTATTCTGCTGTTATTTGGTGGAGCATTCCATAAATTTCCATTAGGTCAAGTTGGTTGATAGTGTTGCTTAAATTTTCTGTATCTTTACTGATTTTCTGTCGACTTTTTCTATATATTATTGAAACAGGCATATTTAAATCTCTAATTACAACTGCGGATTTTTCTGTTCCTCCCAGCAGTTCTATCAGTCTTTGCTTCATGAATTTTGAAGCTCAGTTCTGTTGTTACGTGCATAAATGTTTAAAAGTGTTATGTCCTCTTGATGCAATAACCCTTTTCTCATTACAAAATGGCCTTTTAATATCCTTTACTGGGAGTCCAAAATTGTGCCTTTTCAGGATAATTTCAGTTGATTGATTTTTCTCCTCATTATGGATCCTGTTTTCCTGCATGCCTGGTAATTTTTTACTGGATGCCAGATATTGTAAATTGTACCTTGTTGGGTGATGGATATTTTCATGCTCCTAAATATATTGAGCTTTGGGCCGAGCACAGTGGCTCATGCCTGTAATCCCAGCACTTTGGGAGGCTGAGGTGGATGGATCACCTGAGGTCAGGAGTTCAAGACCAGTCTGGCCACCATAGCCAAACCCCATCTCTACTAAAAATACAAAAAAAAAAATTAGCCAGGTGTGGTGGGCGCCTGTAATCCCAGCTATTTAGGAGGCTGAGGCATGAGAATCACTTGAACCCAGGAGGTGGAGGTTGCAGTGAGCCAAGATTGTGCCTTTGCACTCCAGCCTGGGCAACAGAGTGAGACTCTGTATATATAGATATATACACACACACCCATATATGTATGTATATATTTGAGCTTTGTTTTGGGATGTAGTTAAGTTACACAGAAACAGGTTCATCTTCTTGGAGCTTGCTTTTAGGATTTGTTCAGCAGAACCGAAGCAATGCTCAGTCTATTTCCATGACAGGGGCGGGCCCTTCTGTGCACCCTGCTGGATGCCCACAAGTCCTAGTTTTGTTGGTTGGTTGGTCTGTCTGTGGGGAGCAGGCATCATTCATAGCTCGGTGTGAGCACAGACGTGTCCTGCCCAGCAGTTTTCTTCCTGGCTTCAGGCACTTTCCTCACGTGCCTATGCTGATAAACACTCAGGAATATTTGAGGGAGACCCTCTGCAGACCCGTGTCATTCTTTCTCTCGGAAGGCCTCCCCTCCATCGCACCCCAAGCTTTGAACGCTGTCTGCTTTGATCTCCCTAAACTCTCAGTAATGTCTCCTCCACTCCGGATGTCCACTGGCCCTGTCTGTGTACTGCCTCTAGGTAATAATCAGGACAGTCCCTGGGTTCACCTACCCTGCTTTCCCCTGCTCAGGAATCACTGTCTTTTGTTATCTTAATAACAGTCTCAGAATAACACATTGTTTCATATAGTTTGCCCATTTTGGGTTGGGTTTTATATATTTTACCCATTTGGGTTTGTTTCCTGTGGAGAGTATATCTGGGCTCTTTTACTCCATTTTTTATGAAAGCAGAAATCCTTCTCCAGACACCTTTAGTGGCTCTCCATGGCTTATCAGAGCTACTTTTTCTCCTTCCTTTTCTTCTCCTTCTTCTTCTTCTTTTTTTTTTTTTTTTTTTTTTTTGACTGAGTCTCACTCTGTCGCCCAGGCTGGAGTGCAGTGGCACGATCTCAGCTCACTGCAATCTCAGCCTCCCGAGTTCAAGTGATTCTCCTGCCTCAGCCTCCCAAGTAGCTGGGATTACAGGTGCCCACAACCATGCCCAGCTAATTTTTGTATTTCTAGTAGAGATGGAGTTTTGCCATATTGGCAGGGCGGGCTGGTCTCGAACTCTTGACCTCAGGTGGTCTGCCCACCTCAGCCTCCCAACGTGCTGGGATTACAGGCATGTAATCCCAGCCTCCTTCTTTTTCTTCTTCTTCTTCTCTTCCTCCTCCCTCTTCTTCATATTCTTCTTCTAGCATTAAGATAGAGTCCTGTTCTTATCTTCTTTGTGTGTAACTTATTTAACGGCTCTTCCCAATCCTGAGTGGTTCTTCCTCCTGGCTTCTGTCTGTTATTTTCACTGGGAGGCCGGCCTGTGCCTTGTCCAACCTTCTTGCCAGGGTGAGGTCACGTCCTGTCTCCTCCGCGTGTCTCCCAGTGCCAATGCCCATCACACAGAGTCCTCCCCTGGCTCCCCAGCCTGAGCATGGCAGAGCACACCCAGGGCCCCTGAGCTGTGCCGTGTCCTATTGAGCTCCACTCTACTGTGCTTTGCAGTTGTTGCCTATTTGACAAATTGAAGGTTGGTGGGAACCCTGTGTCGAGCAAGCCTATTGGTGCCAGTTTTCCACCAGCACGTACTCACTTTGCATCTCTGTCCCATTCTGGTGATTATCCCAACACAGGGTCTCACTCTGTTCCTCAGGCTGGAGTGTAGTGGGTGCAATCACGCTCGCTGCAGCCTCAGTCTCCCAGACCCAAGCGATCCTCCCACCTCAGCCTCCCAAGGAGCTAAGATTACAGGGGCCACCATCACACCCAGTTAATTTTTTAAAAAATTTGTAGAAATGAGATCTCTATTGCCTAAATTGGTCTCAAACTCTTGGGCTCAAGTGATCCTCCTGTCTTAGCCTCCCAAAGTGCTGGGATTACAGGCATGAACCACCACATCTGGTCTTATTATTACATTTTTTATCGCAGTCAGTGATCTTGGATATTATTAGTGTAACTGTTTTGGGACACCATGTACTATGACCACATAAGACGGTGAACTTAATTGATAAATGTGTGTGTTTTGACTGCTCCACAGACCAGCCATTCCCACACCTCTCTCCCTGTCCTCTTCTCTTCCCTGAGATGCAGCAGTATTGGTGTGAGGCCCATGAATAACCCCACCATGGCCTCTAAGTGTTCAAGTGAAAGGAAGAGTCACACATCTCTCACTTTAAATCAAAAGCTAGAAATGATTAAGCTGAGTGAGGAAGGAACGTTGAAAGCCAGGGTAGACCAAAAACTCTTATGCCAAACGGTTATCCACATTGTGAATGTGAAGGGAAACTTCTTGAAATACGCCTCCCTGAACTCACGAATGATAAGAAAGCAAAACAGCGTTATTGTTTGAGTGGTCTGGAGAGAAGATCAAACCAACCACAACATTCCCTGAAGCCAAAGCCTAATCCAGAGCAAGACTCTGATTCTCTTCAATTCCATGAAGGCTGAGAGAGGGAGAAAGCTGTCGAAGAAAAGTTGGAAGTGACCAGAGGTTTGTTTG